>NC_000017.11:10491111-10794141 GCF_000001405.40 Homo sapiens
TAAACTTTGGGAGAAAACTGGATATTAAAGTCTATTAAAATTATTTTAAAGTCCAACCCAAGATATAGCATTACAATAGCGAGTTGTTTCCAGTAATCAATAGAAAATAAGTGGAGGTGCATAATGACCCAGAGAGAATCTTCCCCAGGAACTGAGGTCCAGAGATGTATGACTGGATATTTTAACCTACTGGATCATAAGATTAGAAACATTTAATTGTATATTGTTCCTTTTAAGTAGACTGGTTACTATTCTCCAAGACCTTTGTTATGTCTTTAATGGATGAGATACTTGCTATTTTACTTGCTCATGTTGTATGAAAAATTGACATAGGTGGAAGGCCCATGCTACCCTCAGTACAGGTAAACCTGTAGTAGTAATACCATGGTTACAACAATGATGACAATAATTGCCATAGCACTGTAGAAAGGCACAATACAGACATCTAAATATAAAGTAATGAGAGTAGGGTAGTGACTTTAAAAAATATGAAGTGACCTATTGCTATCAATATACTTACAAGGAAGAAATCCTTGTAAAATACAGAAGTAGCCAAAGAGATAGAAGACATAATAGAAACATATTTCTTAACAATTTTTAACTCTTGGTTACCATTTGATTGTGATAACCAAGGAGGGGGCACAATCCAGCAAACTAAACATCTGTAGATAACAAAAAACTAAAAATCTCTTGTATTTACAAAGGGCCAGAAAACCTACAGAACATGCTTCCCTCTCAAGGGATTCTAATCCCAATTAAATGGTTCATATAGTTATAGTGAAGAGTTTGCATTTTAAATATTTTTGACAGTACTTTAATCTAATTTTTAAATTTTTCTCATTTTATGTAAATAACATGTTTTAATTTATTTTTACTCAGCCTTAGGATGAAGGATTTCCTATCATTTTATGAAGAAAATCAATAATTTCATTGACAGAAACTAGCTATGTTTTGTCAAGTAAGGTTTACCAAATATTCTATGTTTTATGGCTTGTGGTATACCTTTAGGTTCACCTACTTCCTATAGGGACGCATATGGTGGCACTTACCGGGTCTGCCTAGCTGCTCTCTATCATGTCTTAATATTGGTGACTAAGCACTTTTCTGTAAAATGTAACCAAAATGTTGAGATGTTTTTCTTTTCTCAGTACTTCTAAAGACAAATTGACATAGAGGGGAAAAAGAGACTCACAAGTTTTTGGCAGATAAATTTTTTATCTCCAAAAGTCATAAGTACAAAATGGAGTGACAAAGATTTTCACATTTTGTGCATTTCTTTGGTCACCTTTCAGCAGTTAGATAAATTACTCTTCACTTATGATTTTTGTGTGAACCTCCCTGCTCTTCACCCTCAGCTTGTTGACCTGGGACTCAGCAATGTCAGCCCGTTCCTCGGCCTCCTCCAGCTCGTGCTGGATCCTGCGGAATTTGGAGAGGTTGACGTTGGATTGTTCCTCCTGTGAATGGAAATCCATTTATGAGGGAAGAAAGTTCAGAATTTTTCCATTCTTAGGTCAGTGGATCTTGAATTTCCTTTTTACTTAAAAATGATTCACTCTAGCAGATATTTTAAGAAACCTAGAGAAATGCTCTTGAATTTTTATTTTTTTTTATTTTTGCATTAGCTTCTTGAACTCATAGATAACAAGGAAGGACAGGTGACCTTTGTATCTGAACTTTTAGAACAGCAGAACATCCTAGAGCTACTACTAAATATGCCAGGTGTCCAGCTTTGTTTTTTTTTTTGTTTGTTTGTTTGTTTTTTTCAGAATCCTGAGAATGGAACCAAACCTTTTAAGAGTGCAAGTATGCAATCTATACCAAACCAAACCATTAAGCTTGAATATAAGTTATTGCCATGTGAGTATAAATTATTGCCACTTAAGTTTAGAAATTAAGCAAGAAGTTTGTTTCCTAAAATAGTCTGAGCTGTCTCTGATTATACTTAAATATATAGCAGAGAATTTGAGCAGGTCAGTTCTAGTTTAGTCTCTGGTAATCATTCTTATTTAAAAGTCTCAGTAAGAACCTCCAAAATGTGGCATTCAAATTTAGAACAGACATAAAGCTTAGAATCATTAAATAGTATAGCTTGAGAAAAAACCTCAGCTTTTCCTCTTACAGATGAGGAAAGTAGGAACTGGAGAAAGATTAAGCAATTTGTCCGAGGTATGGACAGTAGCGTGTGTGTGTGTCCGTGCACACAAGTGTGTTTGTTTTCTCTCCCTCCCTCATTCCCCTCCATTCCCATCTTTCTCTCTCTCTTACCTTAGATGTCAGGGGTAAAATAAAAACCATCAATGAACAGAGGAACTCATTTGTGATATGTAACTATGAATATTTATATGTAGGAAGTTGAAACTATTTGATTATTAATCCAGATGAATCATGGGATACGGAAATGAGATAAAGTGGAGTGTTAAGAATCTACTGATTTGAACATAACCAAGACCTTCTGAGTTTCAGAATCTTATATTTAACTATTTACTTGACATGTTCACTTGTGTATATATGGTATTATGTATCTAAAACAGAATTCCTGTTTCTTTCTTGCCCTGCAATTCTGTTCTTCCCTTTGTTCCCCACTTAAGTGTTACATCATCCACTTGGTTACTCAAACCATAAACTTGATAAATTACTCTTAATTGCCTTTCTTTCATCTCCCAAGTGCAACCTATTAGCAATCTTGTAGTTTCTACCTCCAAAATATGTCCTGAATTTCTCCACTTCTCTCTGCTCCACTCTCTTATCCAAGCCACAGAACCGACCTGAAAAGCTTCCTAACATGTCTCTCTGCACCCACTTGTGTTACCCAGTAACCGATTCTTTACATAGTATCCCAAATGCTCTTTTTAAAAAATATAGATCAGGTAGTGACTGACCCACATTAAAACCCTCCCTGGCTTCCCAGTACCTTATTGTTCTTACCATGGCCTGGAAGACCCTATGAGCTGCCTCCTGCCTGGCTCTCCAGTCCCAGTTGTGGTGCTTTCCTCCTTTTTTTGTCTGCTTCTTGAGCCAGACTCTTTCCCACTCAAAAGCTTTGCATTTGCTCTTCCCCATCTCTAGAACATCTTCTGCTGGCTTGTCAGGTGGTTGGTTTTACCTCAGCCTTGGACCTCCATGTAGCCATTTGTTTTCTTTTGATCCTTCCTCATTTTACTCATCTTTTCTTTTGTCACTTTAACTAAACTGGCCTGGTCATGTCTGAGAAAAATCACCCCAAGGGGTTGTGAACTCACCGCTTCTTCAGCTTGTCTCTTGTAGGATTTCACCTTTGCTTGCAGTTTGTCCACCAGGTCCTGGAGCCTGAGAATATTCTTGCGGTCTTCCTCAGTCTGAAATAATGTTTTCAAGAGTAAGTTTCTTGAAAGTACAAATATTACATTTTGTCATACATATGACTTTTAATCCCATGTGGACTAAAGTGAAAACCTAGACAGGCCATTTTCCTTACTTGGTAAGTGAGTTCCTTCACTTTTCTCTCATGTTTGCGTAGACCCTTGACAGCTTCAACATTGCGCTTCTGTTCACTTTCAACTTCACCTTCAAGTTCACGAACCTACAAGAAGATGGACATTTTAAGGACATTCATTTGACGAATTTCTACTTCTTCACATGACCCACATACTTCTTCTACTCTGCTTTATATGTAGTTTTTAATGCCCTAGTTCAGTTTTCCTTATTATGAGCTTTTGGGCATGAGGGAATAGCTCTCCCTCATCTCAGTATGCCCCACATCATCTAGCAGTGCTAGGTATTCAGAATCGTGTGTTGGATTGGAATGAGATAGAAATACATGCTGATTAGGAGACCCACCCTGGCCTCCAGTTTCTGGATCTGCTTCTTCCCACCCTTCAGGGCCAGCTGCTCAGCCTCATCCAGACGATGCTGCAGGTCCTTCACCGTCTGTTCCAGGTTCTTCTTCATCCGCTCCAGATGGGCGCTGGTGTCCTGTTCCTTCTTCAGCTCCTCAGCCATCATGGCAGCCTAATTAGCAGTAAAACAGAATGGGTTAAGACAGCTAAGACAGCACATTAAGATTTAAGTTTGACCACCACTGTGTTACCCTTCACTCACATCAGTGATGGCCTTCTTGGCCTTCTCTTCTGCATTGCGGGCTTCCTGGATGATGTCTTCCATCTCTCCCTGGATTTGGGAAATGTCTGTCTCCAGCTTCTTCTTGGTGTTGATCAGGCTGGTGTTCTGTTTAAAATGTGAAATTTAGAAATATTAGGCACATGAGAGAAAAATTAGGAAACCTCATGTTCTAATGAACCATAAACTAATTAACTAAATGAATTCATTAATATTCCTCCTTGTTTCATAAATTATCTGAGTTGACATATGTTTAAAAGACAATCAACTGGCCGGGCGCGGTGGCTCATGCTTGTAATCCCAGCACTTTGGGAGGCCGAGGCGGGTGGATTACGAGATCAGGAGATCAAGACCATCCTGGCTAACACGGTGAAACCCCGTCTCCACTAAAAATACAAAAAATTAGCCGGGCGTGGTGGCGGGCGCCTGTAGTCCCAGGTACTCCGGAGGCTGAGGCAGGAGAATGGCGTGAGCCCGGGAGGTGGAGCTTGCAGCGAGCCGAGGTTGCGCCACTGCACTCCAGCCTGAGCGACAGAGCGAGACTCCGTCTCAAAAAAAAAAAAAAAATCAACTATGGATGTTATAGTTCAGATAAGAATATAGATAATCAAAAAAATAAAATATTTTAAACTTTATCCTTCATGAAATCTTATAAATAGATTTCTTAATAGTACCACGATTTCAGCAAGAATGTCATTTTCATACCCTTGTATTTGTTGCTATTCTATTATTACATGCACCTGGGTGTGCAGGAGCTGAACACGCTCACTGGCATCCAGGAGCTCCTGTTCTGCGATTTTCCTGCTCCTCTCTGTCTGTTCCAGAGTGGCCCGCAGCTCCTCGATCTCAGCCTGCAGCAGGTTGGCTCTGCGCTCCACCATAGCCAGCTGTTCCTTCAGGTCCTCCTGGCTCCGGAGAGCATCATCCAGGTGGAGCTGGGTATCCTGTGGAACAAACCGTCATTGAGACACCATGTATTCAGGGTTGCAGGCACCCCAATTGTCCTGGGATCATCTGTTGGACATATTTACCTTGAGGATGGCTTGGGTGTTCCTATAGTTCCTCAGGGCCTCAGCAGCCATGCGGTTGGCATGGTTCAGCTGGATTTCCATTTCATTGAGGTCTCCCTCCATCTTCTTCTTGAGCCTAATGGCATCATTCCTGCTCCTGATCTCAGCATCCAGTGTGCTCTGCATGGACTCCACGATTCTAATGTGGTTTCTCTTCATCTGGTCAATTTCCTCATCTTTTTCAGCAATTTTCCTATCAACCTCAGACTTGACTTGGTTCAACTCAAGCTGGATGCGCAGGATCTTTCCCTCTTCATGTTCAAGAGATGCCTTAATGACAGCAAGAGGTGACATTAGTAGAGTAATGGAAGTGTGTAGTATTCTAGAGATAAGAATGATTTATCATTCATGAAACCTTATTTATAAATAGATTTCTAAGTAGTAGTAAGATTTAAACAAGAGTGTCATTTTCATGCCTTTGCATTTTCTTGCTATTCTCTAACACACACACTGTCTGCCTTTGTGCTGCCATCATACATTTTTATTTTGTTGTTTTAGACATTTCTACAAATTATTGAATGTTATTGTTGATTTTATATGCTTTTATCTCCCTAGGTAGATTGTGCCCTTGAAAGCAGGGCCTTTAACTGATTCATCTTTGTTTGCTCAGTGTGTAGCACAGTTCCTGACATATGGTTATGTTGGTTGTATGCATGATCAGTTCTCCATTCTCATCCCTAGTTCATGGAGCAAAAATTATTTTTCGTTTCTCTTGATTCACCATTCCTTACATTTAATAGACCCCAATTCCTCTTCTAATTGTTTTAGAGTATGCAATAAAATGCTTACCTCTGCCTCCTCTAAGGCAGCCTGAAGTTCAGACTTTTCTTGCTCAACTTGCTTCTTTATTTTTTCCAGTTCATGGATGCGCTTTCCTCCTTCTGCAATCTGTTCAGTGAGATCAGAAATCTCCTCTGTTGGTGAACAAAAAATATAGAAATTTGTTTATAGTTGGAAAAGATTCTTTCAAATCTTTTATTGTTAAAGAAAAGGTAAAATGTTCTCACGTTGCAAATTCTTATTTTCCCGTTTCAAGGTTTCAAGTTGGTCTAAAGATTCCTCATAAGCATTCTTAATCTTAAATAGTTCTGTGCTGAGTGAGCGGGATTCCTTTTGAGAAGCTTCAAGTTCAGCATGAGTTTCTTCACACTTCTGTTTCCATTCTGCCAGGATCTGAAGGTCAAGGAATGGACAAGAAATTTAGTGGACAAAATTTGATGAGATAAAAACCATCTATTCTAGCACCTCTCAGAGTTGAGGTGTTCTGGGACTGAAAAAAAATTATGAATGAGAAGAATAGAAACCATAGGAGCACTTCCCCTCTCCACAGACAGCTGCTGATGGGTTAAGAGCTACTGAGAACAGCCCTCAGATGGTTTGAATTGGGCACACTGAAGGTAGCAGGCTATTGTTAATTCTGTGTTGAAAGTTGAAGCAAAAACTGGAGAGAATACCTTATCAAAGTTCCTTTGCTTTTTGTCCAGGGCGGCACAGGCAGCATTTGTCCTCTCAACATCAATCATGAGGTCCTCAACTTCATTCTGGAGCCTCTGCTTCGTCTTCTCAAGGGAAGCACATTTGGCATTCACAGCTTCTACATGTTCCTCAGCATCCTGCAGACGCTGAGCCAGCTTCTTCCTATGAAATATGGGCAATAAAAGTGAATGGCTGTCAACTGAATTGGGTGTTTCAAAGTGGGTACAAGAGAGTGAATTCCACAATCAGACTTCTTTAATACTTTGCTTCTCAAGCTTGTTTTGTAGGTCCAGTTCTATATTAACTCATTCCCATTATCCTACCACCAAATACCAAAAACAACCCCAGTTTTGGTATTGCCATACTTCATAGAGTGGCTTTAAGGCCATCCATGACAAGCATGAGCTAACACTTTACCCTTCCAGGTAGCTGGTTTATTCCTCTTCTGTAGAATATTAATATCTACCTTGAATTACTGGTTTGTTTTTCTGTGTCTCCACATAATTTTAATCCCCAGAGGGAGAGTCTGTACTGTACTAATCTTTGTATTCTTGTAGGCTGTCCAACATATTAAGGGCTCAAATGTTGGATAAATTGAATTCAAATGAAATATACTTGATTTTGTCTGTCTAATTGTATCCCTTATTTGTGCTAGTTTTTAATTAATCCATTAATAATAAAGAAGCTTTCCCACATCAATATACATTTTGCATCGAGAACTCCTCTCAGAATCTCTTCTAAGGCATCTACCAAAACATTAATTCCAACAATATGGCTGTATATGGTCCCAGAATGTTTTTTCCCTAGTTTTTCATATGTTTTGGGAGCAAGGAAACTTATAGTTCCATTTTAACTAAGTCTGGAACATACTTGGCCTCCTCCAGCTCCTCTGTGCGCTGGATGGCATCTGTCTCATATTTGGTCCTCCACTGGGCAACCTCACTGTTGGCCTTGGACATTGCTCTCTGTAGCTCGGCCTTGGCTTCCTGCTCCTCCTCATACTGTTCCCGCAGCAGGTCACAGTCATGGCGGGAGGACTGCAGGGCATGTGCCAGGGCACTCTTGGCCTGAGAACATAGAGATTGATGACTTAATTTTATATATTTAAAGTGATGTTTGATTCCTGATCTCCTATAGGCCACCAGAAGAAAGTCTGTAAAAGTAAGCGAAAAACAAATAACAAGAACAATAATGACAAGAATGACAAGTGGAGCTTACCTTTATCTCCTCTTCAAGTTGCCTTTTCAGTTCCTCAATCTGTTGTGTAAAGGCTTGTTTGCCCCTCGAGAGCTGTGAAACTAGTGTGTCCTTTTCATCTAGCTGGCGTGAATATTCACCTGTAAAAGACCAAGTCCAGAAAACTCAACCTTACTTTGGAAATTAAAACTCTAAAATAAAAACTTGAGCAGGGAAAGGGAGCCAAGTTTGAAACTTGATGGAGGGCATGGGTGACAACAAACCACCAACATCCGCTTTAACCTTGATAAGCAGATCCATGTAAAAATTAGAAGCATGGAGAAATTTGAGGCAGATTACATGCTTGTGAACAGCACAAAAGATTTCAAGAGATATTTACGATTATTTGATCGTAGTCAAAATTGATGAAGAAACATGAAAAAAATGTAAATCAAGCCAACAAAATATTCTAGTACTTTTTATTTTATGTAAGGCAGTAGTGTTGTCTAATTTGCCTTCCATTGAAAGTTGGTTGAAACAAAGGATTTATACTGTGGAAAATAAGAGACTTTGGGCAATGTCTTCTGTAAGTAGAAATGATAGTCAAGAGAAATTCTGGAAAGATTTTTATATTAAGAAATGATTAAGTGGTCTCCCATCCCCAGAATGAATTGGTTTCTGGATAAGTACTTTCCAAACTAAATGGCATTTACACATGTCTTCAATTTTTTAAGCACCATAATGCAGAAAATGCACTACATTATGTTAGAAAGATAGTAAAACTTTTCCACACCATTTTTATACTAGTTATCTTGAACTTTATCTCTGGCATTTAATAAGAATTATAATAAATATTTATTCTGAACTTTGTTATAGAAAGAATAGTATTTGAATACCAAAAGTGTAGAGTGATTTTCCAACACTTTAACCTGCCTATTACTTTAATAGCCTAAATTACCCATAAAACAATTTCCATTTTGTTACCTCTACCTGGGGAGATACAACTCTGGTAGAAAGTTGGACACGTCAGTAGGAGGGGGAATAAATGCAGAGACTTTCCAATTTCTCTAATCAAAAATCTACAAATCTTACTTGAATGCTTCTCAGCTGGGTTGTGGTCTTGAATATTTCCCTACTTAACCGTGTTAGTTACCAGTAATTGGCAAGACTTCAGGAAAAAGACTGGAGTAAACATTCTTGGACAAGTTGCTTCATCACTACCATAATCCACTGTCTTTAAAATGGGGATAGTATTACACAGACTAATGAGGAAAATAAAGTAACACATAGCTTGCGAAAGCATTTTGAAAAGTGAAAAGAGGTACTGTAAGGATGCACTTTGTTTTTGATAACTTTTTGATTAAAGCCAAGTCTCCCTTAAAGTCTTCAAAAATAGAAGGGCCTGATTCTATTTATCTCTCTCTCTCTCTTTATATATATATATATATGTATGTATGGATATATATACAAATATATATATGGATATATATGTTTCATATATATACACATATATTTCTCTCGTATATATATGAAAGAAAGCAACCTCATGCCAGTGGTCAATAATGTGTTCATATTAGTGGGGATCTCCCAGGGAGGTAGTATATGACCTCAAGTAAATAAATGCAGAGTTTTTCAGTGGATTACACATGCAGGGTGAATTTGTCATTCAAGGTCAGTACTGGTACATGGCCCACCTGATTCTGTTTGCAGGCGCGCTCTCTGTGCTGTGAGGTCATTGATCAGCCGCTGCTGCTCCTCTTCCTTGGTCTTAATTTCACTCAGTTGATCTTCTAGAGCGCGGCACATCTTTTCAAGGTTTCCCTGCATTCAAAAAGTGGTAGAAGGCATCTCAAGTAAGTAGTTGGACCAAAGAAAGTTTCAGTAATCTAAACATTCCATATGAGCTGCAGTACTCATTTATTTTGAGAAGAAACTATCTTTACAAACAAAACCAGCAAAGGTCTTAGATAGTGAATGGAAAGACTAATAAGATACATAGTCCAAGCATACAGCCACTGAATTACTTGTTAATCTAACTACTTTACTAAGTTGTACTATACGTGATATGAGAAAAAGGGTGCCTGATTTAGTTCATGAGACGTTTTTGAGATACAAATCATATTTGTGCTAAAGGGAAAAACAAAAAACCAAATAATCAATGTGAAGTGTTGATTGTACCTTGGCTTTGGAGACAGTCTCCATGTTACTAGCAAGGTCATCGATCTCCATCTTCATCTCACTCTTCTCCTTCTCCAGCTTCTGCTTCACTCGCTGCAGGTTGTCAATCTGCTCCCCAAGCTCGGCCACACTATCTGCATGCTTCTTCCTCAGGGTGGCCGCCGTGGCTTCATGCTGTAGGGTGGCCTCCTCCAGGTCCCTGCGCATTTTCTGGAACTCAGCCTCCCGCTTCTTGTTCATCTCAATCTGGGCTGAGGTGGCCCCACCGGCTTCTTCCAGCCTCTCGCTGATCTCCTCCAGCTCCCGGGAGAGATCAGAGCGCTGCTTCTCTGCTTTGGCCCGGGAGGCCCGCTCTGCCTCGATTTCCTCCTCCAGCTCCTCAATGCGGGCCTGGGAATGGTGAAAAATATTAATACGAACTCAACTTCTTGGTGTCAGTAACTTTTCGATGTTAAATTAGCCTGGCGAAAATCATTTAACGTACTTGTAACTCCTTGATTTTCTTCTGCAGCTGCATACCAAGGGCTTGTTCATCTTCAATCTTGCTTTGCAGACCGCTCATTTCAAACTCTTTCCTATTAGAAAAGCCCTTTATGTCAGTCTCAGAAATATTAAGAGTAATTTCCCCACAAAACTGTTGACCTAAAACTGCTTACTTTTTAAGCTTTTCATCAAGTTGTTGTTTGTCATTTTCTATATCCATTGTGGATTCTTGAGCCAATTTTAGGTCTCCCTCTAGTTTTCTCTTTGCTCTTTCTAGATCCATCCGGATTTTCTTTTCTTGTTCCAAAGATCCTTCAAGCTAAAAGTTAATAATCCATGAATATGGTTCTTAGAATGGTAGCACCTTTTGTCCCAGATGAAATTTTTAAACATTATATCTATGCAGCAAACTATTTTTCTATGAATTAGGCAGATTTGTCCCATTGATTCCATTCTCCTTGGTATTTACCTAGTCGAAAAAGTCATCGTTTAAAAGGTAAAATGTGCCTCTTTGTCACGTTGTTACAATAAGTTACTAGTGAGACATTATGCCTTCTGCATCTCCCCACTGGAATCCAATACTTTTCCAGCTGGGATGGACACCATGCTAATACTTCCAAACCATGAACTTTTTTAACGCCTCCCTTACTCAGGCATTTTCAGTGGGTTCTCTATTAGATATCAGATCATGTTTAAAGCCAAATTTATCTTCCACATTCCTAATTCTGAGTGTCCTTTGTTTCTGTGAGAGAAAACCTTATTGATCATTACAACTTCTTTGCTGCTGCTATGCTGCCTTCTTAGAACACCCTCCCTCTTCTTTCTTTTTGCACATAGCCCCTTGTCTTTCAAGCCCAGCGAAAGACCTGTTTTGCTTGTATAGCTTTTCTTTGTGAACACATTAACCTTCCTTTCCATCAATTCTTTTTACCCGTATTGTCTATTATTCACAGTTAACTTTCTTTATTGATTTTAAAAACTTTATTGTGTGTACATCTTAGACCTTGTAATAGGGATGATGTTCCATATTCCTCATTCATAGGAGGCACTTGATAAGTACTCACTATATCATAACGACACAAACTTATGCTTACTTAGTTTGTTACAAAATTTAAAAAATCATTTTTATATAATGTTAGGCTTACATCATCCACTTGTTGTTCAAGTTTGATTTTAGCTTTGGTCAGGGTGTTGACTTTGTCCTCCTCTGCCTGCAGGTCATCCAGGGTCTGCTGGTGGGCCTCCTGGAGAGCCTTCTTCTCCTTGGTCAGCTTAGCAATGGTTTCATCCAGACCCGCCATCTCTTCTGTGAGGTTTTTCACCTACAAAGGTGAAGAAAGCAGCTTAGTTGCTCTAAAGCACCTTTGTTGGGTGGCAGAACCTCTATACAGTACTGTAGAATATGATTGATACCTTGTTTTCTGTGGCATGTTTCTCCTTCTCAACCTTGGCCAGTGTCAGCTCAAGGTCATCAATGTCTTTCTTGAGTTCTGAACATTCATCCTCCAGTTTCCTCTTCTTGGCTGTCAGCTCAGCATTGATCTCTTCCTCATCCTCAGCTCTCTCAGTCACCTCTTTGATTTTGGCTTCTAGCTGGATTTTGGTTTTGATTAGCTGGTCACACCTTTCCTCTGCATCAGCCAAGCTGTCAGCTTCCTGAGAAGAGGCAATAGATATTTTAGATTTTATGAAAATTCCTAGACATTTTCAGATTTTATTAATATTTTGAAACCAAACAAGTAAATTGTTTTAAGCCTTCAGGTTAATTTTTATTAGCTTTCTACCATTCAGTAAATATTGGGCACTTATGAGTCCGGTAATAAAAAAAGGAACTTAAGTCATAGTTCCTGGTGAAATTATGTTACAATTATATTTGTTATAACATATATAATATGTTGGTATATAATTTCGGGTCAGCCAATTTTCTTTATTTAATATTTATTTTCAGGAGCATTCAATATATGAAAAACCAATAGACAAAAGGATTGGGTTTCTAGCAGGTTGCTGGGAGAGAAGGGTACTATCAGAAAAGTGCCTTAACAGGAAGAAATGTCATCCAGTGACAGAGTAGACAAAGGGAATGGAACATGTTCAAGGTGATGCTTAGAGAAGTAGCAAGCATATTTCTCATAAGAAGAAATAGGAGTTGAGATAAACTGTGAGGGAAGGACCATGTCTCTCATTCAAACTTACATCCCTGTCCGGGACTTCACCCAATATTTATTAGTGGATAGTTGATAGAATATTGTTAAACAGAAGTTTTATAATACTATCCTCAAAGGAGAGGAGTATTCTTGGATAGATTATCTCCTGTTTCTTGAAGGCACGATGAACCACTCCTCAATGTGGAAAACCCTGATCTATACAAAGTACAGGAAAGTCACAGTACCAACCTAGGTATTTGCAATTCATCATACTTTAGATTTTCTAAATATGTGTCCCAAACTTGTAGGCACAATGGGACTAGTCAATTCCCTTTCTGAATTCAGAGAACTGGGATGGTAACTTTTAATGTTTCTGCTGTTGGTTTTGGTGGCAGCAATTGAACTGTCTTGTTATTTGTGTTACAAAAATGGGTTAGATAGTGGCTTTTGATCAAATATTTCTCTCCAAGCCTCTGGATAGTTACTGGGACATTAGAATAAGAATATCAACCCTATCTCTCATACTTTGCATAAAAATAGACATTATCTGTGGAAGGCATTGCCATTATCCTTACAGAAAGCATTGCCATTATTCTTGCCATAATCCTACTCTTTCAGGTACTAAAAGTTTCTAAAAATAAAGTTGAGCACAAAGTTGCTCGGGGATTGTAGATACAAAACTCAGAATATTGATTTCAAGTTAATGTGTTTTCATCAAAGTCTCCTTCCTCTTCACTGACAATATTTTTCTTTTTCACAGCTCTTATTTGCATTTTTCAGTAGGGAGAATTTAGGGAGCAAAGCTCACTTTATTTCCTGTTCACATTCTGCTGTAGAAAACAACAGAGGGGAAGGAAAAATGCTTTTATTTTTCCCTTCTTGACATCAAAGAATCCTACCACAGTGATTTTTAGTAATATTGTATAGGGAATTCTATAGAACATTCTAAGGAGTTGTGGATTATTAAAGATTCATAATCTGTCCCTTATTTGGTAGAATCTAGATCTCTCCTTAGTGACCACTGAGCTGAAGTTTTAGCATCAGATTGCAGGAAATGACTTCGGGATACTCACAGCTTGAACCTGGAGTTGCAAGTCATTTTTTTCTTGCATCAGAGTAACCATTTTTTCTTCCAGCTCTTTCCTTTTTGCCTCGGTCTTAGCCAGCTCTTCTTTGGTTTTCTCAAATTCTTCCTTCATGTTGGCCATCTCCTTCTCTGTCTCTGCACTTTTGAGGAGGGGTTTGATCTTGAAATACAGCTTCATCCAGGGCCAGTGCTTCACATTCATGAAGGCACGGACATTGTACTGGATGCAGAAGATGGACTCTCTGTCATAGGAACAGAAATGTCCAAATCAGATTATAATAAGAAGCAGAATTAAAACACCTAAGATGATGAGGTTAAGTAAAGAATTCTTATTAATACCTTCTTTCCACCATTTTCTGGTACTCCACTCTTGCCAAGAACCCTCTGCACATGGCCTGGGTTCGGGTAATCAGCTGGGCCAGCTTCTCATCTCGCATCTCCTCTAGGAGCCCCAGAAGACCAGCTTTGAAAAAGACCTATGTGTGGGAAGAATTTCAGATCAGAAAATTTACATAAAGTTCAAAGGGACAGGAATAGCATCAGGTAGGATTTACAGAATATTACCTTGGTGTGACCAAATTTATACTGGGTGTGGTCAATGTCAATGGACCCCAGGAGCTTCTCTGAAGCCTTCTTGCTATCGATGAATTGTCCTTCAGGGATAGCACTTGCATTTAACACCTTGTATCTGTTTAAGCCAGACAAAAAAATGATATGGCTGTTGCCACAGACAAGAAATCTTCCTGTCTGGCTATAGAAACAACATAGCCACTGGGTAATCTGAAATAAACAAGAAATCATATCTACCCCTTTATCTATCCTCTGTTTATTCAAAGGACTTCAGAGTTTTCTTATGTCAATATGGAGTTTGTTAAGTGAGTTTATCTTCTCTTCAATTTTAAGAGGAGGTATAAAGGATTCTTTCATTGAAAAATGTTTAAAAAGTAATAAAAACCTCTTAAAATAATTTACAGCAAAAATGTCTGACCTCTGTTTGAAGTCTGCATAAAGGATTCTGCTTGGGAAGCCTTTCCTGCAGATGCGGATGCCTTCCAGCACACCGTTACACCTCAGCTGATGCAGGACAAGCTCATGCTCCATGGCACCTAAAAGAATGAATCCACATGCCATACTTCGTGGTCTATCACACACACACTGGAGCTTGTCTGGATATCAGAAATGTCTTACCAGGAGTTTTAGTTTCATTGGGGATGATGCACCGCACAAAGTGGGGGTGAGTGCTCCTCAAGTTGGTCATCAGCTTATTCAAATTCTCCTGTGGAACCATGCGAGTTTATACTTTAAAAAATGTACTGTTTTCTACATTCATATTTATAGACATAATTATTGAGATCTATGACAGTGGTTTAATTCTAATGAATAGTATCCAGATGAAAATTTTCAAAGAGTTATCTCTGGAATTTCCACATTCCTAATATGTCCCCCTGTTTTCTGTTGGTGTGCATTAGAAGCATAGTTTTCTACTTGCTGTTGAAGTGACTGTTCGCTGCTGTTTAATTTCCTAGTATATGTTTTAAATTCACTATGACACTCTAAATATATGGAAATACTCTACCCATTCTTTTTTTGCCTAGATACATGGTCTGATTTTACTACTAATCAATGCCTTCCTCTAATTCTCCCACTTTTTTCTTTGTCTTTTCTTCTTCTTCTTTTTTTTTTTTCTGAGATGGAGTCTTGCTCTGTTGCCCAGGCTGGAGTACAGTGGCGCAATCTTGGCTCACGGTAACCTCTGCCTCCCGGGTTCAAACAATTCTCCTGCCTTAGCCTCCTGAGTAGCTGGGATTACAGGCACATGCCACCACCCCCAGCTAATTTTTGTATTTTTGGTAGAGACGGGGTTTCACCATGTTGGCCAGGCTGGTCTCGAACTCCTGACCTCAAGTGATCCACCCGCCTTAGCCTCCCAAAGTGCTGGGATTACAGGCATGAGCCATGGTGCCCAGTCACACTCACTTCTTTCTTTACCTGACTTTCACTTGTATCTGTGTGTCTATCAAATGTGTATTCCTTGCCATAGATATAGAGCTGTGTCCTCCTACTTATTCCACAGAAAGTGGCCTTTATTAATGCCTATTCTGGGAATTGGTAGAAAACTGACAGCCATGTTACCAAGCGTGTAAAGTTTTCCATCTTTTGAAAATCCTGGTTTTTCCGAATATCTACAGCATCAGTTATTAGAGATGGAATCAGAAATGGGATTGCCAAAAGAAAAATAGACTTTTCTTTTTTTCCTTGAGATGGAGTCTTGCTCTGTCACCCAGGCTGGAGTACAGTGACATGATCTCAGCTCATGGCAACCTCTGCCTCCTGGGTTCAAGCGATTCTCATGCCCAGCCTCCTGAGTAGCTGGGATTACAGGTGTGCACCACCATGCCTGGCTAATTTTTATATTTTTGGTAGAGATGGGGTTTCATCATGTTGGCCAGGCTAGTCTCGAACTCCTGGCCTCAAGTGATCTGCCTGCCTTGGCTTCTCAAATTGCTGGGATTACAGGCGTGAGCAACTGTGCTTGGCCGTAATTTTTTTAAAAGTGCTATTTATTATCACATCTGGTTTCTTATTTCCTTCTTTTGACTCAGGCTCCAATTCCCACCACTGTTCTATCTTATAGCTTTCAAAATCTACTCATTTCGGTTCTATACCAATGTATCTTTAAGCACCTAAATCACTTGGAGGCTCCCAAAGCCTCAAGCAAGTCTCAGCTTTACTTAATCCTATCCCACTGGAGTCTTTTAAGGGTTAAATGACCTCATTCTCAGGCCCCAGAATCGAATTTTGCCGTCTAATACTGACTTCTGCAATTCGCTTTCATCTCTCCTGACTCCTGTGTCTTCTGAATAGTGAGGTATCTCTTCCAAACTATCCCCTCTTCCAAACTATCCTCAAGCTCCCTAAAACTCAGTCTTACCACTACCAGCTGAACTATCTCGTTGAGTCACATCAGTTCTAGAATCCTTGCAAGGTTAGTTTTTTCCCCCACACCATAGAGTACATTTAATATCCTAAATCTAATTAGACAGAGAAAATGAAGTTTGTACCCTGAAGAGAGCAGACACAGTCTGGAAAGAAGAACCCTTCTTCTTACCACCTTTCTTTCCACCGCCAGCCTCTGAGGGGAAAAAGAAAGCAATCATAGGACAGCCTTTCTCTGGTTATGGTTTTTTTTTTTTGTTTTTTTTTGTTTTTTTTGACGAAGTTTCACTCTTGGTTGCCCAGGCTGGAGTGCAGTGGCGTGATCTCGGCTCACTGCAACCTCCACCTCCTGGGTTCAAGCGATTCTCCTGCCTCAGCCTCCCGAGTAGCTGGGATTATAGGCACCTGCCACCATGCCCGGCTAATTTTTGCATTTTTAGTAGAGACGGGGTTTTGCTATGTTGACCGGGCTGGTCTTGAACTCCTGACCTCAGGCAATCTACCCACCTTGGCCTCCCAAAATGCTGGGATTACAGGCACCGTGTCTGGCCTCTAGTTATGTTTTATACATTAGGTAAAAGATTAATTATATTGATAATTACCTGCTTCCGCTCCCGTTGCCCCAACAAAGAGGAGAGCCAGAGTCTTCATTGCAGACTTCTGGTACAGCCCCACCACAGTCTCATTCAGGGGGTCCTTGTTCTTGTCAAGCCAGCCGGCAATGTTGTAGTCCACGGTGCCAGCATAGTGAATCAAAGAGAAGTGGGCCTCAGGCTTGCCTTTGGCAGGCTTGGGCTTCTGGAAGTTATTGGATTTTCCAAGATGTTGTTCATACAGCTTGTTCTTGAAGGAGGTGTCTGTCGCCTTGGGGAACATGCACTCCTCTTCCAGGATGGAGAAGATGCCCATAGGCTGGAAGAATGAAAAGAAATAAATGCCACTTGAATTCTGTCTGCTTATAGAAATAACATTTAACATTAATAATTATCCCATCTGAGTAAATTCATCCTTTAATTCTACAGAGTTAACGAAAACTCGTTCCTTTGGTCAGAAGTCATTAACTTCACAAATATTTATTGGGTGCTGATCAGGAGCCACGTGCTGTATCAGGCTCTGGGATATGACAGAGTAAGACAGATGAAGGCTGTGCTCCTGTGGAGTTTGTGTCTTTACCCCAAAGACCTGAGAGCAATATTTCTCCAAGTGTGACTTGCGAATTAGCTGCATCAGAATCACTTGCTCAAAATGAGGATTCCGATGTTTCATCCTACACTTACCAGAAAATATTTCTAGGGGTGAGACAAGGGAAACCTGCAATTGTACCAAGTATTCTTGGTGGGTCTTTCGCACACTGGATTTTAAAAGCCTCTGCTTTAACGTACAGTAGTAGAAATTCATACTTTGAATGCAGTAATAATGACTTTAGGATGACAAAAAACAGTAAGTAAAAAATATTCTAGTCAGTGCACTTTTTGTAAGGAAAGATGACTTTAAATGTAAGACTTTGTATTGCAAACTGTGGGTAAGTGTTGTGTTCTGGACTCTATAGAAAATATTTAATCTCCTTTTACCAGAATATCTACTTCAGAGTTGGCAAAATAAGGAATTCTCCTCATGTTTTTCACAAGTAGAAATATTTAGCCATTGCCTATATCAAGATTTTATGATTTTCTTTTAAATACTGTACAGCAGTATGATCTGTGGTCTGCAAAAAGCAAGCCAACCTTCTCGATGAGCTCGATGCAGGCAGCCAGGTCCATCCCAAAGTCAATGAACGTCCACTCAATGCCTTCCTTCTTGTACTCCTCCTGCTCCAGCACGAACATGTGGTGGTTGAAAAACTGTTGCAGTTTCTCATTGGTGAAGTTGATGCACAGCTGCTCCAGGCTGTTGAACTAAATGAGTTGAAAATACAAATTAGCATTCAATTTATAATGAAATCTTCTCTTTGAAAGGGGTGTTTTTTTAGTTAGCCAAATTGCCCTCTTAGGATGGTATCGTTTTGTCCTACCTATACCTACACAATGAAGTTTTTGCTGCTGTTAGCATACTTGTTAAAATTGTCTCTTCAACACCTGTCAACAAGCTCTGAATGATGCTTTCCTATGCAATAAAAAAAAGTTGTTTGGAGCTGGAGGCCATTATTCTTAGCAAACTAACGCAGGAACAGAAAACCAAATACTGTATGTTCTCACATATAAGTGGGAGCTAAATGATGAGAACACATGGACACATAGAGGGAAACAGCACACACTGGGGCCTATTGGAGGGTGGAGAGTGGGAGGAGGGAGGGGATCAGAAAAAATAACTTATGGGTACTAGGCTTCATACGTGGGCGACACAGCTTACCTATGTCGCAAACCTTCACATGGACCCCTGAACTTAAAAGTTTTTTTTTTAAAAGTTGTTTGGTTTTTATAGTATTTGTTTTTGTTAGTCAGAGGTTTCTTAATGATTATGATTATGTTGTAAACTAGCTAAATTTGCTAGATCTGAGCCATTATGGTCTGTATGTTGTCCTTAATAATAAAAATTCAACAGCTAATATTTGGTGAACATTTACTCTACAGTAGACACTATGCTGAGTGCCTTGTATAAGTTACTGCATTTAATCCTCACAGCTACCTTTGTAGGTGGTATCATTTGCTCATTTCATGGGTGAGGAAACACTATTAGGGAGGCTAAGTAACTTGTGTAAGACCATGGTAGTAAGGGTCATGGCAGGAACCCCAACATTTTGATGCCAGAGCCAGTGTTTGTAACTACTCCTAGAACTTGAGTAGACCTGCCCTGCTTTATTATTCGGGACACCTACATAGAAACACAATTGAGGATGCCCTTGTTTAAGGGCATTATCACCATACACAAAAGTCAAAGGAATTCTATGAGGGGGATGAATCTGGCAAGCATATGCGAAGTGCCAGAAGCCAGTCACAAAGACCACATATTATCCGATTCCATTATAAGACATGTCCAGAACAGCCAAAACCAGAGACAGAAAGTAGATTAGGGGTTTCTGTGGCCTAGGGGGAGGACAAAATAGAATTTCCTGTTGGGATGATGAAAATGTTCTGAAATTGTTATGATGATAGCATGTACCTGTGAATATACTAAAAACCATTGAATTTTATACTTTAAATAGGTGAATTGTATGATATGTTAATTATATCTCGATAAAGCTGTTACTTCAAAAAAAAAAAAAGAAGCAGCTCAAAATGATTGCAAGTACCCTGTCATTAGTTCTCTTATTTTAAAAAGTGTGGATTGCTTTTTCTGTTCCTGCTTGATGACAGATTATTCCTTTCTTTCCACGTTGGCTTGGAAATGTCTGGAAGTGCTTCCGTTTCTAAAATTTCATCCAGTTTCAATCAGTCCGTACACAGATAAAAGTTTAGAATTGGGACCTCTAAATGAGACACATCCGAGATACTGCTGTCAAGTGGAGGACTGCAGTAGCCCTATTTCCTAAGCTGTGTAGCAGGTATTCTTCCTTAGGCAGACAAATTTGAGTTTATTTACGATGCCATTTCTATACTCAATACCTGGGTATTGCAGAGGTTATCCTAATAATTAAACACATTTCATTTCTCGGCAAACAGAATCTCAAAGTCTTTCTTTTAAAGACTTTGTCTTCTCCACTGCTATCTTTGATTCTATTGTTGCCCTCAGTATCTTACTGTTTACTGAGTGCTGCCTGCATGCTTGGGGACTGTGTTAAGGGCTGAAAATTCAGAAATCTTGAAACTAGCAGACAGATCTCAGAAGTGAATCTGTGATCTGGAATGTTAAGTGCTTTACCTACAGGTCCTAGTTGAATTTGCCCAATGATCAATCAGGTACAATTCTCATTATTACACAGCTAGTAATTGGCAGAGCAGGAGTTTGAATCCAGGTCTGTCTCATTCCAAAGTTCACTTCCTTTCACGGTCTTTTGGTGCTCTTTCATGTGTCAGTTAAGTTTAAAGTGCAGCTATTTTTCATAGACCCTTTCCATAAGTGACTACAGGCATGCTATATGACTGCAGCAACAAGCTTGCTTGTTGGAAACTTTTTTGGTACAATTTTTCTGCTAACTCACATCAAAGATCTCAAAGCCAGCAATGTCCAAGACCCCAATGAAGTACTGCCTGGGCTGCTTGGTGTCCAGCTGCTGGTTGATGCGGGTGACCATCCACAAGAACATCTTATCGTAGACAGCTTTGGCCAGAGCACCCACTGCATTGTACACCTTCACAGATAAAGTTTGTTGGTGTTATTAAAGACATGTCATGAAGGCCTGGGATGTGTGTGATTCATTGAGGTCATGCACTTACCTGCTGCACAGTTTGACCTTTGGTGACATACTCATTGCCGACCTTGACCCTAGGGTAGCAGAGGGCTTTGAGCAGATCTGCAGAGTTCAGATTTTGGAGATAGGCTGCCTTGTCAGCAACTGCAGAAACATAATTCAGATACCTAATATGACTTACTCTGGGACCCACAGTTCAAAGGGGCATAGTATTGAGTAAATAACTTTGTAGAAAGTCTGTGTGTGGGTACATCTGAGTATGTCCATCAGGAGCTCAGCTGTAAAGAAGACTTGAATTTTGGAATGGACATTTTTGCCTATATTCTCTCATTAAACCCAGATGGAGATTCATTTGGTACCTTCAGTGCCATCTGGCTCAGCTTGCTCCTCACGCTGCTTTTGCTTGAATTTCATGTTCCCATAATGCATCACAGCCCCTGTGAGCTTATAGATGGACACTCTTTCATCTGAAGTAAAGCCCAGAATTTCAATGGCACTCTACCATGAGAGATGAGAAGACAAAGATTAGGGCACAAGAGAATTTATACTGTATCTTTTACACACATATAGATGGCTGTTATTGCCATTCCCATGCATAATGGATTTTAAATTAAAATTCATGTATAACTTACATCTGTAGCCATCAACTCTTCTTGGTCATCAATGCTGGGCACTGTGATCTCCCCTTGACTGACGAAGGCATAATCGTATGGGTTGGTGGTGATCAGGAGCATTTCTGGGTCACAGAATTCAGGGCATATGTTTTACATTAGAAGATAGTACAGTGACAATCTTCTAGCTATGAATTTATTTCTTACCAATTAGATCTGGCTTCTTGTTAGACATGATCTGATAAAAAATATGATAGCTTCTTTCAGCCTTTAGCTGGAAAGTAACTCTAGACTTCTCCAGAAGATCTGCAACGGATAGTAGACATCAGATTATGGGGAAAAATTACACAATGTCCTGGAGTGATTTGAGGACTTGGGATCATTAGCTAAATCTCACTGGCCTCTTGAGATTTCAACTGAATGTTCCTGTGAAGTACCACATATTATGTCTCTACAAACACTATTGCAGTTCCTCCTGCCTCCTGGGAAAAAAGTGAAATATGCTTGGCTCAAGATATTCACTTCTCATACAGAAGATCCTTGACATTTGGAATATAATTGAGTCCTGAGACTCCCTCTGCAGGGTCCTGTCGCCATATAATAGAGGGACTACTAAAAGCAACAGTATTAAAGCTCAGACTAGGAATAAATCACATATCCTCAATCCCTGGACAACTTGTTTACTTCTAGTGTTAGTTTTTTCTTAAAAAAAAAATTGAAATCATTCTGAGGCTGGAATACTTTGGACATGCCCAGCAGTTCCTGGCAGTTCCCACAGAAGCATTACCTCATGACTGGAGTGGGTAAAGCATACTGTGGGCTATGGATAAGACTGACATTAACCACAAGCATGTTTGGCAGCAGACTGGTGCTTTACAAGCTCCATGTTCAGCAGGAGCTGCAAAGTGTTCCTCCAAACCAATATTTGTCATTCTTGGATTCTATTTAGGAGGTCCTGTTACTCACATGTTTCAATATCAGCAGAAGCCAGTTTCCCTGTGGTACCGAAGTGGATCCTGATGAATTTACCCTTGTAAGTAAAAAAAATGATGTTATACCCAAAGCTTGAAGTACGTAGTGGGGATGCCACTGAAATAATTCAGACATGCTTTCTCTGGCATCTAAAGGCAGAGAAGACCCTTTGGCAACCAAGAGACTTACAAAGCGAGAGGAGTTGTCATTCCTCACGGTCTTGGCGTTGCCAAAGGCCTCCAGTAGGGGGTTGGCACTGATGATTTGATCTTCCAGAGTCCCCTGCAAAGGCAAGAGCAGTCCTTGCATCTGGGGCTTGGGAATTTCCTACCTGAGAGTCCCGACAGAGCCTGGATTCTGACTAACAATCAGACTCACCTGCATTTTGCCAGAAGTAACTTCTTCCTTCTTCTTCTCCCCAGTAACTGCAATTGTTGCAAAGTACTGGATGACACGCTTGGTGTTCACAGTCTTCCCTGCGCCAGATTCTCCGCTGTCAAAGACCAAACGTATGAGAAATTAAGCACTGTGACAAATGAAACTACAACTACCTCATGGCTTTGTCTTTATATCTCTATTAGAGAGCCTTTTACATCTTTCTTTTCAGCCTACATATAGCTCGTATTATTTCTTTTGCTTTGCACTGGCAAGAAGTAGAAAAAATCAGTCATTGTTCATTTAACACGTATTTCTTGAGTGTTTATAATGTGTCAGCTTTTTTTCTGGGTGCTGAGGCCTGGGCTTGAGGGGTCTGAAAAGCAGCTACTCAGCACCTCTGTAGTGAATGGAACAATTAGTAGGAAACTCTATGAAACGTGCATGTGTTTTTCCATTTCCTCGGACTAGAGACATGGCTCAAGTTTGGTCTTTGAAGGAACAGACATTCTCTAAGTGGGCCTTAAAAATGAACCACTAGTAGTATTTCCAAACTGTTGTACCTTTTGAAGGCTGTATGCTGCTCATTGCACTATACTGGGTTCCAGCCCAGCTCATTTTACACTTTCTACACACCAAAAAGTTCTGTGGAACTTTCAAGACCAGCAAATGAGGTGATTTAGAACATTATTATTTTACATTCTAATGCAATGTAAACCTTATAATAAAGCTAAACCAATATCTAGTTCCAGGTTGATCATTCAGTGCTTTAGTAGAGAACATTAACTAATTTCTTTTTTTGGTTTGTCATTTTTCCAGTAAGAACAAACTGCCAATAAATCTCAGAATAGGAATACATACGTGATCAAGATAGACTGATTCTCCCGATCTAGAAGAAAAACAGTGGAAAATCAGCATATGTATCAGTTACACAAACAAAACTTTCTATAGTGAAACAGGGCATTTGAGTATAAGTGTCATGTATTCAGTGGGGTTTTTCAATATATTATGGTAAAGTTATGGGTGTGTCCTGCTGGTTTAATATAAAGAGCAGTATTCTCCAAAGCTAGATACATTCCGTAGTTGTCATCTGTAGATTTCAATGGCATGCTATCTGCTAATTAATGCATATAGCTGAAAAATGCATAATATGCTAAAGGCTTGGACTATTATTTAATAGATTGAAATAGTGTTAATCAAGCCATGACTGAGATTTTGTTTCTAAATGTGTCAGATGACTTCACAAAGAGAAAAAATTTACTATCTTATGGCCACAGACTAACTTCAATATAGCCCTAACTTCGATCAGCCTTCCCCAAAGTGTACCATTGTGTTAAAGAAAGATGAGGTAAGAGAGGATGCCTCAATCAAAATAAAATCTTTCTAAGGGGGGAAAACAATTTCTGTTTATATGTGTGTAGCCCCAAAACATCATCTTCATTCAAACAGAGGATATTATATCTGAGATGTACTCTGATAACTTTAAAGAGATGACAGTACTTGTAAAAGAATCTAATTTATAATTAACAAGAAACTGAGGCACCAAAAGGATTGAACTCCTATTTTTCATTTCTATTCAGATAATACATGATTTATATGATTCAGTTGTTACTTAATCTTGGCTCTTATTACTTAAATATATAAAATAAATTGTGTGTTTCCAAGCAAGGAGACCATAAACAAATTAAACTTAATGGGATGGAGTAATAGCATGGCCTAGTAAAGTCAGTGAGGTGTAATCAGGAGAGCTGTGTTTTAATACGAGCTTTGACAGTATATACTTCTCTGTGCTTTAGTCACCTCTGCTGAACAACCAGGGGCGTGAATTGGGTTTTTTTCTAAAGGTCTTTTTTTAGTTCTAATATTTTGTGATTATGGATGGTAAAATAATTCATATGAAAACCAGCTGAGCCACTCACCAGTCAGCATGAACTGATAGGCATTGTCAGAGATGGAGAAGATGTGGGGTGGGGCCTCCTGGCGCTTTTTGCCTCGGTAGGCTGTCACCACCTCTGCATTATACACTGGCAACCACTTGTAGGGGTTGACAGTGACACAGAACAAGCCTGAGTAGGTCTGCACCCAAAACAAAAGGGAGGAACAGAATTATTTGATGGGGACCTTAATCATCTACTACTTTTCAAAAACTATTAACTACTCTCATGAGTAGAAGACCGTGAGAAAGAACTCACGTAGATCATCCAGGCTGCGTAGCGCTCTTTGAGGTTGTACAGCACAGCAGGCTCGTGTAGATGAGTCATCATGGCCATGTCCTCGATCTTGTCATATTTGGGAGGGTTCATGGGGAAGACTTGGTCATCTTTCACTGTTACAGTCTGTCCAGTCAAACAAGAGAGGCCAGATCAAAAAGTAAGTGCTAACTTAACCCAAAATGAGGCAGAGTCTAATCAGCTCCAGGTGTTTTTACTCACAGCTCCAGCTTCGGTCTTAGCTGTCACCTTCCCCCCTTCCCTGCTCTGCACTGTTGCTTTCACAAAGGACTCCTTAGGGTCCACCACAAAGACTGATGTCTTGGCATCAAAAGGCTTGTTCTGGGCTTCAATTCGCTCCCTTTCAGACTTTCGGAGGAAAGGAGCAGCCTCCCCAAAAATGGCCATCTCAGAGTCGGAACTCATGGCTGCAGGTTATTGATGGTAGCCCAGTTAAGGACCCTGGCTGGGAGAGGAAGAAAAGAAATTGTAGAAATTAAGAAACTGGACCATTAGATTCACATTTAAAACTTTAAAAAAAAATTTACTGACCAATTGAGTGCTTAGCATTGCATTGGGTATGACCACCTCCCTGGCTTGGTTGAGGATAAAATGTCAGTCTCCTTGTTCTGTGCCAGTGCTGACAGACACTTAATCATGCATTTGGAAAGAGACTGTTGTTTCTGGCTCACCTATTGCAGTCTCTTAGCTGCTTTCTCTGTTTCATTTGTTAGGTATATTAATCTTTATAAGCTGCCTATCATTGGCTTATAGAGAACATAAAGCTATAATGGTGGCAGGATAGTCTCCAGTTCTTTCACTTATAGTTTTTATCTTCCCAACTGGATTATAAGCACCTTGCAGGCAGGGAGCACTCTTCTTTTTATGGTATCCTTCACACCTCTTAGAACAAATGCTGGACACAGAGAAAGGCTCAAAGCTGGCTTGGTGAATTAAAAGAACAATAGGAATATGTTGCTATAATTTTAGGAACTATTCTGTACATGACAGAAATATTTTCATTATAAACTTGGGAGTTACGAAGACTTCCTAATATACAGGAAAGCAGAAATGTGTGGCTCTTTGTTTTGCATTGTTAAAAAATGTTCTGTTATCCATCAATTTCTGTTGTCTCTGTATAATAATTTTGACAAACTCAACTTCTTCACTGATCTTTAGCATTTCTTAAATATTTATTATAAAACGTTATTACCTATGTTTTCTTGCTCTATTATTAACATTTTTATAACAATTTCACAAAACTTGTTCTTTTCAGGATCCCCCTCTTGCCACATTAGCTAGCATTCATTAATGCTGTCAATAATCTTCATGTATATTCTACTTTATAATAATAAAGATACCTTTTCCAGGGAAGCTCATTTGGATACATTTCTCCCATTGAAACTATGTTGACTCAGATAACATAATTAAAATGCTTCATCTTGCTGAATATGCTGACAATCATGTTTCGTATTGTGTGTGTGTATATATACATATGTGTGTGTGTGTGTGTATATATTCGTTAATTTTTATTTTATAGATTGTGAAACAACATGCAGTTAAGCAACTTTTTCCAAGGCAAAGATTCAGACCATTCTATTTATCCAATTAGACATCATCTCTCATAGGTTTTTATATTTATAGTGCTGAGGAAAAGCCATGGTATAGAAAATTTAAATTTTCTCTATAATTGAGTAACACTTTGAAATGTTACATTGCATATTGTAATGCAGTCATTTAAAAGATAAACTACAATGCTGGAAATAGTGAATGAAATTCACTATTGTGAATAAAATTCCCAAGGACTCTGAGAAAGCATTTTCATATATTGCGAGGGATATGAGTTAAGGAGAACCAGTTTCTAAAGTCATTCTCCATTTTTTAAGAGAAGCGTGATCAACCATGAAATGGAAATGATTTTTTTTATCACTTCCCTCACCCCGCCCCTCACCACTGTCCAAACCACTGCAGAAGATTCCTTGCACTCTGTGAGGAATGAGAAAAAAAAAAATCAGAATCTTACCGTAGAGATGCGACCTTAAAGTGGATCAGAACTGTAAGAAAAAGAGCAAACCTCTTCTGATTAAATTATAACAATTCCCGATTATAGAACAATTCTTAACTGAGAACCAGGAAATGACTGGGAAGACTACAACATCTAATTAAAATTGCTACGGAGTAAGCTGGTGCTTCACTGGCAGGGCTGCCAGGGACAGTGGGAGCCAGGATGTGTGGCATGCACGCGGGCAGCCAGACATCCCTTACCGTCCTCCAGACAGAGCCCTGTCCTCACACACACTTACCTTGAAGCTTTATGAGGAGAGACAAGTCATACTCATTCCAAGGGTACTTTTATAGGCTCAAATATGGAAAACACGTAACCTCCTCCTCTTTCTTAAAACATATTTGGCAAAACATGTTTTTGGCATTGAAGGTCTCCAAGCCTAATTCCCCTCATATTAAAGATGTTTGGATATAATTAGAAATATTTCCTCTCATATTGGGTTAAGTATATGAATCAATCTCCTATAAATAATTTGAGTCGTTGGCAATCTTAAAGTTGTTGGCCTTTGGAATGTAAGGTGTTGTTTCAAAGACAGCTAAGTTCTGGAATCCCTGGACTTTGTTGCCTACTGCTCTTCTGTTTCACAGAGTCGCCTGTGTGAAGTCTTTTCAACTGCCTGCGCAGTTACAGATAGTGTACTCGGGAGGAAAACTTCTGCTCTTTAGCAGAGGGTTATAAAAACGTTGCTTTCTCTCAAAAAGATTTCCTTTTTTTTTTTTTTTTTTTTTTTGCAATTTATTGTGCTTTTTCAAAGTTGCTTGGAAATTTAATTTTGAAACTTGCTTCATGAAGAGCAGCCAAAGATAGCTTCTTTTGTTTCCTTCAATCAGTCGCCTCTTATTCATTGTCAAATCATTCCACCGGCACTTCGGACTTGCTCCGAAATTGCATTGCCTTCCAAACAGAGATGTCCTGCTTCTCTCATTTTTTTTTGGTGCCCAAGTTGCTTGTGAAATCTTGTTTCCTCTATGAAACTCAACATAAGAAAATATTGGAAACAGGGTATTTCTCTGTCTAAATATGCAGCATCGATGATTTTTCCTCTATCAGCAGTCCATGGGATATATTTAGTATTTTGCTTACAAACAATACCTGAATATTGTTTTCTATTTTAATTTTTTAAAAAAGTTTATTTTACTGTCTTTGTGGCCTCACGTCTCTGTCTGTCAGCATTGTCTGGCTAGGACTGGGACAACATTTGCTTAATATACCTGGTTTTGCACCCACATCTGTATTATTGTACTTATATCTCAATTGATTTAATGGCTATAGCTTGCCTTATGAAAGGAGATATCTGGATATACTAGTTGTAAAGGTCACATAGTTTTATTACCATAAGGGATCATCTAATTCATCTTTCTCATTTTACTAATAAAGCAACTGAGATCCAAAAAATAGAAGAGAATCTCCACAAATCACACAGCAGTTTAGACTCTGGTCATCTGACTTGCGGTCCAGCGTACTCACTTGTGACACTCTTCTACCTGGGGTAGATTAAAGCCATCAGGAAGGGTATTGCAGGGATGTGCGTCTGAGAGGGCCTTTCCTAGCCATCTATTAGCCTGCTTTGTTACCACAGGTACCTAATTTTACTTTCTTACATGTCTGTTTCTTTACTAGGCACCTGCAAAATGTGGGTAATGATTTTCAGGAAGATAAAACATTTTAATAATGCTCTCAATAGGATCTGATGGGAATCTTCAGACAACCTTTTGTCTTGCTCTGGATAAACTTTTCAATAAGTAGGAAGTAAGATATTGTTTTTGTTTATTACTGCCACGTTATAAAGCACTTAAGCAATTCCACGTGATACAGGAACAAAGTGAAAGAGGGGCTTATGCAGCGAGAAGAGCAATTCCACACCCTTTCTAAGGCCAGTGCGACAGTGTGAATCCAACTTACCTGTTAAACTACCATGTCTAATTTACATCATTTTCACACAGTGCCATTTAGACCAAGATACTCTTGCTTTCTATTTGATGGGAAGTTACCATTTAGCTCTTCCTTTATTCTGTCGAGGAAGGTTATATTTTTGGCTATGCATCTCAGCTGCATCCAGTTTAAAAATCTTGATCCTCTAGGAAAACGTCTCTGAGTGGTCCAGATTGCTATGATATCTACTTTTTGTACCAAACTCATACCCATCATTATGTGTGTTGAATATAGATTTGAATAACCTACTTTGAGATCATATTTTCTTGACACTTTTAGTCATTTATTTTGGCTCTTTATATGATTATCTGGGAGACCATAAAGATTGGAAACATAAGCTAATAGCTCATGGATACTACATTATAACGTAAAAATAATATTCTCTATGTCTCCAGATTTGATAGACACCCTGTAGTTTTCATAGGGAGAAGAGTCATATTTAATTTAATTTTGAAACTTGCTTCGTGAAGAACAAGGTCGTGTCAAACCCATTACCCAGTGCACCTACTGTGGGCATATGGTACATTGGAATTGATAATGTAAATATCCATGGGCTAATTAAGAATATTTTGTATTTATATTCTTGATAACAGTTATTCAACAAAGAGAATTAATGATACAATTCAGTTTGAATCCCCTATGTGAGAATATAGCTAGTACTATCCTGAAAAAGGTTCATGTTAGGGGAAGCAGGAGCTTTCTAAGATTTTACTGTACTCAGATATCAGGAAAGGTTAGAAAGAAATAAAATAGACTTCCAAATTTCTGTTCATTAGAACAGTCTTTCTGGATAAGTGACATCTTTACAGCCTTAAAGTGTTGCCGTAGACCCCCAAAAAAGTCACCAATTGAATGTGATTGTTTGACAACTCTGGTGACTATTCAAACTTTGACATGGCTTCAGGAAAGAGAAAAGACAAGACCAGTCTAAGGATATTGTTTGCAAACTACCCTATGCTTTATTTCCTTTGCAACAGGGTAGAATACACAATAATTACAGAGGGAAATGACCAAAGATGTCACATTTTGTGCCTGTCTTCAGTCATTCCATGGCATCAGGACATGATCACTCTTCACTTATGACTTTTGTGTGAACCTCCCGGCTCTTCACCCGCAGTTTGTTCACCTGGGACTCAGCAATGTCAGCCCGTTCCTCGGCCTCCTCCAGCTCATGCTGGAGCTTGCGGAATTTAGCTAGATTGGTGTTGGATTGTTCCTCCTGAGAATAAAAATGGAATTGTAAGGAACTCATACTTGCATCTTTCTAGACTCTTTAGACCTAATAGAAGAAAGGACTTGGCATCTATGGAGAAGCAACATCTAGGGATTATCATTGAAATTAATTTTAAGATTTGTTTATTGATGTCATATATATATATATATATATACACACACACATACATACATACGTATCTCACATTCCTATTTTGGCAACCAAAACACATAAAATATATGTACCACAAGTAGAATAAGAAGAAAAATATAAGCTTAGAGAGGAAGGCAAGAATATTAAAGTCATAGTTGTTAATGCTTGCTATAAGATGATGATTTTCCCTTGAGTTAGATTTTTTTTATCATATTAAGAATGAACTTATTAAGTTTTTAAAAATTGAAATAAATATTGGATTTTGTCATGTATCATTTTGGCACATTTCAAAATGGTTACTTTTTTCCTCCTGCATTGGATGTAATGATTCTATTGACAGATAACCTAATATTAGGTAATCTTTACATTGTAAGAATTAACCTTATTTAATCACTGGAAGACAATTCCTTTAATAAAGTAAGACTTACTACTTAGTAATTTATCTTTGCTGTAACTGTCTTTATGAGTAAAATTGCCTTTAGTTTTTCTCCCTCTGTCCTCTCTTGGGCAGGTTTTGGTATGAGGGTTATGTGAGCTTCTTAAAATGAACTGGACAGCTTTCTATCTTTTCCCATGCTCTTGAACAGCTACATAGCTGGGGGATTATCTGTTCCTTGAAATTTTGAAAGACCTATCTGGACTTGGGTCCATTTCCAGAAGTAATTCAGCCAACTTAGTAATTTATATCCTCCTAGAAAAATCATCAATTTTTTTCAGGGTTTCAACTTTATTGATAGATGTGTTTTATATTAAAAAATAATCCTCTATGTATATAGCTTATTCCCTTTCTCATTTCTAATGTTGTTTATATTTTCTCTCTTATTTTCCTTGATGAAACTAGTTATAATACATTTATTTTATTAATTCCCCAGAAGTTACAAATATTACTGAAGTTATCAAATAGAAAATAGTATACTCTAATTCACCAATTTCTACTTTTATTTTTAACAGTACTTCTTACTTCTACTGTTTTATTATTATTTATAATTTATTTATTGGACTGTCTGTTTGTTTATTTTTACTTTTGGTTCATAATGAAAGCATTTAAAGCAATGAATTAGCCTCCTAGCACAGCTTTGACTACATTCTGTAGGTTTGTAAAAGTAGCATCTTCCTTGTGATTTTACTTATAATTAATAATTATTTAGTAATTATGTTTTTATTTTTACTTTAAACCAAGAGTTATTTAAGAAAGTTAGTTTTTTTAATATTTAAGTACTCAAGAATTTTTGCTTATATTTTGTCATCACTTTACAACTCCGTCATACTGTGGCCGGAGAATATGGCCTGTATTATTTCTGCTTTTAATTTTTTTCAGGATTCTTGGTGGATTGAAAGTTTACTTTTAAAATGAAGCTACTGATATTACAAATGATACACAAGAATTATTGTACAAAAACAAATGTTAAATATGCATGCAGTAGTCTTTAAAGCAAACAGCTTGTTCACTACAAGAAGTAGTAATTATTTATTAGCTTAATTTGAGGACTTCAATCTTAAAAATACTTACAGCCTCCTCAGCTTGTCTCTTATAAGATTTCACTTTTGCCTGAAGTTTATCTACCAAATCTTGAAGCCTGAGAATATTCTTTCTATCTTCTTCCGTCTGAAAGATTATAAAAAGTCCAGGACCTTAATTACTAAAGCACATGACTATTGCATCATTGCATATGAGTATTTCACATAAACTTCGACCAGTGCTTAGCCGCTAAAAACTACTGGCTGTACCTGGTAAGTGAGTTCCTTCACTCGCCTCTCATGTTTGCGCAGACCTTTGACAGCCTCAGCATTACGCTTTTGCTCACTCTCAACCTCTCCTTCCAGCTCCCGTACCTGCAAATAAGTAGGCTCTTAAGAACTTTGATCCAATAAGGCACTGAAAGCAGATGGAAATAGACAGATATTGGGAGACCCACCCTGGCCTCCAGTTTCTGGATCTGCTTCTTCCCACCCTTCAGGGCCAGCTGCTCAGCCTCATCCAGACGGAGCTGCAGATCCTTCACGGTCTGCTCCATGTTCTTCTTCATCCGCTCCAGGTGGGCGCTGGTGTCCTGCTCCTTCTTCAGCTCCTCAGCCATCATGGCGGCCTAAATAGCAAATAAATCAAGAAAACCAAGAAAGTTATAGATGTCAGGAAATCTTACTGCTAAATCAGTGGACAAGTGTGCCTGCCACTCACATCAGTGATGGCCTTCTTGGCCTTTTCTTCTGCATTGCGGGCTTCCTGGAGAATGTCCTCCATCTCTCCTTGCATTTGGGAAATATCTGTCTCCAGCTTCTTCTTGGTGTTGATCAGGCTGGTGTTCTGTTTAAAAAGAATTTGTACATTTAAAAAATTGTGTTACCAAAGTATTTATTGGTAACCACTTCTTGAAAAAAATTCAGATAAAAATTTGCAAGTCAAAAAATGCCTTTTAATATTAAAGAATTAAAGGATTGTGTTATGTAATATGATTAAATAAAATATAAATGTTATAGAATATTCAGCATCTTCAAGTGTATAGGTCACAAGCAGACCAAGTAGCTCTATAATTTTATAATTATCATTTACCAATAGACCATTCACAGGGATAAAAGTATAATGGACTTTCTCATAACATTCCATTTCTCCAGAATGAAATGTGAATATTGATAATGAGGGCCAATAAAGATATTAACACAATAGAATACGGGGGCAGCCTTAGAATATTATATGAAGCAAATCAACAATAGTTTTTCAAAGCAAAACAGTGAAAGATTTCTCAGTAATGCAGAATTACTATTCTGTATTATTTGAAAAGAAAATTTGATAGACATATTAGGTCTAGCTGTCTTATGAAAACTCAGGCTTATCTATTCTGGGACATATAAAATTTACTAAGGAGAGTTCTTTGTGCTGAATCCCACCTGGGTGTGCAGTAGCTGAACACGCTCACTGGCATCCAGGAGCTCCTGTTCTGCGATTTTTCTGCTCCTCTCTGTCTGTTCCAGAGTGGCCCGCAGCTCCTCGATCTCAGCCTGCAGCAGGTTGGCTCTGCGCTCCACCATGGCCAGCTGTTCCTTCAGGTCCTCCTGGCTCCGGAGAGCATCATCCAGGTGGATCTGGGTATCCTGTGAAACAAACCATCATTGAGACATCATGTTCTCAGGGTTGCAGGCACCCCAATAGTCCTGGGACCATCTCTTGGACATATTTACCTTGAGGATGCCTTGGGTGTTCCTGTAGTTCCTCAGGGCCTCAGCAGCCATGCGGTTGGCATGGTTCAGCTGGATTTCCATTTCATTGAGGTCTCCCTCCATCTTCTTCTTGAGCCTAATGGCATCATTCCTACTCCTGATCTCAGCATCCAGCGTGCTCTGCATGGACTCCACGATTCTAATGTGGTTTCTCTTCAGCTGGTCAATTTCCTCATCTTTTTCAGCAATTTTCCTATCAACCTCAGACTTGACTTGGTTCAACTCAAGCTGGATGCGCAGGATCTTTCCCTCTTCATGTTCAAGAGATGCCTTAATGACAGCAAGAGGTGACATTAGCAAGGAACCAAAAGCTTTATGAAGTTTTTCTGCACAGCAATAATTTTGTGCTATGTGTCTTTTTATTCACTCTATGCAGATGTACCTAATTATTTTCCAGATTTTTTTATAATGCACAATTTTACATGTACCTCTGCTTCTTCTAAAGCAGCCTGAAGTTCACACTTTTCTTGTTCCACTTGTTTCTTTATTTTCTCCAGTTCATGGATACGTTTCCCTCCTTCTGCAATCTGTTCCGTGAGGTCAGAAATCTCCTCTGTTGTTTGAGTAAAAGACAGGTAGGGATTTGGTTAAACATGTGACATAAGGGAGAGATTCTTCCAAGTTATGAATATTATTGAATATGATAGGGACTTACGCTGTAAGTTTTTGTTCTCTCGCTTCAGGGTTTCTAGCTGATCCAAAGATTCCTCATAGGCATTCTTTATCTTGAACAGCTCAGTGCCAAGGGAACGGGCCTCCTTCTGGGAGGCCTCAAGCTCAGCATGCGTTTCCTCACATTTCTGTTTCCATTCTGCCAGGATCTGAAAAACCAAGACCTGTTACCTGCTGCAAAGACAAAAGAGTAGAGTAAAGAGCAGAAGATGCTGGAGGAATTACCTTATCGAAGTTCCTTTGCTTTTTGTCAAGGGCGGCACAGGCGGCATTTGTCCTCTCCACATCAAGCATGAGGTCCTCGACCTCATTCTGCAGCCGCTGCTTCGTCTTTTCGAGGGAAGCACATTTGGCGTTCACAGCTTCTACATGTTCCTCAGCTGCCTGCAGCCGCTGGGCCAGCTTCTTCCTTGAATATTATACATGTTTTCAGAGAGAAGTGAACCATAATATGAATTATGAGCTATTGCCACACACGCTGAAGAGTGTTAGAAACTTCACATTAATGCTGCCCAGCCACCTTTCATTCTTTCAACAAATATTGATGAGCCCCTTTTATGAACCAGACACTGGCTACGCAGCAGTGACCAAGACAAAAAAGATCTCTGCTTCATGAAGACCACAAACAAGTGAGAGAGGTAAACAATAAGCAAATCAGAACATCCGTAATAATACCTTACAGATACAAGTGCAATGAAGCAAAATAAAATAAATGGTGGGCAACTACTCTAGATATTCAGTGAAGGCCTCCATGAAGAGATATTTGAGTCAAGAGCTAAAAGTCAGAGAGCCAAAGGGAAGTCTGTGGAGAGGGTATTTCAGACAGAGAGAAAAGCAGGTACAAGCCCCTGATGCAGCGATGAGCTCATTGTGCTTGACAAACAGCAATGAGGCCCCTAATTATCAGTGTAATTATTTGCTCTTCTTTGTTTTCTTAACTAGATTTTAGGATCGTAAGGCAGGGACCATATTTGATTTATTCATGTCTTATTCTCAGGGCCTGATTGTGACTGGCACATAAAAGCAGATTAATGAGCATTTGTGGACTAATTCACTGAATCTTCAAAGGTCATGTCTTTCTGATTCAATATGCAAAGTTTTCTGCTCATTCTCTCATATCTGTGCACATACTTGGCCTCCTCCAGCTCCTCTGTGCGCTGGATGGCGTCCGTCTCGTATTTGGTCCTCCATTGGGCAACCTCGGTGTTGGCCTTGGACAGTGCTCTCTGCAGCTCGGCCTTGGATTCCTGCTCCTCCTCATACTGTTCCCGCAGCAGGTCACAGTCGTGGCGGGAAGACTGCAGGGCATGCGCCAGGGCGTTCTTGGCCTATGGAGGCAGTTACACCTTCATTTTACTGGATATTTAAATATTTAACTCTTAACTTTCAAAACCTTTTGAAAGCTGGTATAACAGGCTCCATGTAGAATCAGCTCATGAGGGAAAAAATCAGTCTTAGAATCATAATTACTTTTATCTCCTCTTCAAGTTGCCTCTTTAATTCTTCAATCTGTTGAGTAAAGGCTTGTTTGCCTCTTGATAACTGAGACACCAGAGCTTCCTTTTCATCAAGCTGGCGTGAAAACTCACCTGATGGACAAAAGAAATGGCACCATTTTTTAGGTGAAAAACAAGATTCTGCAAGCCCATGTTAGAAAGAAATTTTGACTCTTATTTTCCCAAATTGAGTGCTCAGATGGTTGAATTCTATACTGACATCTTCATGCTCAATGCAGGTTTTCAGTTTTTATGGTGAAACTTTCAGATCAATCGGAATGAATAAATACAGCTTAAATTCCTTTTGTCCTTTCCATAACTAATTCTTTCAGAATTATATGATATTGTGCAAAATCTGGTGAGGACTGTCAAATGAGTAAGCTAAAATGTCTAATTCTACAGGGTCCCCATTCCATAGGACTTTTGAGAGACTGGGATATTCATTGCCCCATTCTGGAAGTTACTTGACCCTCATATAAATAAAGAGAAACTTGGCCTGAAAGAGAAGCCCTGAACTCATGCTGGAGTAACCGCTAATCCCAGCATCCTCGCAATGAGCAAATACTCAAGGCCATTCTGGAACAGAGCTTGATTTTGTCCTATTGAAACCTTTATCTCCAGCATTGTCCCAAGATGACCTTGCACATAGGTCAGGTGTCTGAGCTGTTCAGTGAATCAGACATGTTCTCAGCTGTTTTATTAGGCTCCCACTTCACCAAATCAGTCCGTTGTTCTTAATCACATCCTCTCCACCCTGAAGCTGCACAGAAGAGGGGAGAGTTACCAGATTCAGTCTGCAGGCGCCCCCTCTGCGCAGTCAGGTCATTGATCAGCCGCTGCTGCTCCTCTTCCTTTGATTTCAGTTCACTCAGTTGGTCCTCTAGAGTCCGGCACATTTTCTCTAGGTTTCCCTATAGAAGAAAAAGTAAAAGAAGAAAACAGAGACCTTTTAAGCGAATAATAATCACCTTTGCAGTTACTGTAACTTCTCCCCAAAATAAAAAATACAATATTTATCTTAATATAGAAAAGAAACCAAATTATCTTATATGTAATGTAATGCAGAAAAATTTTTCTTTCTTTCTTTTTTTTTTTTTTTGAGACAGAGTCTTGCTCTGTCCCCAGGCTGGAGTGCAGTGGCGTGATCTCGACTCACTGCAACCTCCGCCTCCCGGGTTCAAGCGATTCTCCTGCCTCAGCCTCCTGAATAGCTGGGACTGCAGGCGCGCGCCACCACACTTGGTTGACTTTTCTTATATTTTATGAAAGCTAATCATGGAGCTCTGTTCAATATTAATATGAAAATGTTAAGGTTATATTCTAATTTTAAGATTTTGTTAGAATTGTATAGTGTACATTTTCTAAAAGCATGTTCTAAAATACTTCATTGCCTTTATGTACGATGAAACTTTCCTTATTTCAATTTCCTTGAAATAATTGGAGACCTTTGTTCTATAACTGGAGACTTGGAGAACACAGATGGCTTATGTTCAAAAGCTGGTGTTGTCGTTTATTAATGGCGTGATGGGTCAAAGTGCTTGGCCTCTTTGAATTTCTGATCCTTTATTTGTTAAGTTGAAATAATAAAAAATGCTGATTTTTTGTGCTTACTTCCCTGAATTACTGCAGTTAACAAATGACTTAATGTGTAAAAAGTGCCCTGTGCAAACTATGATGTGTCCATAATGCATTATTTTCAATAACAATTTCCCAGAATTTGTAGTACCTTGGCTTTGGAGACCGTTTCTACATTACTAGCAAGGTCATCAATCTCCATCTTCATCTCACTCTTCTCCTTCTCCAGCTTCTGCTTCACTCGCTGCAGGTTGTCAATCTGCTCCCCAAGCTCGGCCACACTATCTGCATGCTTCTTCCTCAGGGTGGCCGCTGTGGCTTCATGCTGTAGGGTGGCCTCCTCCAGGTCCCTGCGCATTTTCTGGAACTCAGCCTCCCGCTTCTTGTTCATCTCAATCTGGGCTGAAGTGGCCCCACCGGCTTCTTCCAGCCTCTCGCTGATCTCCTCCAGCTCCCGGGAGAGGTCAGAGCGCTGCTTCTCTGCTTTGGCCCGGGAGGCCCGCTCTGCCTCGATTTCCTCCTCCAGCTCCTCAATGCGGGCCTGGGAATGGTGGAAAATACAAACTCAGCTTCTTTGTGTCATAACTGCCTCCGAGCCAGACTGATGAAAATCATGTACTTACTTGCAATTCTTTAATTTTCTTCTGCAATTGAATGCCAAGTGCCTGTTCATCTTCAATCTTGCTTTGCAGATTGCTGATTTCAAACTCTTTCCTTTTAGAAAAGTAGCAAAGGACAACAATTTAGTCCGTATCTAATGTTGGAAGCAAATCCATAAGCAATTCTTTCTTACTTACTTTTTGAGCTTTTCATCAAGTTGCTGTTTCTCATTTTCAATGTCCATTATGGATTCTTGGGCCAACTTCAAGTCACCCTCAAGTTTCCTCTTAGCCCTTTCTAGGTCCATGCGAAGTTTCTTTTCTTGCTCCAAGGACCCTTCAAGCTAAATATAAATTATGTTGAATCAGAAGGAATGCTTATCTTCCTTTAGAAGAAAAGAATGTCCTTGATGATACCAGACTTACATCATCCACTTGTTGTTCAAGTTTGATTTTAGCTTTGGTCAGGGTGTTGACTTTGTCCTCCTCTGCCTGCAGGTCATCCAGGGTCTGCTGGTGGGCCTCCTGGAGAGCCTTCTTCTCCTTGGTCAGCTTAGCAATGGTTTCATCCAGACCTGCCATCTCTTCTGTGAGGTTTTTCACCTACAAAGGTGAAGAAAGCAGTTTAGTTGCTATAAAGCACCTTTGTTGGGTGGCAGAACCTCTATACAGTACTGTAGAATATGATTGATACCTTGTTTTCTGTGGCATGTTTCTCCTTCTCAACCTTGGCCAGTGTCAGCTCAAGGTCATCAATGTCTTTCTTGAGTTCTGAACATTCATCCTCCAGTTTCCTCTTCTTGGCTGTCAGCTCAGCATTGATCTCTTCCTCATCCTCAGCTCTCTCAGTCACCTCTTTGATTTTGGCTTCTAGCTGGATTTTGGTTTTGATTAGCTGGTCACACCTTTCCTCTGCATCAGCCAAGCCTTCGGCTTCCTTAAGTTGGAAACAAGATCAAAATTGGGAAGAAAGAATGAAATACTTCACAATGGATAAGAGTGTATGTTTCTGCATTTGATCTTTTGAATTTCCTATATTCATTTGTTTACTCCTTCACAAATTTTTGTTTCATGAACCACCCTACTGTGTACATTTTCCACATGTGGGTAAGCCAAAATGTACCAGTTGTCATTTTGTTCCCCTAAAAGAATGTATTCTACAGTAGATTAGAAAACCTATTTCCCAAAAGCTACCATTAATGTAGAAAGCAATTAGTGACATAACAGATCAGAGAAGTTGGATCAGAGATGGTTTCATGAAAGAATTGCTGTTTGATTTGGGCCTTGAGAGAGGGGTAGGATTTGCTTTTGCAGAAATCAACTTATTGTGGAGAGGAGCAGGAGGGTTGTGGGGAAGCATTCTAGCAGGACAAATTCAAGATACAGCTGCTACTGATTTTTTTTTTTTGTAGTACTGGAGGATGCTCCTGATTATGATGTACTAAATTCAAGTTGAAACATAAAGTAATCAAGAAATTCCTGGCAACCTGCTGTTTCCAATTAAGGGGGACAGGGCAGGCGGGAAATGAAGGAGACACTGGAATATATACTCATCAGTAATCCTCCATATCAGTCTTTGACTACATTAAGGAATGCAGGGTGCTATGTATAACTGTGTAACGAATACAGTGGTTTAGTACAGATTCTGCATAAATCTCTGGGGACAACAGAAGAGAATACAGGGTAGATTTGGAGGGCTTTTTCCTTCTGTAATCTAGAAGGAGTTATTATACTGCTCAACGTTGACAGAGAGACCAGTCTTAACAGAAAAAAATATGACTTTATGATAAGTAGACCAATTCAATTCACTCCAAATAAAACATAGTCTTATAAATTATAGTCTGAAGTTGATGGAAGCAGTTCTAAAATGATTGGTTCAGGAGAGGGCAGTGAGCAGGCTGGATGGAAGAAGAGACAATTGGGAAGTAGGCTGAGCAACTTTGGTGCTGATGCAGCAATGTGGGTGTGACATGATGGGACACTGACTGTGGAGACAGATTAGAAAGAGGGAGTCTGAGTTTTTGAGATCAATATCACACGATAATTCAGTAAAATTTGATGAGAGTGCTGTCATATGTCAGCTGTTCCTATTATAATTTAAGACCCGTGGACATCTAGAAGTTCAAGGAAGTTTCCGAAAAATATTACTCTCTCCATGCTATCCTCCCCTTCATATTTTATTTGGGATTGTGTCATATTAAAATCATTTTTATGGACTGTATTTAAAGAGAAAATAAGTCAAAAATCTTGTGGTTTGATGAAATTGTGTACAATGGAAAATGAGGGATATTTCTACCTCACTGCCCTGGTGCTGGTTTGTTGGGGGTTATTGGGCAATGGAGGAATGTTTGGACCTTTTCGTGCCATTGGAGTGTTTTAACCTTTTCCTTCCAATGAGTGTCTCCCTTGCAATTACCCAACTCATGGCCCACAATGGCCAAAGTTCTAGCACCTGCATCCTGGTTAGTGATACCAAGGGTGATATTCCAACTCACAGCCTGAACTTGGAGCTGCAAGTCATTTTTTTCTTTCAACAGCGTCACCATCTTTTCTTCCAGTTCCTTCCTTTTTGCCTCTGACTTGGCAAGTTCGTCTTTAATTTTCTGAAATTCTTCCTTCATGGTGGCCATCTCCTTCTCAGTTTCTGCACTCTTCAACAGAGGCTTGATCTTGAAGAAGAGTTTCATCCAGGGCCAGTGCTTGACATTCATGAAGGATCTGATATTGTACTGGATACAGAAGATGGCCTCCCTGAAATTTAATTGATGCAAATTAGTATTGTGTGGTTGATGCAATGGGATGAAACCTTGGCAGTGAGAGTTGGAGGTTCTGCTTCACCTTGTTCCTACTCTGCTTTCAAACATGCAGATGAAAAAATTCTATTTCGGGATGATGGTCAAGGTCTTGCTAAGGTCACTCATTTCTCTACATCACTGCTTCTCAAACTTTGGCATGCATAAGAATCACCTGAAGGGCTTGTTAAAATACTGACTCCTGAACCTCACCTCCGTAGATTCAGATTCAGATTCAGAAGATCTAGGGTGGAGCCTGAAAATTGGCACTTTTAACAAGTTTGCAAGAAATGCTGATGTTGCAAGTCCAAGGAGCACCCTTTGAGAAGCCTTGCTGTATGTCAGTGCTTCTCAAACATTGCTACTAAAACACCACTAAGGGCAGTGAAGGGGGAACACAGCTCTTTAGGGGTATATGGGGCAGGAGATATTAAAAACTCAGAATTTCTTAGAAAATATCTGGCTTTATATGTTAATGTTGTGTGAATTTTGTATTCTATTCTCTAATACCACTTTTGTTTTCATCTAAATGATTTTTACAGCTAATTACCCCATATATAGACAATTACCCAAATATATATATATCGTGGATCATGACCAAAATTTATTATTTTTAATAAAATGGAATATAGTTGAAAATATTAGCATAATTACAAGTGGTAAAAATAAAATTTGCTTCATATAAATTATTTATATATCTGCATACACATATGTATATGTGTAGATGTATAGGTGGCAATGTAAAATGCCTTTCTCAACATGGAGAAATGGTCCTGATCACAGACATCCTGTACTTTGAGACACCTGGCTCTATAGTCTTTGAACTCTGTCCTTGCATCAAATTAGATCACCAAATAGCTACATTCCCTGATGCATTGTGTTAACTTACTGCAAAAAGTCTTTCACAGATAAATGGCCCCTAATATTTTAAATCATGAGAGTTTGATAATATAAATGATCAGAGGGAAAAAGTTGTCTCTACAGCCTGTGTAAAAGCACTCTTGAGTATACTGTCTGTTTTGCAGGTCAATGTCCCTTATCTAATGATCTGTCCAATAAATTCATATTAGAAACAGGTGCTAGGGCAAAAGTTTGCTTCTGCTTACTCACTGGTGTATTTTATCTTATTAGATAAGAAGTACACACTTCTTACCTAACTTCTCAAGTTTTTACCCATGCAATCAGATGGTGATGGTTCCTTCCTTAAGTTTTCTGGTACATGTGTATTCCCACTTCATTATAGGACTCTTATTCATTTCTTCTTTAGTGTCCTTATCATAAGCTGAGTCTTAACTGTAAGCCATTTCAAATATGTTTTTGAAGATGGAATATGTGAATAAACATATTTTTTATACCTTCTCTCCACCATCCTCTGGTACTCCACTCTTGCCAAGAACCCTCTGCACCTGGCCTGGGTTCGGGTAATCAGCTGGGCCAGCTTGTCATCTCGCATCTCCTCTAGGAGCCCCAGAAGACCAGCTTTGAAAAAGACCTGTGAATGGAAAGAGTTGCAAATCACAAGCTTTAATAAAGTTCAAAGGGACAGGAATAGCATCAGGTAGGATTTACAGAAAATTACCTTGGTGTGCCCAAATTTATACTGGGTGTGGTCAATGTCGATGGATGCAAGGAGCTTCTCAGAGGCCTTCTTGCTATCAATGAATTGCCCTTCAGGGATTGCACTTGCATTTAATACCTTGTATCTGTTGAAGTACATATAGCTTTTAACAACTAGTTTACTGATGACACAAATGCTAGCTAAACATTAAATGATTCATTTTTTAAAGCAGAGCTTTAAAAAAATATTATTCTTTGTTCACAAGGAGAACATTGTTTATTTGAATGGTCAACCCTTTGGCAACCAATTTTTATTCCATTTGCCTTTCCCTCGCAGTTGCAACTTTCCTTTCTGTCTCATCAGACCCTGTTCTTAGAAAAGGGTTCTGCCTTAAGAAAGGGACACATTATGGTGTGCCTAACCAATAAAATGTAATCTGTTATCTTTACTAGATGCATTTGCTTTTTAAGGCCCTGAATCCAAGAAAGCTACTTTTCATTGAAGAATTTGGTAGACAGTACACTTTAGGTATTCAGAACTATCCTAATCACCTAAAATCAAACTTAGACATGCTTTGGATCTTGAGCCCTGGAATCCTCTGTCAGTGCCACCTGACCCAGACCTGGGAGAGATCAGCTCCTAGCAGCTGCTACCCAGTCCTTCCCCACCTCTGCCTTTTCTTTGATTCTCAAGATGGGCTTATCTAGAGAGGAGAAAAGGGACCTGAGGAACAGTCATTGTGACATGTTCCCTCTGCCTCCAGGAAACCCTGGGAGTCTAATATGTGGGAGAAAAAGACGAACATAGATGATACCAAAGGAAATGACAGAAAATGAATAGCTATGTTTGTATGGAAGAGTTTCTAACTCAACCACTTAATAACTGTGACTTTGGGCAAGTACCTTAATTTCCCTGAGCCTCAGCTTATTCATCTATAAAGTGAAGTCTTAATAGTACCTACTTGCACTGTGTTTTTGCGAGGATTAAACAAGATAATCTGAACATATTAAGCACTCAAAAAGGTCGTTCTTAATTATTATTGGAGTTAACGTGTGCATCTATGAGCTAAGCTAAGTGCCTGATAAATCCAATGAAAATTCCACAAGGTGCTTAAAATTTTGTATATTTATATTTTAAAAGTATTTGAGGCTGGGCATGGTGGCTCATGCCTGTAATCCCAAAACTTTTGGAGGCCAAGGCTGGCGGATGACCTGAGGTCAGGAGTTTGAGACTAGCCTGGCCAGCATGGTGAAACCCCATCTGTACTAAAAATGCAAAAATTAGCTGGGCGTGGTGGCATATGCCTGTAGTCCCAGCTACTTGGGAGGCTGAGGCAGGAGAATCGCTTGAACCCAGGAGGCAGAGGTTGCAGTGAACTGAGATCACGCCATTGCACTCCAGCCTGGGTGACAGAGCAAGACTTTGTCTCAAAACAAAAGTGTTCGAGACTTGAGACTTGTAATTTTTTTACTTCTTTTTGTGACAAAACTAACAAGTAGAGGCATATGTTTCACTAAATTGTTTTGCTTGCATTAAACTTGTTCATATTAAACTTCAGAATACACCATAATCAGGAGAAACTGACCTCTGTTTGAAGTCTGCATAAAGGATTCTGCTTGGAAATCCTTTCCTACAGATGCGGATGCCTTCCAGCACACCGTTACACCTCAGCTGGTGGAGGACAAGCTCATGCTCCATGGCACCTAAAAATGCATATTTATTTCACTGCAGAGCTGTTGAAAAGGAGGTGTGGCAGTCATCCTTTGCACTTTCATTATGGAATTTCTTACCAGGAGTTTTTGTCTCATTGGGGATGATACACCTCACAAAGTGAGGATGGGTACTCCTGAGGTTGGTCATCAGCTTGTTCAAATTCTCCTGTAAAACCAGGAAAAATCCTGTCATTTTAGGCTCTAGACATGGATATGAGCAGTCATTGGTGTCTATAAAATCAATATCTATAGCTGAGTTGAATGACCAGTATGGACTGCATTCATATAAGGCAACACTTTGAATGCTTCTTCTGAGATGCTTTTTCCTCCTCAATAGATCTTTCTGCACTTGAGTTTCCGAGAGTTACACACAGAACAAGGAAAGCATCCTGGCATGTGCTTCTTTTCAGTTTATGCCAACACCATCCTTTCTACCCTGGTCCCTGGCCATACACATACATTTACAAGGCCATTGCCTTCCCATGCGAGATGATCGCTCTTTCTTCTACCAAATTCCATAGTTCTCCAATAAGGAAATGGAAGCCTGCACCACATTTGGACGTTTTCCTTATAATACAGCTCCTCTTTTCCAGCTCTATCAATTTTTAGGGGATAGAGATTATCTACAGGGGAGCAATCCTACCAATTATAATTGAAAATTGACTCGATTAAGAGCAAGGATACCATATTAGCTGCACTGCAGATTTGCTGCTAGAATTCATGAGTTCATTAGCCATACTGATGTCTTTTAGTCTCTCTGAGTTCATGTCATTGCTCTTTTTCATGGCTCAGCTAGATTATGAATGGCAGAGTATTATGGTCTATAAGATTTTCTATAAAATATTTCTCATTATTTGACTTAGCATGAAAAGTGAACTAATAATTTCTGAGTAATTTAAATCCCTTCTTTCCAAAGTTAGATCAACAGAGTCACTAGTTACTATCAGTCCTTTTCTAAACTACTCATGGAATGATCTTGTACTTTTAAAAGCAAATTTTATGCATTGGGTACAGTGTACACTGCTCTGGTGATGGGTGCACCAAAATCTCAGAAATCACCACTAAAGAACTTATGCATGTAACCCAACACCACCTGTTCCCCAAAACCTATTGAAATAAAAAATAAATTTAAAAAAAGAAAAGACGAGGGGAATTTTGCCCAGCGAGATGTCAAAGCATATTACAAAGTAATTTTAATAAATGTAATGTGATATTAGTATATGAATAGATAAATATATCCTTAGAACAAAAATAGAAGTTCAGAAAAACAGACCCATGTAAAAAAAATCCCAAAGTAATTGGAGAATGTCAAAAACAATTTCTTCCTTACTCTGAAAAGGGCAGACACTGTCTGGAAAGAAGAGCCCTTCTTCTTACCACCTTTCTTGGCCCCTCCACCAGCTCCCTCTGAAGAAAAAGGAAGAAAAGAAATACTGTTTTGAATTGGCAGGGCTACTTCTTGCGTATTTGCTGATTTCTGTGTTCATCGAGTGGAGCCTTTTTTCTACCCAGCTGGCCTCTCTGATTGAGCCTGAATGAATCTTATTTTTCAACTAAGTTTGCAGCCACTTATCTGTGATTCTTTCTCCAGTGGGAAATGAGGCCAGGGATATTCACCTGACCGTATAGAGAGGGATTCCCTAATATTAGGACATGTGAGGAGCTAACTTCAAAAATCATCAATAGAAGCTAGTACTGAGAGGTGGAAGTTTGTCACTCTGTTGCCTAAGATTTATACCCTCAGATACTCTATATATCCTGCAGATGTGGAGGAAGAAGTAGGAGAGAATCGTAGAAGCTGAGGCTTTTCATTGGTTGAGAGCCTGATAATCCTCTCTGACTCTGCAATAGGGCTCCTGTCAGCAGTGGAGTGAGCCACAAATGTATAATTACAAGGCTGCCTATCTATTCAATACTTGGAGGAACCAGGGGCTTGGTCTGCAACCCTTCTGCCAGACCTAAGAGATCACTAGCTTCAATTTAACATCACATTTTGTAATACCTAGAGAGTATTATTAACATTTGAGCATTACCTCCTTCAGCAGTTTGAGCCCCAGAGAAGAGCTGAGCTAGAGTTTTCATTGCAGACTTCTGGTACAGTCCAACCACGGTCTCATTCAGGGGGTCCTTGTTCTTCTCCAGCCAGCCAGTAATGTTGTAGTCCACAACACCAGCATAGTGAATCAGAGCGAAGTGGGCCTCGGCCTTGCCTTTGACCACCTTGGGCTTCTGGAAGTTGGCAGACTTGCCCAGGTGCTGGTCATACAGCTTGTTCTTGAAGGAGGTGTCTGTTGCCTTAGGGAACATGCACTCCTCTTCCAGGATGGAGAAGATGCCCATAGGCTAAAAAGCAGACCACAACACAAAATTGTACTTCTATTTTTTTTTCTGTCTATAGAATTAAAATAAAAAGCAGCGAATAATATAGTTGCCGCAAAATATGGTTTCAGAAATGCAAAACCAACCTTCTCGATGAGCTCGATGCAGGCAGCCAGGTCCATCCCGAAGTCGATGAACGTCCACTCGATGCCTTCCTTCTTGTACTCCTCCTGCTCCAGCACGAACATGTGGTGGTTGAAAAACTGTTGCAGTTTCTCATTGGTGAAGTTGATGCACAGCTGCTCCAGGCTGTTGAACTAAATAAATAGATATGTTTACTTCTCTCTTAAGCAAATTGAGTATTTTTTAAAATACAGAACTTTTCCATTTTAAAAATATGTGTCCAAGAGCCTTTATATTACAGATATTAAAATCACTGGGTTAAAGAGACTTTGAAATAAAAGGTGAAAAGTATGGAAGGTTTGAGGGCATGTGGAAGCTACTATTTTTCTGCTGTCATTTTGTAGAAAATCCTACCATTATGATATTCTTTTCCTGCATTTGCTTAAGTTTATTCAGGTATTTTCCTGAGTACCTACTTAATCATCCTGTGTTTATTCCCATTATCTTCTACATTTTCCAGAAGGTTTACAGTTTTCTGTTGACTCATTTAGGAGCCAACTTGCAACCCATGAGAAGCTGGCTGGGAGGAGTCTATCTTGCTTGGCAATCACATGGTCAGCATGGCAAGTGAACAATAATTTGCCACCCCTGTTATTCTTTAATGTGAAATGAAAAAAAAAAAAGATCAAGATACCAAGTATTATATAAAGTATGACAATATACATTTGTATTTTTAAAAATTCCCCAAACAGCACTTTGGGAGGCTGAGGTGGGCGGATCACGAGGTCAGAAGATCGAGACCATTCTGGCTAACATGGTGAAACCTCGTCTCTACTAAAAAAAATACAAAAACATTAGCCGGGTGTGGTGGCAGGTGCCTGTAGTCCCAGCTATTCGGGAGGCTGAGGCAGGAGAATGGCGTGAACCCAGGAGGCGGAGCTTGCAGTGAGCCGAGATCACGCCATTGCACTCCAGCCTGGGCAACAGAGTGAGACTCCATCTCAAAAAAAAAAAAAAAATCACCAAAATATTAACATTATATATAAATAGTAGAATTATGTGGAATCTTTTTCCTTGGGACCTTCTATATCCTCTGCAATGCCCTAAGTTTTGCTTGTATAATTAGAAAAAAAAATTAAACTTCTTGAAAACTATAATCAAGAAAAATATATTTCGTAATCAAATATGAATTTTTATTTCATGATATCACACTAATGAGTCTTAAAAGCTAATTGCATTTGTTACTGCTGACTCTAAATTATTAACGTTTCTCAGCTCTTATTGTCTCTAAGTATTTCTTAAAATAGACCTTCAATCCCACTGTACTAAGCTAATTCAGAACTCCCTTTGTATCAATAACAAGTTGGGGAGTCCTTATTAAGTGCATTGTTGTTTTTTATAGAAGTGGAATTGGTACTACAATAACTGACCAGTTACTCTCTTTTAAGGCTTAAAATAATTTCTACAGTGGTAAGAAAAGGTCATAGTCTTCACTAATTCCTTCATATAGATATTTCCATTGCCTTACTGTAAAATCCTCTCACCAATCAGCTACAAACTCACATCAAAAATCTCAAAACCAGCAATGTCCAAGACCCCGATGAAGTACTGCCTGGGCTGCTTGGTGTCCAGCTGCTGGTTGATGCGGGCAACCATCCACAGGAACATCTTCTCGTAGACGGCTTTGGCCAGAGCACCTACTGCGTTGGACACCTTAAAAGACAAAATTATAACTCTCGAAGTTATTAAAGGCCTATGAAAATGCTTTCATCCCTGGCAGTTAATTTGAATTATGCACCTACCTGTTCTACAGTCTGGCCTTTGGTGACATACTCATTGCCGACCTTGACCCTGGGGTAGCAGAGAGCTTTGAGCAGATCTGCAGAGTTCAGACTCTGGAGGTAGGCCGCCTTGTCAGCAACTAAAAAGAAGAAAGAGTAGAACAATGTTATTGTGGCCCAAAGAAACCCACTTCCTTAAAAATATTTTTTAAACTACAAGTATTTTGTGCAGTGTTTTAAATATCTCTTTCTGAGTATCCTTACCCATTTGTTCATTAAGTTCAAGTTTTTGATTATGGGGTAGTTTGCCCTAAAGAACTTCAATAATTATAGGAAACACCTACCTAGTGCTTATGTTTCCCATTGCACATTATTTAGGTATACAGATACTTTAAAACTTAATTCTTAAAAGTGAATTTACCTTCCCTAGGAAAATTCCTGGGTAACAAGTTAAGAATGTGATTTTCAAACAAATGCAAAATCATGGGAGTGACTTAGTTGATACCTTCTGTGCCATCTGGCTCTGCTTGCTCCTCACGCTGCTTTTGCTTAAATTTTAGGTTCCCATAATGCATCACAGCCCCCGTGAGCTTGTAAATGGAGACCTTTTCTTCATTAGTAAAGCCCAAAATATCAATAGCACTCTGTCAATATAACCAATAGGATAGCTGTTAGGTTGTGATCCACACGCTTACTGTTAATACTGCACATTCCCATTGCTGGCCTGAGGAAACTACCAGTGCTAATGGGAGACAAGGAACCCCTTAGATTGGGTATATAGAGAGTTGGTCAACCAAAGGCCAGCACAGAGCATTAGAATTATAGGTGCATACCCTCTGAAGATTCAAAACGGGAACTTAGAACAGAGAACAAAGATAGTAAATCTAAGGAACTTGTTATTTTGAGAGATGGTAGGAATCTAATGCAAGTCAATTGCAAAAAAAAAAAAATAGTTTAGAAATTTTCAGAAATGATAGATCTTTAGAACAATGTAAGGGGTAAGCAAAATGTTATAGGGGCACATCATACTCTTTTCATTTGACTCCAAGGGGCATGTCCATTTGCATCCTGGAATCTTCTTTTGCCATTTCTACTAGACACTGAATATTTATCTGGATCACCATTACTCTGACCCACCATAATAATTCCAATTTTCTTGTGTTCTACTTACATCTGTGGCCATCAGTTCTTCCTGATCATCGATGCTGGCCACACTGATCTCCCCTTGACTGACAAATGGGTAATCATATGGGTTCGTGGTAATCAGAAGCATTTCTAAGTACAGGAAACAGAACAAAGATAAACATAATTATCTTCTTCATTAAAACAAGAGATTTCTAGACAAATTGTGAGGCACTATATTGTTGTGGGAACTCAGGGACCCCAAATAGAGGGACCGGCTGAAGCCATGGTGGAAGAACATAAGTTGTGAAGATTTCATGGACATTTATTAGTTCCCCAAATTAATACTTTTATAATTTCTTACGCCTGTCTTTACTGCATTCTCTGAACATAAATTGTGACGATTTCATGGACATTTATCACTTCCCCAATCAATACTCTTGTGATTTCCTATGCCTGTCTTTACTTTAATCTCTTAATCCTGTCATCTTCATAAACTGAGGATGAATGTTGCCTCAGGACCCTGTGATGACTGCGTTAACTGCACAAATTGTTCGTAAAGCATGTGTGTTTAAACAATATGAAATCTGGGCACCTTGAAAAAAGAACAGGATAACAGCGGTGTTCAGGGAACAAGGGAGATAACCATTAGGTCTGGCTGCCTGAGAGCCGGGTGGAACACAGCCATATTTCTCTTCTTTCAAAAGCAAATAGAAGAAATATCGCTGAATTCTTTTTCTCAGCAAGGAACAGCCCTGAGAAAGAGTATGCGTTCCTAGGGGGAGGTCTCTAAAATGGCTGCTCTGGGAATGTTGTCTTTTACAGTTGTAGATAAGGGTTGAAATAAGCCTGGTCTCCTTTAGCGCTCCCAGGCCTATTAGGACAAGGAAATCCCGCCTAGTAAATTTTAATCAGACCGGTTGTCTGCTCTCAAACCCTGCCTCCTGATAAGATGTTATCAATGACAATGGGTGCCCAAAACTTTATTAGCAATTTTAATTTCACCCCAGTCCTGTGATCTCACCCTGCCTCCATTTGCCTTGTAATATTTTATTACCTTGTGAAGCATGTGATCTCTGTGACCCACACCCTATTCGTACACTCCCTCCCCTTTGAAAATCACTAATAAAAACTTGCTGGTTTTGTGGCTTGGGGGGCATCACAGAATCTGCCGACATGTGATGTCTCCCCCAGATACCCAGCTTTAAAATTTCTCTCTTTTGTACTCTTTCCCTTTATTTCTCAGACCAGCCAGCACTTAGGAAATAGAAAAGAACCTATGTGAAATAACATTGAATTATTGGGGGTGGGTTCCCCCGATATCACATGATGCTTTGTTGATGACTGATGGGCACTGGAGAGGCGTTTAAAGGATATTAGGCACCATCGCAAACACCTTGAAGTTGATGTCATGGTGCTCTTATAAATCCTTATTAAAAAATAAAATGGCCGGGCACAGTGTCTCATGCCCATAATCCCATCACTTTGAGAGGCCAAGGTGGCCAGATCACCTGAGGTCAGGAGTTCGAGACCAGCCTGGACAACATGGTGAAACCCCATCTCTACTAAAACACAAATATTAGCCAGGCATGGTGGCGCATGCCTGTAATCCCAGCTACTTGGGAGGCTGGGGCAGGGAGAATCGCTTGAACCTGGGAGGTGGAGGTAGCTGTGAGCTGAGATTTCGCCATTGCACTCTGGCCTGGGTGACAAAGTGAGACTCCATCTCAACAAACAAACAAACAAACAAACAAAACTATTGTAATCCAAAGAGGATAATCACATAATGGGAAAAGTTGTATCACTATAGTGTTGATTATATACAATCCAGAATTGGAAATAATCTATCTGTAAAGAGGGTATGGTTAAGTAATTTGTGCTTATTTCTAGAATAGAACACTATGCAACCATTGGAAATAATGATGTGGAGCTATATTTAGTGACATGGAAAAAGCTATGATACATAATTGCTCAGTAAAAAAGTAGATTACAGGAGAGCATGTAACCATGATTTCAGTTATGAAAATTGTATGTATGTATCTATATGTAGAGATATGTATACAGAAAATGACTAGAGAGATATTCATCCAAGTGTTCATGGTGGTTATTTCATAGTAGTAGGAATTAGAGATGTTATTTTCAGTTTTCCTTTTGATTTCCTTTGAATTTTTCTAATGAGCACATATAAATTTTTACCAAACTCACAAAGCTATTTATAAAATAAAAAGGCACATAAACTTGACAAAATTCAGTCATAGAATACTAGGTTGGACTGTGCATTGATAGGTACTGATGCAGTAATTCTGGAAAAGAATTATGACATTTCTTACCAATAAGTTCTGGTTTCTTATTCGATGTAATCTGGTAAAAAATATGATAACTTCTCTCAGCCTTAAGCTGGAAAACAACTCTAGACTTCTCTAGCAGATCTGGAAGGAAACAAATAACACATAAGAAAATTGTAAAAATTCATGTGACATGCGAATTTGATTTTTGGTCAGTTTTTTAGGTCATATGAATCAGAAATGATTTTAAAGATATCTGAACACTTACATGTTTCAATATCAGCAGATGCCAGTTTTCCAGTAGTGCCAAAGTGGATTCTGATGAATTTACCCTTGAAATAAAAGCTAATATTACTACCTTTTTTTTATATAATATTAAATCTTTGAGAAATTCCAAACATTTGATGCTGGTACTTTAATATTAAATCAATTCAGAGAGTATTTGCATCAGGTAGAAAAAGGTGTATCTCCTATTTTATAAGTAGAAGAGTTTTATCTTTGATTTAAAAATTGTAAATATTTCTTAAGTATGTGAAGTAATGGATATGTTAATTAGCATGTTAATCATTCCATAATATACACATAACATATATCAAAACATCACATTGTATTTCGTAAGTACAATTATTATTTGTAAATTAAAAATAAAAATTTTAAAATTGTGAGTAAGTGTAGATCATGACAGATAAGAAAGAACTCAGGAAAAAGGCCATATATCCTTCAAGATGGGGCTTTGATCTATGTTATTACATGCTCAGAGGAAAAGGAAAGAACAATGATGTAATAGAATGGGAATGAAAAAGATTCAGAGAATGTAATTACAAACATCTCATAAATTTTGACCAGTGAACAGCATCTATTAGCGTGTCCAAGAGACTTACAAAGCGAGAGGAGTTGTCATTCCTCACGGTCTTGGCGTTGCCAAAGGCCTCCAGTAGGGGGTTGGCACTGATGATTTGATCTTCCAGAGTCCCCTGCAAAGGCAAGAGCAGTCCTTGCATCTGGGGCTTGGGAATTTCCTACCTGAGAGTCCCGACAGAGTCTGGATTCTGACTGTGACAATCAGACTCACCTGTATTTTGCCAGAAGTAATTTCTTCCTTCTTCTTCTCACCAGTAACTGCAATTGTTGCAAAGTACTGGATGACACGCTTGGTGTTCACAGTCTTCCCTGCACCAGATTCTCCACTGTCAAATCAAAACTCAATCAGATGTGGTCTCAAACCTAGCAGCTATCACAGCCATGTAAAGAAAGCATAAAATCTACTTACGTGATCAGGATTGACTGATTCTCTCGGTCTACAAAAGAAATTATAGACATTTAATACTGTTTTCTTACATATTTGTAAATGATAAGTAAAGTAAAATGGAATGAACTTAGTATTATTCAGTCTGGACTTTGCAACCTTTAGGGCTTGGCAGGCTTTAGACCTACCACTTTCTCCCTCCCCAACTTTAGCACACATCCACCCATTTAAACAGAACACCACTACTTTTATTGGTTTTATATTCAAATCTTCCAAGAAATATTTCCTTCGAGGAAAAAAATTCTAAGATGAAGGAAAATGTTTGAATGCCACTCTATAAGTGATGACCACGTGGCTGTGTATTCCTGAAGCACCAGACTTTTTCTTTTTAATACTCTATCACTAAATAAACACCAAAAGTAGACTTGGCTCTTTGGTTAGGTTTAGTTGATGATTTAAGTTAGGGACATATATATTGTGGGTGCAAGGCGTAATGAAGAATGAGCATTAGAGATATTTTTAATGTGTGAAAAGGAGTAAGTACAGTAAAGGTGATAGTTTTAGAAATACGGCTTTGGTCATATTTTTAGGAAAAGGTAAAATTTTGTTTTGATGTTTTACTGTCTCTGAAGAGGAATTCTCTAAGCCCCTTCTCAAGGTGCCACAAGTAGTTTAGATTGGTCTAGCCAAGACAATATTGTAGGAAGCAGATTCAACATCTAACTGTTTTAATACCAAATACACCTTAAATCTGGAGCCTGTTCAGGTTGGTTCTGGGCAAAGGGCGATAGCATTGTGCCGTCCTTCATATAGAGAGACTGTTTAATCTGTCACAATTTAGGATGCTGAGGCTGAAACTACAGAGACAAGTTTTACTCTTCCATTTTTTGGCTCATAGTAACGGAGACACAGTTTGTATGTGTGATTGTGCGTGCATGAGTGTGTGTGTGTGTGTGTATATATACATACACAGAAATATTTGTATTTTTGCTCATATTTATTTGAGTTTCTGAGTCATTCAAAAGTATACTAACTAACCATGGCCAGCCTCTGTTGAACTTTTCAAAATTTAAGAGATCATTAGCAATTATGTAATATTACGCATTACAAATCAGCCTTTCTCCCCTTCCTGGACCTTCTCCTTCATAAATACACCAGCCTCAACTAAAAGGGACGATCTCAAGGAATGTGTTGAGATTGCCTCGAGTCTCTTTCTCCTATGGTTCTGCTCTAAAGGTTTACGCACTTGCAAAGCATTCGGCTCACTCACCAGTCAGCATGAACTGATAGGCGTTGTCAGAGATGGAGAAGATGTGGGGCGGGGCCTCCTGGCGCTTTTTGCCTCGGTAGGCTGTCACCACCTCGGGCTTATACACAGGCAGCCACTTGTAGGGGTTGACAGTGACACAGAAGAGACCTGAATAGGTCTATGAGAAGGAAAAAGAATAAGTACCCAAAGACCTTTCCTGTTATTTGTGAAATTAACTTATTAATTGAATGTTTTTTTGAGACAGGGTCTTGCTCTGTCACCCAGGCTGGAGTGCAGTGGTGCTACCTCAGCTCACTGCAGCCCCAACCTCCCGGGCTCAAGCAATCCTCCCACCTCACCCTTCCAAGTAGCTGGTACTACAGGCATGCATCACCATGCCCAGCTAATTTTGTACGTGCTTTTTGTAGAGCTAAAGTCTCACTTTGTTGCCCAGGCTGGTCTGGAAATTAATTGAATTTTAACAAAAAGGAGCACTTTAAGTGAGTACTCTTATTTCTTCAAGGCATCAGCTTGAAAACTAGTTGGCAAGTTCAACAATGTGATAGCAGAATCCTGAGGGAAGTGACTACAATTCAGCTTTCTTATTGCTCTCCTCAGGGCTTTTCACAGTGATTTTTACATAGCAGAAGAAGAAGTACATGTTATTAAACACATGTGCTATGAAACTTTTATTGTTTTATGGAAATGGTTTATATTTTCTTTGCAGCATTAAGATAATTCAAATTTATGAGAACATAAATTTGGACATAAGCTAAGTGGCCAACAGTAAGGGAATGGTTAGGTGAACTATGGTAAATCTTCTAAGACAATTTGATGCAGGCATTTAAAAAAGTAAACATGAAAGTATACAGCAACACTCAGGAAATATTTACAAAACGTTTTTAAGTTATAAGGAAACAGGACACGAAATGATATATATATATATATATATATATATATATATACATCATGATTACAATAGGGGGATTTAAAAAATCTTTGACAATTGGTTCAAGACAAGCACCAACTAGTTAAACTGGATGCTGACCATCAACTCTAGGTACACTTGTATAGGTGTTGCCTAGCTAAATAACAGCACTGGCTAAACTATGCAAAAATATGAATATAGTATAATAAATTTGATTTAAAAATATTTACTGCATGTTTATTATGTGCAGACCTTTACCAGACAGTATAAATGAGACCAGATAAATGAGATGATGTCCCTTGAGGAATCCCCAGTCTATGTAGGAGACAGTCATGTAAATGAATGATCAAGGAGAAACATGGTTAGTGTTAAGGCAGGGACAGAAAGGAAAGGACAGAACATCTCACTGCTTGGGGAAGTGGGAGAGGTTTCATCGAGGAGGTGACATTCCAGATAGAAGGGACCAGAACACACAGATACAAATTGCTGTTATTTCAGGGGATTGAAAATGAGTGAAATTTGTTTTTAAAAAAAAAAAAAATGTAGGCCAGGCATGATGGCTTATGCCTGTAATCCCAGCACTTTGGGAGGCCAAGGCAGGCGGATCATTTGAGCCCAGGAGTTCGAGACCAGTCTGGGCAACATAGTGAAACTCTGTCTCTGCTAAAAAAAATACGAAAAAAAAAAAAATAGCCGGGCATGGTGGCACATGCCTGTAATCCCAGCTACTCTGGAGGCTGAGGCACAAGAATCGCTTGAACCCACGAGGCAGAGGTTGCAGTGAGCCGAGATCGCACCACTGCACTCCAGCCTGGGACACAGAGCAAGACTCTGTCTCAAAAAAAAATTAAAATAGTTTAAAGTGTTAAAACATGTTTATCTTTTCACTCTGGATGATTCTGCGGCTGGAGTGGGGAAAAGGAATGGGGAAAATTACCTGTGATTGAAATATAAGTAGTAACTGCTCAAATGCCTATTGAAGGGTTTCTGGGCAAACCTAGTCAACATGGACAGCGGCCTTCCCCAGCTTTGGATGGGAAAACAAGGAAGTGCTGGCTGTTGAGCTGTGCTTTACGATAGCAATCATGAAGCCTTTTAACTAGTTATGCTGCAATGAAAGTGAAATGGGTCACTACCTGTGACCTATTTATGCTCAGTGGAAGAAGCAGGATGGTAGGGTACATGAGGATGATTATACAGAGCACTGGCAGGGGACACTCACGTAGATCATCCAGGCTGCATAACGTTCTTTGAGGTTGTACAGCACAGCAGGCTCATGCAGATGAGTCATCATGGCCATATCCTCGATCTTGTCATATTTGGGAGGGTTCATGGGGAAGACCTGATCATCCTTCACTGTCAGAGTCTGGTAAACAGGAAAGATAACCGTTTACATTAATTGAGTGACCAAACAACAACAACAAAAATCAATAAAATGTGGCAAGCTCCTGGGATTCTACTCACCGCTCCTCCCTCAGTCTTCACCGTCACTTTTCCTCCTTCTCTGCTCTGGATGGTCCCTTTGACAAAGGATTCTTTGGGCTCCGCCACAAAGACAGATGTTTTGGCATCAAAGGGCCTATTCTGGGCCTCAATGCGCTCCCTTTCAGACTTTCGGAGGAAAGGAGCAGCCTCCCCAAAAACAGCCAATTCTGAGTCTGAACTCATGGCTGCTGAACTCAGAGGTCCTAAAGGAGATAAAACTTTCACATTAGAGAGTCTGGATTGCCATGTATACCAATAAATCTTAATATTTATTGTATTTCATAGGCCCAGTTGGAAATTCCACTAGACAGGTCTACTGTTCACCATACTATAGTTACTGAGACAAACATAATCACAAGAACGAAAATGCATCAGGTGGTCTCTGTGTACCCAATGCCGTATTTAGGGCTTTGCATCCACTGTCTTATTTCATCCTCCAGGACTCACATTCTCATTGGGAACTGAATTACAGTCCAGTGCTGCTGTCAAGTAGCTTGTGACCTTGGGTATGTCACTTGATGTTTTTGAGCCTAAGTGACTCCATCTTTAGAATAGGGATTATAAATTCTGCCTTTCTAAATTCACAGCCCATGATATATGTGAAGATACTTTGAAAAAGAGGTTTAAATGATGACTGAGAAAGTAATTTGAAATTGTTCAGGCCACCATTTATATATGAGATGTCATGAATTATCATGTCACAAAATTCCATGTCTTGAATGTAATGTAGAAGAACTTTATTTCCTCCTTTACCTGTTCAGCCAGATTTGTTGAAGTTCAGTGGCTTATTGGAGATTATAATTTTGTTTACCTTTTTTTCTTTTAGGTTAGGTGCTTAGTATAGTTTCTCTGACATAATTTTTTGCATATTAAATACAGTTCATCAGTTTAACCCCCTTAAACTAATTAGGGATAAAAACAGTAGCCAACGTTAACCTCATTCTTCTACATCTAAGGGCTCCCTTTACTATTCCAAATTTTCCTTTGAAGCATGCAGGCCCTGTTTGCTCCGTTCTATGTGATCTGTAGGTTGCCAGTGGTATCAGTAGAATGAAAGGTTTGGCAAATAATTCTACCGCAGTCATTACATGATCAAATTACTTGAAACTCATTTGAATCGTCTCTTCTAGTCTCTCCCTTTAGAAATGCAGTAAGTAGTGGGAGGGCAGATTAATACCTCTATTATATATAAGAAAAATGCCACAGCACTCGGCATTGTGTAAGGTGACTTTTTACAAGGGCTTTAAGAAGTTTAAAGAAAGGATTGTCTTACTTCCATTTTACATTGTTGGACATTATGTTTACTAAATGAATTCTAACAGCAGGATACATTTTTATCAAATTTGAGATTTTTAGCCAGGGAATCTGAGGGTAGACTCTTTTTTTCCTGCACAGACAATATATTTATTCAAAGCGATTCCCCTGCTCAAATGTCACCCCACCAATGCTTGAGCCGTAAATGAGGATGTGTGCATTGTCCTGAAAGGACAGTCCTCCCTTTCTCACCGCTTTCCTGAAGCACAGTTGTTAAAGGGTATTTACTGAGACAAGCACTTTCTGAAAGGTTGCTAAGTGACAGAAATCCATCCCAGAGCCTCTTGCATTCTCCTCCAGGAACTGGTTAGTCCAAATCTTACCTTGTTAGCAAGTGAGAAGATGTAGCCTGGGAGTGAGACAGTTCTATAAAAGAAAAGGGAAAAGCACTTGATTAGTTGACCAAAAAGAGGGGGAAAAAATCCCATTTATGGCATGGCTTGCTATTGTAAACAGAAGTAACAAAATTCATAGAGGTAAAACGTGCAGTTCCAGAAGGAGCAGTACCAGAACTAGCAGCTGCTGCTGACACTGGGCGGTGTGACCAGTGTCCCTCTTGAAAGGCCCGTCCTGCTCCCACTTACCTTGGAGCTTTTTAAAGCAGGACGAGTCAGCCTCATTCCAAGGGCTCTTTTATATGGATAGCTATGGAAACAATGCAGCTGCCTCTTCTTTCTTAAGTCAAAAGGAATTGTTTGGCAAAATACCTCTTGGCAATCTAGCGTCCCCGCATAATTCTCATTCATATTAAGAATGGTTGGATATAATTAGAAATATTTTTCTTATTGAGTATGTGGATAAATCTCCTATGGATAATTTGAGAAGATGATCTGAAAGAGTCAAGCTGGTGGATAAAGGCAGTGGCTGGGCAGCCAGGATACCTGGCTTCCCTCGGAACTTCTTTTTGGCTTTGCTGGGCACAGCATTCGGGCTTGCCTCGCATCACTTTCGCATATTTCACGTGTTAAGTCACATAAATAAAATACAAATATGTATTTTAATTTTGTGACAGTTAATTTTTACCTGTTGGTCCTTTCTTTCCAGCCCTGCAAAATTAAGCGATGTGCCTTCAACAACTTAAAGAGACAGAAGGTCCTCTCTGTTATTCCAATATTCCTGTAGTTTCAGGAATTTCCTTGCTCGCTCACCTTTTTGCTTTTGCCAAAGTTGTTCCCTCTACTTAGCACACCATTTCCTGTCCCCCTACCCATTTGACTTGCCTGAAATAAAAAAGGTTGAATATTTTCTAGTAGCAGAGGTGTTTTTAGAGAGTACTTTTCAACATTTTTTCGTGTCATAGCCCGCTGAGAAAAAAATGACAATATTAGTGTAGCATGCTAGAGTAATGTGGAAGGGATTTGTCTATATCTGTAAAGGGCTTGGGGAGAATATTTTTAATTTTTTTACATTCCTTTATGTAATATAAATATAATAACTATGATACACATAGCATTAAGGAAAATATTAAATACTGAATATGTCGGAAACTTACAAATAATATCTTCTTGAAAATCCTAAGGAAAAATTTGAGCTATATCCTACAAATAAAACTTGTTTGTTTCTGACTTTATTCTTGAAATATGACACAAATTTCCAGATCAAATTTTCAAAAATGATACAAACAGTATCTGTGTTCTTGATAATTACCATAGCGGGGATTTTTGTCCAAGAAGGAGGGATGAAAATGGAAAACCAAGTAATTTACAACTGTTGGAGTATTTTAAAAATTCACCAGTTCTTCTTTCTCCTTCATTGAAAAATATAATGTTGAATATTCTCGTACAGTGAAAATAAGTTTTTAATCCATTTAAACTCTCTCTTTCATATCAAATATTTCAAAGGATAATGAAGCTCTAATCTTCAAAAACTTCATGGGTTAAAGGAGTCATCAGCATTGGTCAAAGGGCACACCAGTCACAAATACACACAAGTACCTGATCTATTCAAAGTCTAAGGTTTGGAGCTATTACTGTGGGCTACCTCTTCCAGTACAACCTACTTAGCCTTCTGGCACCTTTACTCTGGCTGGATGCTCTCTGGGCTGCATGCCTTGTCCCAGGCATCCTGGAACACCAACCCTCCCAGCAATTCCAGGGGTCTCTTGACTGCAGAAGACAGCATTACATTCTCAGCTGGCTGCTGAAGTCCTTCTTGGTTCCATCCAGCACATGGCAAATACCACCATTGTGCTTGCCTCCTGTAGGAATCATAGGTTATGCTGTCAGACTCGAATGCAGCCCAGTCAACACTCTGAGGAACCCTTAGTCAGCCTTCTCCCAGCTAGGAGCCACCTCCCAAGGTCCCCCTCCCCATCCAGCCATTCTGAGACTGAAGAGATCAACATTTTATGGCACATCAGTTACCTTTTTGATGCCAAGATACACTGGTTGGGAAGCTCTGTTTTAAGGTGAGCTGTTGAGCTGTTTTTCCAAACTAAACAGCCATTTTTAGTGCCCACAGCAATAGTTTAATATTCTCTTGTTCCATCTCTGCTGCCAATGGGCATTTTCCTTATGTTTTATTAAATAGTTCTTATTTTATGTTATTTACAAAATGATCTTCACTTTTTTTTTTTTTTTTGAGATGGAGTCTCACTCTGTCACCCAGGCTGGAATGCAGTGGCATGATCCCGGCTCACTGCAACCTCCGCCTCCCGGGTTCAAGCAATTCTCCTGCCTCAGCCTCCCAAGTAGGTGGGACTACAGGCACATGCCACCACGCCCAGCTAATTTTTTTGTATTTTTAGTAGAGATGGGGTTTCACCATGTTAGCCAGGATGGTCTCAATCTCCTGACCTTGTGATACACCCGCCTCGGCCTCCCAAAGTTCTGGGATTACTGGTGTGAGCTACCGCGCCCAGCCTGATCTTCAATTTTAAGTCAATCCATGGTTCTATATTCTGTTTCCTCATTTGGTAAACTCCTTCAGTGAATACTGTGTTCTATAGGTAGCCGCTGTCTAATACATTGTTTTTGACTATAAAGAAGAAAATGCAAAGCCTTGTTCCCAGTAATTAAGAGACACACCTTAATTGTTCCCGTGCCACTTGGCTCAGGATCTGTGACTGTTAAATGTTCTCTGAGAACAAGAGCTTAAGGAATATGTCATTCGGGATCATCTTTTCCACTATGTAAACAGGTCAAAGACATACATTCACTTTGTGTCCTTTTCTTGATTTCATTGTATTTTTACCACTGCTGCAATAAGTCAGAGGCTTTCTACTTTGCATTGCTCACACCTGGGACTATCTGTCACATTTTGGTGTGGTGACAGCTTGGGAATGAGCTAATTTAAGAGTGCTGATACTCTCTCTGAATCTCCTTGCATTGTCTATGCCATGCAAGGAGATTCAGAGAGAGTAGCAGCCACTGATCTGGTCTTCAGGAAGGTTACAATCTGAGAAATCGGGAGAGCACTAATAGATGGCTCAAGTCACCTTCAGAACAACGTGACGGCGGCCTTTAAAAGTTACAGTGTGTAAATCCTTTGCAGAAAAGGATCCATATTTTCTGCATCTACTTGATCCTCATCAACACTTAGGATAGTGCTGACATGTAGAAAGTGCTCTGAAATTCTAGTTTATAAATTCTCAGATGCCCTGGGTTTCTTTATCCTAATCATTCTTGTCCCCAATAACTGAAATTGGGACCTGGATTTAACTTTTGGCTGCATACCAGCTGGATATCCTTGGAAATTTACTAAACCTTCTCAAGACTCAGCTTCCTGCTCTATAAAAGGGATAAGTGCTACCTCATAGGGGTTTGTGAGGAGTAAACAAGACACGAAAGTGCTTAGAAGCTGAAAACAGTGCCTGGTACCCATCACTCATTCAACTGATATTAACAATTGTGATTACTATTGCCCCCCACAGTTTGTTAGTTCTTATTCTGAAGTCTCTGCAGAAGTGAAACTAGTTTTCTTTCTGATCTCTATAACAAGACATGCTCCCTTGATCATTTCAGTCACTCAATAAACATTTGCACAGCATGACTATACGGCAGGCTCTCGGGTAAACTCCCCACTGCCACTATGGAATGCCCTCCTCTCTTTCATATTATTGTTTCATTATATCAAAATCCAGCTCAGCTCTTATTCAGACATTTTCTCAATTATTCCATCAGATAGAGAAAAGGCAGTTTGGCCTGCGCAGAGAGACAAACTGGCATTAGCTGTTACATGAAGAAAGGTGTGGTGTAAGAAGAGGCTGGTCGTGGTGGCTCACACGTGTAATCCCAGCACTTTGGGAGATTGAGATGGGTGGATCACCTGAGGTCAGGAGTTTGAGACCAGCCTGGCCAACATGGTGAAACCCCGTATCTACTAAAAATACAAAAATGAGCCGGGTGTGATCCCTGGCGCCTGTAATCCCAGCTATTCGGAAGGCTGAGGCAGGAGAATCACTTTTTTTTTTTAATTTTTTAAAAATTTTATTATTATTATACTTTAAATTTTAGGGTACATGTGCACAACATGCAGGTTTGTTACATATGTATACATGTGCCATGTTGGTGTGCCGCACCCATTAACTCGTCATTTAGCATTAGGTATATCTCCTAATGCTATCCCTCCCCACTCCCCCACCCCACAACAGTCCCTGGAGTGTGATGTTCCCCTTCCTGTGTCCATGTGTTCTCATTGTCCAATTCCCACCTATGAGTGAGAACATGCGGTGTTTGGTTTTTTGTCCTTGCGATAGTTTGCTGAGAATGATGGTTTCCAGCTTCATCCATGTCCCTACAAAGGACATGAACTCTACATTTTTTATGGCTGCATAGTATTCCATGGTGTATATGTGCCACATTTTCTTAATCCAGTCTATCATTGTTGGACATTTGGGTTGGTTCCAAGTCTTTGCTATTGTGAATAGTGCCGCAATAAACATACGTGTGCATGTGTCTTTATAGCAGCATGATTTATAATCCTTTGGGTATATACCCAGTAATGGGATGGCTGGGTCAAATGGTATTTCTAGTTCTAGATCCCTGAGGAATCACCACACTGACTTCCACAATGGTTGAACTAGTTTACAGTCCCACCAACAGTGTAAAAGTGTTCCTATTTCTCCACATCCTCTCCAGCACCTGTTGTTTCCTGACTTTTTAATGATCGCCATTCTAACTGGTGTGAGATGGTATCTCATTGTGGTTTTGATTTGCATTTCTCTGATGGCCAGTGATGATGAGCATTTTTTCATGTGTTTTTTGGCTGCATAAATGTCTTCTTTGAGAATCACTTTTGAACCCAGGGGGTGGAGGTTGCAGTGAACCAAGATGGCGCCATTGCACTCCAGCCTGGTGACAGAGCGAGATCCGTCTCAAAAAAAAAAAAGAAAGATATGAAGAAATGAGGGCCCAGGCTAGGGAGTTGGTGATGGAAGTAGATAACTGATCAAGAAATTGGTTAACAGGTGATCTTTGGAGCGGGGAACTGAATGTTAGGTAACTTGGTGGAGGGGAGACTGACGTTTCATACCATACCATTTTTGTATTTTCAAAATTTTATGCTGGGTGCATGTATTATTGCTTTAAAAATTAAAAGTGATGATTTGCCAAAACAGGATCTCCCTTAAACATTGGAAGAAAAGAACAGATGGGATTAAAAGAAGAATTAAAGAGATGCCAGATTAAGCCCTAGAAGAGTCAGGACTCAAGATGAAAGTTTCCCAGTGACTGCTTCTGTGTTTTTTCCATGGACTAAACTCCAGGCCCATCAATCCACATTGTTAATGAGTGTTGATATTGTTTTCTAGGAATGCATTGGTTTTCTGTTTCAAACTTGGTACCTTTGCACCAGTAACCCACACGTATAAAGCCCCATCGATAGAGAGCTCTACTTCCAAATGTCTAGTCATAGAACTTTCTGAAAATTTGCTTTATAAAGAAAAAAATTGGCTAGTAAGAGGCCTGTAGGAGAGCTCATAATTTGAAGTTATTGAGAGACATAATTCAGAGCCACTTATAATTTGAATAAAAATATATACATATATTCAAATTTATGTACTTATTTAAATGTATTTATATATAAATTACAAATATAATTTTTATCATATATTACATTACTCTTTTTAGTTCCAGATTTAGCTTTCAAAGAATACATTATTTAGTCCTAATTTGAAATAAGTGGAAAAAGGAAAATTTGTATCTGTTTGCACTCATGGGTAGAATTGTACAGGAAGTTGCTGGAGGGGGTGCTATATCAAAATCCAAGAATCCAAAGACTTGCTGTATGTAAAGCATTCTATTAAGTGCTCAGGAGAGAGGAAGATGGGCCTAGCTCTCAGCAGTTCCACCAGCACAAAACACATAATCTGCATGTAAATAAGGGAGTTTGGTGATCCTTCGTGGAAAAATTTGGGAGAAGCAAAACTAACTCCCTTAAGACTAAATTAACGTTTGTTTGTTTTTCTATCCACAAAAGTAAAATTGGTACATGGATATTCTAGAAATTTGGAAAAAGCACAACAAAAGAATGAAAGTTAAGAGAAATGATTTCTTACTAGTGAGTGTAGAAAAAAATGCATTCATTTCTGCACATTTCAACATTTGCTTACCATCTTTCATTAGGTTAATTTGATTATGCAATTAAGAGGCACAATCAGTATGTATATAAACTCTATAGTCCTCATGCCTGTCAAATATTAGGCATCAATACGTGTTGGTTGGATGACAAAGGAATAAGCGTTATTCTGATAATGCCACTACTTACCTGGCATTTTATAGCCTGTAAAGTGAGCCTCTTTCAACAGCTCTGAAGTACGGATAGCACAGATAAATTCTCTTCTCTTCTTTGTTTTCTAAGAAACCATGATCTAAAGGGTTATTATACGGCTTACCTAATCAGGGTGGAGCTCAAAGATTTCTTGCCCCATTCTCCATTGATTTTAACGCCTAATATATTTAACCCTGAGTACTGTTCACTCCAGAATTGCTCTAACGCCTTTAGGTTGACTATTAGGATGTGCATTCATAAACTGCTAGCCTTACTCAGGCTTCTTACAATATTGTGAGGAAGATAAAATGATAAATATGCCAATAGTTATTCCAGGATGTAGAAAATGTTAAGTGTAAATCCCCAAAGGAGAGGGCATTCCCCACAAACCCTCTGCTATCCTGTTTGCTCAGTCTCTTCAAAATTAGCACACTGACTGTGAGAGTATAGGCAGATTTCTTTAACGAAGAAGTAGCATTTTGTTGAAGGATCAGGGAAGGCCTTGTAGAAGTGTCATCTGAGATGGTCCATGAAGGAATGGGTAGGATTTAACAGATGGAGATCCAGGAAGAAAGAAGTTCTAGGTGCAAGAACAGAAACTGAAAGAACTGAAGTGGAAGGAAAAAAATTTGAAGTCTGTTTGAGGAGGAGAGAGCAGTCTTGTCTGACTGGAGTCTAACATAAGTGTAAGGAAGAAGTCTAGGGAGACAGTTGGAACCAGATGCATCAGAAGCTGTTGTCAGGCCTCACTCATTAAGAAGGAATGTTCTGGCCCAGAACTCCAAATGAGGCTGACCAGAGCAGCTTCTTTTTATCTTTGTTCTCAGACCACAGACCCCTTATTTCCTTATTTTTCACTCGGTTCTACACTCTCAGATTAGTTTTCCATCCCCCATATCCACACGTCCACTTTGGCCTCCTCCTTTGGCCTCCTTTTGCTCATGATCTCCCACCCTTGACCATACTTGATCCTATTAGTCAGGGCACTTAACCCCTCTCCTACTTCTGTGACCAACGTCCTTCCTCCTGCTGATGCCTGTAGAAGCTGGAAACAGTTATGGGTTGTTTTTCCTGCCCTGCCAAGCCCACTCAGCTTGTGACAACAACGAGCCTTGAATGCTTGGCACCAGGGTTTGACTTGAATAAAATATTTAACCCTCTTGGCTTGGGCACGGTGACTGACATCTGTAATCCCAGCACTCTGGAAGACCAAGGTGGGAGGATTGTTTGAGTCCAGGAGTTCAAGACCAGCCTGGGCAACATAATGAGACCCCAATCTCTACAAAAATTAAAATTAAAAGTTAACCCATGAATATGGGGCTGTTAGCCAAAACAACACTTCCATGAATTTAGAATGCTGTATCATTGAGGACCAAAATTATCTCATGCTTACTTTAAAATAAAATCTACCAATATTTTTTGAGGAATTTTAATTTTACTTGACTATGGTGCTTTTTAAAGTCAATTTTTAGGAATGGAAAAAGTATTCAATTAACCCAATTCTGTTTTCCTTCTCTCAGTTGCAAGAATAAAAACTGGATTAAAATAATTTTCATCTTGTCCTGCCAAAATTATGCCCCCACAAACAAACAAACAAATGCAAACCCAAATCTCAAAAGAGAAAAGAAAAATAGAAGTATGAATTAGGGTGGGAATGGAATTCTCATGGTTGAGGGAGGAAAGATTTTTGCTATTCTGTGAGCTGGACATTTTAAAGAAACCCAAATGTGGATCAACTTCCTCAAAACTGCTGCTTTTTCTTTGTGGTTTTGGCTTGTCCCAGGTCAAGCAACTGGTCCAGTGGACAGGAGTTGATTAAAACAAGGCTGTGTTCCAAGGCTGAAGAGTATTTTTAGATCTTGAGGAAGAATTTTTTTTTTTTGAAGGAAAGGATGGTAATGTCATCCAAAGTACTAGTCCTGTGCAGAAGCTGCTACTTGGCATGTCTCAAGAAGCACTTCAAAAGGAATGCGGCCAAAGGCCAAGCTTCAGGAAGCCAAATGCTGGAGACCCAGTTGTTCTTCTGGTCTATTTGGAAAACATGATGGCAGACATTTTCATGGATTTTCTCATCGTTTGCCCCTTTTATAAACCTTCATGAACACAGGCATTTGCTTTGTTTTGATTGCCCTGTGGAAGACTCTAGCTTAATGTTCTAAATTATTTCTTCTTTGAGCAATAAGAACAAAAATGATCATTGGAAACCCCCAAGATATATCATATCCTTGTAGGAAAATATTAGCTGGCCAATCTTGAACAGTCTTCAAAGTAAAAATTATGGGAAGAATGGATGAAACAAAGATCAGATGCTGGCGTGTGTACATGTGGGTGCACTGTGTGTTTATGTGTGCCCAGCATTCATGCATGTACTTCATGTGGGTGCACTGTGTGTTTATGTGTGCCTAGCATTCATGCATGTACTTAACTAAAAGTGCCCTTTGCAATTAGGAGAAAGGCAGGAACGGTGGAGCTACTTACTGTTCTTGGATGATTCAGACTCATCAGGGGGTAGCTGGGTGTTTAGATAGATAAGTGCTCCCTGCTAAGATCTTACCAAAGCAAACGATTCTAACTTGGCATTCAGGAAAATCAATAAGTGGAATAAAGAAACTGAATTTCTGGAAATTATCTTCAATTGAATCGCGTGATGTTGGCTGAGCTACTCAGGTCCCGCAAGCAAAAACTTAGGAACAGAAAGTTTTTATCAGCTGACTGAAGTGCCATTGCTTGGTGCATGACTGTATTATAGTTTCAAAGTGTTGATGCCTATAAATAATATTTTTAAATATCTACAACTACTGGCTGGGCACGCCTGTAATCCCAGCACTTTGGGAAGCCAAGGTGGGTGGATCACTTGAGGTCAGGAGTTGAAGATCAGCCTGGCCAACATGGTAAAATCCTGTCTTTACTAGAAATACAAAAATTAGCCGGGCATGGTGGTGGGCACCTGTAATCTCAGCTACTTGGGAGGCTGAGGCAGGAGAATCGCTTAAACCCAGGAGGCACAGGCTGCTGTGAGCTGAGATCATGCCACTGTACTCCAGCCTAGGCAACAGAGCAAGGCTCTATCAAAAAAATAAAATAAAATATTTACAACTACTGAAATATGATATGAATATCTGTCTTGGTGACTGTGATGGTTAATTTAATGCGTCAAATTGACGGGGCCAAGGAGATATAGATATAGATACACACACACACACACACATATATTCAGTTGTTTCTGTTTCTCTGGAGAACCGTGACTGATAAAGCGACAAAGTCACAAGCACTACTACTAGTACTTGGGTTTGTTTCCCACATCATATTTGAAGGAAATGAACTGCAGGTTAATTGTTTCTTAATAACTTCATATTTTCCCAGTCCAAAGGCTGCTCACTTTTCAAGAACCAGCAGATTTCTCCACCCATTACAATCCCCACTGAGACTCCACATTTCTGAAGCCTTTGTGTCCATATAATAATAACACCCAGCAAGCTGCTTCGATTGTTCATAACATTTCAACGTTGTGTTTCATCTCTCCTTTATCGGTGTAGGTTTCTTGGAAGCAGGGACTGGACTTCTGCTTCTTTTGAAATTCCCTGCCTCAGCTGCAACCAGCATACTGATGGGAACCTGGTATTCCAGTGGTTCTCAACCCTGAACACACATCAGAATAACCTGCAGATGCTTGGGTTCTATTTCCCAGGCCAGTGGTTCATTAAGTGTGATCCCCAGACCAGCAGCATCAGTATCGCCTGAGAATTTCTTAGAAATGCAACTTATCAAGCCCTACCTACAACCAACACAATCAGAAACTCTGGGGGTAGGGCCCCACAGTCTATGATTTTGGAATGCACTAAAATTTCAGAATCACTGCCCTAAGGACTCTGATTCTGAAGAAATGGAGCGGAATTCAGAAAACTTCATGGAAAAAGTACCATTACCTGGTAAATTCCATGAGGTCAAAGGTAGGGTCCAATTTTGCTCACCGTTATACCTCAAGGGCCTGTCTTAGTGCCTGACAGATGGTCTGGACTAGAAACTATTTGTTGAATAAAAGAAAGAAATGCAATTTGTGAGGCCTACGTATTGTGCAACTATATTTTTCAGTGTCTGCTGACTTTTATAGAAATTAGATACAAGTCCTTTGAAAGATAAATATTCCCTTTGAAGGTGCCATTTATTGCAAGACATCAATTATTTAACAAATGATGCACTTGTTGTTCATCTAGTAGCTCCAACTAGTGTTTTGGCTTATGAGAGAGTTTTGAAAAACAAGCAAAAAGGTCAGCGTTTAGAAACCTAAATGCCTTCACCAAATTAAAGGAAACTTTGCTTTTTTTTTTCTCTTTTTGACAGAGTTTCACTCTTGTTGGCCAGGCTGGAATGCAGTGGCACGATCTCAGCTCATTGCAACCTCCACCTCCTGGGTTCAAGCAATTCTCTTGCCTCAGCCTCCTGAGTACCTGGAATTACAGGCGCCCACCACCTGTATTATTTGTATTATTACTAGAGACAGGGTTTCACCATGTTGGCCAGCCTGGTCTCAAACTCCTGACCTCAGAGGATCCACCCACCTTGGCCTCCCAAAGTGCTGGGATTACAGACGTGAGCCACCCCGCCCGGCCTGCATTTTTTTGTTCTATCAGGAGCACTTGCCGCGTTGAGCTCTTTGGGGTTTTCTGATCTTCTTGACTACAGGAAGGACAATATGAGCTCTTATACTCTACAGAATAAAGGAAGAAAATTCTTCTGCGTTTCACCTTCAAAATATAGGTAGAATAAACTAAAGCTACAGCAGACTACGATTTCCAAAAGACCATTATGTATATTCAAATAGCAAGTTGTCAGATAGTGTACTTTGCTCTTTAAATAGCGTGTCATTGATGCATTGATTCTACTACGTGCAAATTGTGGTGTAAGACAAAACAGAGAATGCTGAAAAGTGTTCCTTCTCTCAAAGAGCTCACAACACAGAAGAGAAATGAGAGCAGGGAATACAAATAACTACAGTCCCTCTTTATCCTCTTTAGTACTCGACAGAGCCCTTTCCAATGTTTTTCTTTATTTATCTGTTTGCTTATTTGTGAATTTGTTGTCTTCCCTCCTCACTAGAACATAAGTCAAGGAAATCTCATTTACCACCACATCTGACTGGCACTGAGGGTATTTCCTGGTGCTGGTGGACACAATCAATATTTCTTAAATGGAATGCTGGGGAAGGAAACACAAAGTTAAACACATGAATTACTACTTTGAAAATATTAGATCCCGCCGGGCGCGGTGGCTCACGCCTGTAATCCCAGCACTTTGGGAGGCCAAGGCAGGCAGATCATGAGGTCAGGAGTTCAAGACCAGCCTGACCAATACGGTGAAACCCCGTCTCTACTAAAAATACAAAAATTAGCCGGACCTGGTGGCACGCGCCTGTAGTCCCAGCTACTCCAGAGGCTGAAGCAGGAGAATAACTTGAATCCAGGAGGCGGAGATTGCAGTCAGCCAAGATCGTGCCACTGCATTCCAGCCTGGGCGACAGAGCGACACTCCATCTCAAAAAAAAAAAAAAAAAAAATTAGATCCCACTCTGAGGCATCTATTTTCATGTTCTCTGATGAGGACCTATGCTCTGGATTCACATGGATCTGCGGGGTTCAAGTCTTGGTTCTGAAACTCGCTGCTGTGTGCTTTTAACCACATTGCTTAACTTTTGACAGTTTCTGCTGCCCCTCCATCGTGATACTTAACTCTGTATTGCCTCACCTGAAGTTTAATTTCTCTCTAAGTCTGTTATTTAAGATAAGCCAAAAAATGTCCCGTAATATTGAAAAATATATTTTACTAATTCCAAGGACTGCTCGCTTATAACCTTGAAATTACAAATATTTTTATGAGAAACTATACATGTTACATTAAATTTATTTTCTTATTGTTATTTTTGTAGAAAGCTGTGTTAGCTCCCTCAAAGTGGTAAACTAACTTTTCATAAGAGGATAATTTTACCCAACAACCTTGTGATAATTAACTCACCATGACTTCCAAATATAGCTCCAATTTACCCAAGCATTATTAAAGGACTTTTAAAATTAGGAGCACAGCTAAAGGAATTTCCTCCTTGGGTTTACAAGTAAAATTAAAGTGACTGAGAATAACTTCAAAACACAAGGCAAGACTTATTTACCTTACGAGTATTATTGGTTAGTCAGTTGAAGTAATTTTAAATTCCATTCTTATTATTTTAGGCTTCAATAATTCTAACAAAAAGTTTTTATGTGTATGTATAAATATATATGTTATATTTATATAGTCACTAAATAAATATTTTTAGAACCATGTTTTTCAAACTTTTTCTTCCCATTGCTGAGATGAGATGGTCTTTTCTATGAGTTTTTCTAAATAAGCTGCAAGGTTCTTTCTCATGTGTTCTGGGAGATGTATCTTCTGGTGGTGAGATGCCTAGCCACCCACCTGGGACAGCCATGAGACCTGGTGAGAGAATTGCTAAATCATGAAACTCTCCAAGCTTCCAATGCCCTATATGTAAGGTCAGAATTGTAACACCTGTCCTGCTTACAGATCAAATAAAAAATTGTGTATAAGGGTGCTGTGATTTGACTGTGTCCTCCAAAGTTCATGTATTGGAAACTTAATTCCCAATGCAACAGGATTGAGAAGTGGGATATTTAAGAGGTGATTAGGACACGAGGGCCCTTCCTTCATGAATGGATTCAGCTGTTATTGCAAGAGTGGGTTCCTAATAAAAGAATGAGATAAGTTGGACATCTTCTTCCCTTCTTCTCTCCTGATTTCCTCCAGTTCTGTCTTCCACAATGGAATGACAAGCAAGAAGATTTTCAGTAGATGCTAGTGCTTTGATATTGAACTTCACAGCCTCTAGAACTGTGAAAAATAAATTTCTCTTATTCATAAATTATCCAATCTGGGATATACTGTTATAACATGAAACAGCGAAAGACAAAGGGTTTCATAAGTGGAAAAACTATATATACCTATGCATGTGTGTATGTATAACAGCATATATATATATATATATATATATATATATAGTAGCACTCTATCAGCATAACACTAAACACTATATATGTATAAGTATATATATACATATACAGACATGCATCACTTAACAATGGGGATACATTCTGATAAATATGTCATTAGGCAATTTCTTCACTGTGCAAACATCATAGAGTGTACTTACACAAACCTAGATGGTATAGCCTACTACATGCCTAGGCTATATGGTCTAGCCTATTGCTCCTAGGCTACAAACCTGTTACGTGCATGTTACGATACTGAATACTGGAGGCAATTGTAACACAATGGGAAATATTCATGTATGTAAACATCTAAACGTAGAAACAGTACGGTAAAAATATGATATAAAAGATTTAAAAATGTCAGACCAATATAGGATACTTACATGAATGGAGCTTGCAGGACCGGAAGTCGCCCTGGGTGAGTCAATGAGTGAGTAGGAGTGAACGTGAAGGCCTAGGACATTACTTACTGTATACTATTGCAGACTTTATAAACACTCTACACTTATGCTACATAAAATTTATAAAAACGTATTTTTCTCCAGTTATAAATTAACCTTAACTCACCATAACATTTTTACTTTATAATTTTTTGACTATTTGGTAATAGCACAGCTTAAAACACAAAACACATTGTATAGCTTTGAAAAAAATATTTTCTTTAAGCTTTTTTCTATTTTTAAAATTAATTTCTTTTGACTTTTAAAACTTTTTTGTTGAATACTGAGACATAAACCCACACATTAGCCTAGGCCTACACAGGATCATTAATATCACTGTCTACCATCTCCACATCTTGTCCCACTAGAAGGTCTACAATGTCACTAGGCAATACAAATTTATCAGTGCCATTATAATCTTTTTTTTTTTTTTCTGAGATGCAGTCTGGCTCTATTGCCCAGGCTGGAGTGCAGTGGTGCAATCTCAGCTCACTGCAACCTCTGCCTCCCGGGTTCAAGTGATTCTCCTTCCTCAGCCTCCTGAGTAGCTGGGATTACAGGCATGCACAACCACGCCTGGCTAATTTTTTTTTTTTTTTTTTTTTTGGTATTTTTAGTAGAGACGGGGTTTCACTATGTTGGTCAGGCTGGTCTTAAACTCCTGACTTTGTGATCCACCTGCCTCGGTCTCCCAAGGTGCTGGGATTACAGGCATGAGCCACCGTGCCCGGCCAGCGCCGTTATAATCTTATGGGACCACCACTGTATATGTGGTCCATTGTTGACTGAAACGTTATGTGGTGCATGACTGTATACATACCTATATTATATAATATATACATATATGTAAGTTATTGCTGCTGATATTCTTTAATGGCTTGCTTTTATAAATCCCACAGGAAATGGTTATCAAAGCATTTCAGTGGACCTAGTCATTAGTTATTCACTCTCTAAGCCTCTGCTAGTAAGACTGAATATGATTGGTCTTCATATTTGAAAGCAAAGATATTCTTTTCACAGTTTAACACTGTCTTGCTTTTTGCTTTTCTTTTTTAATAGAAAGTATTGGAAAATACAAATTGGTAAACACTTACTGACTCTGAATTTTAGCTAGAAGAATCCTCTTATTCCTTGACAACTATTTCTTAACTGGGGAACTGGAGCCTTGGATGGCAAAAGGACAGGTCTGAGCAAAATGCCCTGCTGTCCAAGAGGGATCTGGCAGTGACCTAGCACAAATGTCCCTTCTCTTGTGACAGCCTCTCACAGACTCCACTAAGCCTTTCTCCAGTCGGACATGGCCCTTTATTCAGACCTCTTTCTGGTGTTGACTATGTGGTGGGGAAGTTACTTAGGGTTTTTTGCAATAAGTAATACCTTGCTATATGCAGTGATAACATTGTAAAAATTAAGTATATAAGCATATAGAGTTAAAAAGTGAATGTCCTCCTTTCCCTCTCTCCCCTTCGTGCCACTCTTAGCAGTTTGGAGCATGGCCTTTCGGATCAATTTGTATGCAGTTTTAATATGCACATACAAAAACATGTAATAAAGAGATCATTCTGTACATTTTGTTCTACTTCTCAAAAATCTTTTCATGTCCGAACATATATTGATATATCTATTCCGTAATATAAATATGTTATTTAACTTCCGATGAACATTCCTTTCTTTCTCTTCTTCTTTTTGCTATTACAAACAATGCACCAACAAACACTCTGTTCTATACTCAAACACATACACATAGGCACATATGTATCTGGAGGATACTTTTATAATCTTGTTTTATACAATTGGTTGTTTAATGCAGGTAAAATTTATTTTTATATGTAACGTGATGTAAAAATTTAACTTTACTTTAAAAAACGGATATCTAGGCCAGGCGAGGTGGCTTACGCCTGTAATCTCAGCACTTTGGGAGGCCAAGGTGGGCGGATCACCTGAGGTCAGGAGCTTGAGACCAGCCTGGCCAACATGGTGAAACTCCGTCTCTACCAAAAATACAAAAATTAGCCAGGTGTGGTGGCAGGCACCTGTAATCCCAGCTGCTTGGGAGGCTGAGGCAGGAGAATCACTTGAACCCAGAAGGCGGAGGTTGCAGCGAGCCGAGATCGTGCTGGGATTACAGGAGTGAGCAACCGCACCTGGCCGAGACTGTTCTCTCACTCAGCAAAATGCCCTGAGATTCGTCCAAGTTCTTGACAGTATCAGTAGTTCCTATTTTTTTTTGGTAAGTAGTATTGCACTGTATGGAGGTCCCACAGTTTATTCATTCTCTCCTGCTGAAGGACACTTAGGTTTTTGCAGCGTTGGATCATTATGAATAGAGCTGTCTTAAACATTCATGTACAGGTTTTTGTATGAATGCAAGTTCATTTTTCTTGAGTAAATTCCAAGGAGTGGGGTTGCTGGGTTAAATGATAAGCATAGGTATAACTTCATAAGAAACTGCAAAACATTTTTAGAGTAGCTATACCATTTTGCATTCCCCCAGAGGTGTATAAGAGTGCCAGCTCCTCGATATCCCTAACAGCACTCAATATGGTCAGTATATTTTTAATTTAATCATTCTGAGCAGTGTATAGTCGTGTCTCACGTTGGTTTTAATATGCATTTCTCTAATGGCTAATAATGTTAAACATGTTTTCATTTGGTAAAGTGTCTGTTCAAATCCTTTGCGCATTATTAAAAGGGGCTATTTGTCTTTTTACTTTTGAACTTTGAGAGTCCTTTATATATTCTGGATACAAATCCTTTGTGAGCAGGGACATCTTCATGGGAGTGTGACCTGTGCAGCTGCACAGGGTTCCACACTCAAAGGGACCCAGAGCTTTGTTCAATGTTCTACAGTTGCAGTCTTGAAATTCTTAATAATTTTTCAAAAAGGAGGTCCCACATTTTCATTTTGTACTTAGCCCCATAAATTACATAGCTGGTCCTGTTTGTTGGATATGCAATTTGCAAATATACGTTCACAGTGCTAGCTTGTCTTTCCATACCCTTAGTAGTGTTTTTCCCAGAACAAAGTTTTCAACTTTGATAAGGTCCAGTTTATCAATTTTTTCTTTGTTGGATTGCACTTTTGGTGTCATGTCCAAGAACTCTTTGATCATGAAGATTTTCACTCCTGTTTTCTTGTAAAATTGTTATTGCTTTGTTTCACATTAAGATACATCATCCATTTGGAGTTAATTTTTGTATCGTTTATGAGATTTAGGTTTTACATTGAAACTTTGATTGGCAAGAGATTTAAGTTATAGATTAATTTAGGAAGAACTGACATTTTTACAATGTAGCATCTTTATGTCTAGAAACATGATAATACTTTTTTTATATATTCAAGTCTTTGTGTCCTATAAAGTTTTATGGTTTTATTCCTATATTTCTTGCACTTTTTTCCTGGTTTATTCCTAGGTATTTTGTACCTTTTTTTGCTATTTGAACGAGATTTGTTTTCTATTATATTTACTAATTCATTGTAGTAGATGGATTGAAGTTGAAAAGAAATAACTGAAGATGAATTGAGGTTGAAAAGAAAACTGTTGTTTTGGGGTGTTGATTTTGTATAGAACTCGTTACTAAAGGGGCTTACAAACTGTTTGCTTTTAGGCAGGTTCCGGAAGAGACCGTGCTTTCCTCCTCACTTCCTGCCTTTCCCTTATAAAAACTAGGGGATTGGAGTGGAGTGGTGGTCAGTTATGAGAGTTCTGCTGAAATGACACCTCTGGACAGCCCGAGGGTAGGAAAAGGGTACCATTTGCTGTTAGGTACTTGGTGCCATTGTTCTCAGCTGTGGGTTTTAAGAGCTAATTGCATCAGAAAAAAAATAAGATAAAGATAAACACATTTTATCAGTAGATACTCATTCAGCTGCAAGTAACAGACTAGTTTAGTGACATTTGCTTTTAAAAATGTGTTTTATTTTTTTCACATAACAAGAAATCTTGGGGTAGACCATTGCTGATGTCAGCTCAGTGGTTCAGTAATGCCACTAGGAACCCAAGTTTTTCTTTTCTTTCAGACTTTTTTTCCAAGCAAACTTTTTGTTTTGGAATAACTTTAGATCCATAGGAAAGTTGCAAAGACAGTACAGGCCTCTCACATACCCTTCACCCAGTTTTTTGCTCATGTTAACATCTTACATAACTTTGGTACATGTGTCAAAACTGGAAATTAATATTGGTACATTACTATTAACTAAAGTACAGACTTCATTGGGATTTCATCCGTTGTTCCTCTCTTATCCTTGTCCTGTTTCAGAATCTAATCCAGGGTATCATTCGTTCTAATGTCTCCATAGGCATCCCTTGGCTGTGACAGTTTCTTGATCTTCACTTGATTTTCATGGTCTTGACACTTTGAGGACTACTGCTCAGGTATTTTGTAGAATGTCCCTCAGTTTGAGCTCATCTGGTGATTTCTCATAATTAGACTGGAGTTGTGGGTTGGCAGGGAATACCACTGGGGTGGAGTGCCCTACTCATTGCCAGGTGTCCTGATATCAGAAGGACTTATCACTAGTGATGTTAACCTTGTGATAGTCAGCTGGTAATGTTAAACTTGATCACTGATCTTTTAGTCTTTTTATTATGGAGAATTTGAAACATGCACAAAAGTAGAGAAAACAATATAGCTAACCCCTATGTATCTATATCCAGTTTCAACAATTATTGATTTTATTTCATCTATACCTCCATCTACTTTCCCAGTAGCACCCCTGGGCTATTTTGAAGCAAGTTGTAAACATTACATTTAATCTATAAATATTTCAGTATGGATCACGAAAAGATAAAGACTCCTAGAAAAGTAGGCACAATATCATTAGCACTCGTAAAATCCCTGGCTATATTTTCAAGGCTATTTGTATTTTCCCACTCTGCCCTTTTCGGCATGTGGCTCTTTATCCTTGCTAACAGTTGTGAGAGAGCTTCTCTGTCTTCAGCCGTCACATCTAAGTTTAAGGCCAAACACTGGGAGGCAGGATAGCAAAAAGCAAAAGGTTTCCCAGATCCTTTTGCCCCTTACCCTTACAACCCGACTTCCAGCTGTATCTCACTGGTCAGAATTGTATCACGTGGATACCACAAGTACCAAGAGAAGTTGGAAAAGCTAGCATTTGGCTTTCCAACCTCCATAATTGAGGATGACATGGGATGATGAGGTTGGGAATAGATGCGGAGTGAGCCAACATAGAGTATCGTTCACACTAACTTGGGGAAAAGAGAAACTTCACTTGACACATTTCTCCATTCTGTGAAACCAGTCCTTAGGGAAGAGAGTGGGACTGGTGGAATAACTACTGAATGGCCATACCATAGCAGCACTTGTGTTCTCCTGCCTCTGGCTTGGTGATGCCTAAGGCTGGGACCTGGCTGGGCCTATGAGTGGAGGCTAAGGCTCCAGCTGTAGGGGCTGGAACAATGTGGGGCTGCAGCCAGAGAGCCGTTTTAATTTGACTTCAATGACTCAAAGATGTAGTTATTAAAGAATGCATTTCAGGCCGGGTATGGTGGCTCACTCCTGTAATCCCAGCACTTTGAGAGGCCAAGGCAGGTGGATCACTTGAGATCAGGAGCCTGGCCACCAGCCAGCCTGGCCGATATGGTGAAACCCTCTCTCTACTAAAAATGCAAAAATTATCTGGGCGTGGTGGCACATGCCTGTAATCCCGCTACTTGGGAGGCTGAGGCAGAAGAATCACTTGAACCGGCGTGGCGGAGGTTGCAGTGAGCCAAGATCGTGCCACTGCACTCCAGCCTGGGTGACAGAGTGAGACTCCGAGAGAGAATGCATTTAACAGGACATAAATTCTAAAATCAGGATAATCCTAGACTACCGAGTAGCTTAAGTATAAGTTTAGAGCATTACCAAAGCAATGACTCTACAAGAAACATTGAGTTCTGGTGAATTTAACAAGAATTTTTCAAAATAAAAAAATGTTTAGAAAGAAGCTGCCAATTTTTAATGAAAATCATTTTATTTTACATTATTTGACATACTTTTAAAAAAGAAAAAATGTGCCAATTAAACTCTGAAATGCCATTGATTCTAAGGCACATCCTGACTTTAGAAATGTTAAAATGTGGAAAAAATTTTGTCTTGATATTGATGAAATATGGTATTTTAATTTTTAACTATATAATACAAGTAAAGTTTGGATTCTATGTCACAATCATTTTTAAAAATTGTTTTATTGAGTTATAATAAAATCAGTGAGTAATAAGATCAATGAAATTCCACTTATGTATACACCTATGTAATCATCATCCAGATTAAGATTTAAAACATTTTGCTATCTCATAGTTTTCTTGTGCCCTGTCCCACTTAATCTCTATTCACAGAAGTGACCACTCTCTGAATTTTTTCACCGCAAATTAGCTTTATTTGTTCTGGGATTTATATAAATGGAATCATTCACTTTCTTCTCTTTTGTGTCTGACTCCCTTTTTTTTTTTCTTATGTCCAGGATACATTGTTAAGGGAGAAAAAAGCAAGTTATCAAAACAATTGAAAGAGTATTATCATTTTTGTTTAAAAAACCACAAGTAGTCTGTATCTATAAGTGTGTTCCTATGTATATTACATGTAAGGACAGCGTACTGAAATGGGGAGCTATGAACAGGCCAACCTAGACCTCCATATTTGAAAATTGTCACTTGCTCCTTCCCCTCCATGTTACTCATCTCGTTCCCCTGTTCTGCATTTTCATTTTTCATAGCACTTAATGTCTTTTTACATTTTATATATTTACTTATTTATTATGTTTATTATGTATCATATGTTTCTCCTCCTTTCCCTAGAATGTAAGATTGCTCATGGTAAGAATCTTTATCTAGTTAGTATTTGGCACATAGTAGGTGCTCAGTAAATATGTAGTGAGTAAATGAATCAAATGGTATTGGAGTAAGGTGAAGGAAAAACACTTTTTAATTAATTTATCATAGTTGTATGTATTACAATGTATAACGATCAAATAGGGTAATTGGGATGGATATCCATCACCTCAAACATTGATCATTTCTATATGTTAGGAACATTACAGTTCTTCTCTCTAGCTACTTTGAAATATACAATAAATTGTTAATTATAATTTCCCTACTGTATTATTGAATAGTGGAACTTATTCCTTTTAACTATATTTTTATTCTCTTAAACCAACTTCTCTTTATCCCTACTTCCCTTCCCAGCCTCTGGTAATTCAGCATAATGTTTTTGAGACTTATCCATGTCGTGGCATATATCAGTACTTTGATCTTCTTAAAAATCATGGAGTAGCATTCTATTTTAAAAATATAACAAGATTGGGCCGGGCACGGTGGCCCACGCCTGTAATCCCAGCACTTTGGGAGGCCAAGGCAGGTGGATCACCTGAGGTCAGGCGTTCAAGACCAGCCTGGCCAACATGGTGAAACCCCGTCTCTACTAAAAATACAAAAAATTAGCCAGGCACGGTGGCATGTACCTGTCATCCCAGCTACTCGGGAGGCTGAGGCAGGAGAATGGCTTGAACCCGGGAGGTGGAGGTTGTGGTGAGCTGAGATCGCGCCACTGTGCTCCACCCTGAGTGACAGAGCGAGACTCCTTCCCAAAAAAACAAAAAAGAACACAGTTTGTTTATTCATTCTCCTGTTGACAGACATTTGGGTTGTTTCTAATTTGTTACTATTATAGAAAGAGTCTATGAACATATATGTAAGAGTCTTTGCATGGACTTATATTTTTATTTCTTTTGGATAAATAGAGTGGAATTGCTGGGTCATAGGGTATGTATATATTTACCTTTATAATAAGTTGTCAAACACCTTTTAAAACTGATTTTATCATTTTATAGTTGCACCTCCAAGGTGTGAGAACTCCAGTTTCTCCACATCCTCACCAACACTAAGAACTGTTAGTCTTACTAATTTCAGCTTTAGCTTTATCTGCTAGGCTTAAAGAAGTATCTCATTGTGGTTTTAATGTGCATTTCCCTGTAGACTCATTATGTTGAACATCTTTTAAGGCACTCTTGGCCATTTGTTTATCTTCTATTAGGAAGTTCTCTTTTAAAATCTTTGTCTATTTTTTAAAATGGCATATATATGTATATGTGTATACATATATATATACACACACATATATATATATATATATATATATATATATATATATATATATATACACACACTAAGTTCTTTGTCAGATACATGTTTTGCAAGGAGCAATCACTTAAATGAAGAAAAGCCAATAAGGTTGAAGCAAACTGTGAGACTCAAGTCAAACTGACATTTACTGAATAACTACCAGATAGCAGGTCCTTCAGACCCAGGCTTTCCCCTGATTTTCACTCTGCCGGGCATCATTTTCTTGATTTTTTTCACTATGCTACTAAAGCCTAGAGAGGTTCAATAACTTGTTCAATGCTGCCCAGTTTAAAGAGGCAGAGCTAGGATTCAAAGGGGTCTGTGTGAATCCTTCCCCTTAAAAGAAGCACACTTATATTGGGTGCCCTCTGTTTTTCCTTTTATTTAAATTATATAGAAGGGACTTCTATTTTTTTTCAATGCTTAGCCTCTAGAATCTTAATCTGTCCTTGAATTAGGGCTAGCTGCTTAGTCCTGATTAATTTCTAATAAGGAACTAACTAGTCCTTTAATATGCCCCTGAATTAGATTATAGGGAACTCTGGTGTGGGAGATTAAAATCTGACACCCCAAAGTACGCTTCTTTTGGCATATTTCAAGATGGCTATTCAGAGGGGCTGCAGACACAGGAATAGCTCTGAAAAGCTATCCTTTTGTGGGGGAGATTTGCATCTGTAGAGGAAATCTACATTAGTGAAGTAAACAGCGGATGCAGAGGCTTTCTCTGAGTTCTCCTTATCCGGATCTAGGAGAGATTAACTCAGAGGAAAAGGAGACGAACTCTGACATTTTAAAGGTCTGACAGAGAAACTTGTACATAGCCTACCATCTATTCTTTCTGAGGACTGTCAGCCGAGTGGCTTCATTTGCATAAGACAACTACTTTTGTTTACAGTGTATTTCCTCCCTCACCATCCCATGACCTACTGTCACCTCCTTCTGGGAGCTCCAAGCCCCTGTCCCTTTCTGTACAGTATAAAACATTCAGTCGGCTGGGCGCGGTGGCTCACGCCTGTAATCCCAGCACTTTGGGAGGCCGAGGCGGGCGGATCACGAGGTCAGGAGATTGAGACCATCCTGGCTAACACGGTGAAACCCCTTTTCTACTAAAAATACAAAAAAATTAGCCGGCGTGGTGGCGGTGCCAGTAGTCCCAGCTACTCGGGAGGCTGAGGCAGGAGAATGGCGTGAACCGGCGAGGCGGAGCTTGCAGTGAGCCGAGACAGCGCCACTGCACTCCAGCCTGGGCAACAGAGCCAGACTCCGTCTCAAAAAAAAAAAAAAAACTTCAGTCATCTGACCCTCCCTTGAGTCTCATATTTTGAGTGGCTTCTATATACATGTGCTTATAGTAAATTTGTATGCCTTTTCTCCCGTTTATCTATTATAATTTTGTTTTGTAAATTTAAATTACCAAACCTTTAAGGCGGGGGGTTCAGAGAAGGAAAATTCCTTTCACCCCTACAGTGCATTCATAAAAATGGCAATAATCCAGGATAAGGAGAACCAAAAAAATTTTTAAAAGGTGGGAAGAGGGTTCCAAAGCAAGCTGAGAAGAGTTTGTGTATAGCCAGGACAAAAACTGGAAGCCAGTGAATCCCCAAAAGCTGAAGGTCAAGACAGAGCAGGGCTATAAAATCAGGAAAGAGAAACATACACTCAGAGGTGAAAAGACCATGAAGTTCTTGAGAAGCCCACCAGAGACAGAAAGCATTTCTATTTTTTCCTGGTATAGACCTACAATAGCCATCCCCAAAGGCAACCACTCCCAGATCTAGAAGCCCAAGGACTCTTTCAGTTCAAGAACTTGCTATGCCTGGCAGCTTCCATCAACATCGATGAGTTTTAAAATCTTTTCTAACCCTGGCTTCTTACCCTGCAGTTAGGACATCTTGGTTGTGATGGAAATTCAAATCAATGTAATGCAAACAAACAAAAGTATTCTGGCTTCAATCTTGGGATTAAAATGACACCTCCAGGAATTGCTCTTTTTCTCCATTTCTTGACTGTGCTTTTCTCTGTATTGGCTTCATACCTGCAACAAGCTCCCTCTCTGTGGTGGGAAATCCAGTTCGTGGCAGCTCTAGGTTTTCACTGTCCTGATAGTCTAAGGAAAAGAGAAAGACTTTTCCCAGGAGTTCCGGTACCAATTCTGGAAGGGCTCTGATTGGCCTGGTTAATGTCACATTTTCATCACTAAATAGGATTCCCAGATAAAATAGAGAACTCCCAGTTATATGTGAATTTCAGAAAAACAAATTTTTTTTACTATAAGTATGTCTTATGCAATATTTGAGACGTGCTTATACTAAAAAAATTGTATTTATCTGAAATTAAAATGTAACTGAACATCCTGTATTTTTATTTGCTGAACTTGGCAACCTAATTCCTATGCCAACCACCTGTGGCCAAAAGGATGACAGACTCCTGAATCCTGGAGATTGAGTCAGTCTCAGATTGATGGGGACTGGGAATGGGGGAAGGGTAGTTGCCTAAAGAAATCCTGAGCAGATTAAAAGCTTGTGCCTACTATACTTGCTGTTTCTTCCTGTACTCCCAATTTTGTGTAGACTTTTCCAGATCATCTATCTCATGTTAAAAACTGAGATAATCACCTTCACTTCCAAATGTGTATTTTTTTGACAAACTGCCAATTATTGACAACAGATTTTTTCTCCATTCCTCTCACCTCTAGTTATTGAATTTACAAGTTTGGTGTTCTTTCATTTCTTGATTTTCCTTTGGTCCATTAATCCACAACTTGAAAACCCAGACTTGTGTCTCACCAAGTAAATTCCTACATTCCAGAAGCTGCAAAATTTGACTCAATGACAGTCTAGTGCTAGCTCAAAGGTGACTTGGGGCAGTATCTGAGCAAGCAATATGAACCTGGAAATTCAGATGCAGCAGATTTGCTGATTTGAAGAGATCATTCCAGTTTTTATAAAAATTTCATATACTTATTATTTTATGAACTAATGTACTGTCATAGTAACAAAGTTTGGACCTTCGCTGGAGGAGAAGGGGATGAGTTCAAGAAATTTTCCTATTTGTAAGCACTACTATTTGTTTGTTCTGTATCACATTGCCATGTTCTCACTTGTATGCCTCAACTGTAAATATGCATATCTGCTTTATTAGTCACGATTCTCCAAGGAGTCAAACGCACGTGTGCACACACACACACAGAGGGAAAGCGAGAGATTTATTTGAAGGAATTGGCTCACACTGTTGTGAGGCTGGCAATTTGAAATCAGCAGAGCAGGGTTAGCAGGCTGAAGAGCCAGGAAACAGTTGATGTTGTAGTCTTAAGTCCTTTGGTGACTTCAGTCTTTTGAGACCTTCAACTGATTGAATGAGGCCCTCCCACATAATAGAGAGTAATCTGCTTTACTTGAAGTCTACTGATTTAAATATTAATCGCATCCTTAAAAAATCTCTTTGGCCCGGCATGGGGGCTGCTGCCTATAATTCCAGCGCTTTGGGAGGCAAAGGTGGGAGGATAGCTTGAGCCTAGGAGTTAGAGACCAGCCTGGGCAACATAGTGAGACCCCGTCTTTACAAAATAAAAAATTTTAGCCCCAGGCATGGTGCACATGCCTGTGGTCCCAGTTACTTGGGAGGCTGAGGCAGGAGGATCACTTGAGCCTAAGAAGTTGAGGTTGCAGTGAGCTATGATTGCACCAGTGCACTCCAGACTGGGTAACAGAGCAAGACCCTGTCTCAAAAAATAAAAATAAAAATCCCTTCACAACAATGTCTAGACTGGTGCTTGACCCAAAACTGGGTACTGGGGCCTGGCCAAGTTGACCCATAAAATTAACCATCCCATCTAAGAAGTCATTACTTTACGTCTAATTGTGTCAATGTATATCATTGTCAGATCTTCCTTCAATATTGTCAAAATTCTTAATACATTGGTTTTATTTGCTTGGAAAAGTTTCGGTGATAATTGCTGAAGGACCAGGCTATTTTATAGAAAAGTTCTTTTTCTCTTGAGGCTATTGGATGTGAATAATCCTGAAGTCTTCTTCTGTAGCAAGTCATTCAAGAAATGGATTGACCTTTAAAAGAAATTTCACAGTAATTTTCCTCTGGCTTATTTTTGGCAATCAAAATAAATAGAATCACAGACTGGGGACTGGGCATGGTGGCTAACACCTGTAATCCTAGCGCTTTGGCAAGCCAGGGCAGGAGGATCACTGGAGGCCAAGAATTTGAGACCAACCTGGGCAACAAAGCAAGACCCTATTTCTACAAAAAAAAAAAAAAAAAAAAAAGAGTCAGACATGATGGCTCATGTCTGAAGTCCTAGCTACTCGGGAGGCTGAGGCAGGAGTACTGCTTGAGCCTAGCAGTTCAAGGCTGCATTGAGCCATGATTACACCACTGCACTCCAGACTGGTTGATAGAGCAAGACCTTGTCTCAAGCAAACAAACAAACAAAAAAAACAAAAACAAACAAAAAAAACTAAAGACTAGAGGGATGTTGATTCCTCTTTGAAATCTTAGGTTTATGCTTAGATGAGACACTGCAGTAGCCTGAAGCTTCATATTAGTCTATTGGCATGTGCTTTGACAAAAAGCAAACAAAACATGTAGGTAACAAAGATGAAAGATAAAATAGACCAACATCAAGAAAAATGGCATTCTGAGTTTTGATCTCAGAGAACTAGTCCCCTCTCTATGTTCCAGGAATGACAGAAAATGACATATTTCAAATACAAGTTAATTCTTTTCTTTTAGCTAAATTGTTCACGATTGAATGGTGCTTTTATACGTCAAGAAAATGATCCCTTCTCTTCCTGATCTTCTATTAAAAACAATGAGACAATTAATTTTTCCTACTGATGAATCTGATAATATGCACTGTTAAATGTGTGGAACGCAAATTTAGAGTTTCTTATACAGATCAGATACTCAGAGGGAGTATAATTCACCAAGGATTCCCCTTTGGAAAATGATGTTTAAAAGCTCAGAGAGCACTAATTAGATTAAGTACGATGATCATGAGAGAAATGTTAGATTAGAACCAAAAAGTTTTTGAAAGGGTAGAGCAATTCGGAGGAGCTAAGAGAAGATTAATGCATAAGAATTGAGTGACTGTGCTAATGACAAAAAGAACCTAAAGGGACACATTTCAAATCAGTCAATGGTAAATGGTGGAGAGGTGTGAGAGGAAAAGGGGTCAGGGCCCCTTTGACAAATATTCTCTTAGGTATTTTCTCTTAATAGAGGGTCCTTGTGGAGGAAGAGTGATCTAAAAGTTTGCATGGGTAAAGGAATACCTGTTGAATTCAGTAAGACCTTAAATGCCCAGGGGAACTCTCTGGCCTTGGCTTAGTAAGCAATAGAAGTCACTGAAGGTCTTGAGGAAAAAGGAGGGAGAAGAACGCCGTAGGTTAGAGAAGCAAATCTGGAAGTATAGTGTAGACTGTGGGAGAAGAGTTCACGCTGGCGATTAGAGGCATGTGTGAGTTTCGATTGAATGTGTGGGCAGGGCTTACAGATATGAGATGACTCTGAGATATTCTTTTTTTTTCTTTTTTTTTTTTGAGACGGAGTCTCACTGTGTCGTCCAGGCTGGAATGTAGTGGCGTGATCTTGGCTCACTGCAAGCTCTGCCTCCCAGGTTCACGCCATTCTCCTGCCTCAGCCTCCTGAGTAGCTGGGACTACAGGCGCCTGCCACCACGCCCAGCTAATTTTTTGTATTTTTAGTAGAGACGGGGTTTCACTGTGTTTGCCAGGATGGTCTCGATCTCCTGACCTTGTGATCCATCCACCTAGGCCTCCCAAAGTGCTGGGATTACAGGCTTGAGCCACCGTGCCTAGCCAACTCTGAGATATTCTAAAGGAGTGGGGGGCTTACAGAGAGGAATCATGGACAGGCTAGATGGTATCTTTGAAGTTATCTGATCCAATATACTACCCAATACGATATGTCTACATTTAACAGTCCATAGCTTACATTAGAGTTCACTCTGTGTTGGTCATTCTATGGATTTTGACTAATGTCATACATCCACCATTACAGTATCACATAGATATCAATTTCTTTTTCAGAGACAGTGTAGACTAATGCTGTATCAATGAAGGAATTTTCTTTGACTACCAGATATCTGTTTCTGTAATGTTATCAGTGGATTCCCACTGTTCTGCCAGAAGTTTTGAATGTTCTTCCTGCTTTGCAGGCAGTTTCTCCCTAAAGAACTACTGAATATTATGTCATACTCCCAACAGGGTAATATATGTGATGTGCACTGTAAAACTTTCCAAAAGTTATTAAAATACTGAGTTCCAAATGCACCTGGCCCCAAAGGTTGTGGATTTGGAGTTGTGGATCTATACTCCCTAGTATCCCCAGCAGGATCTGGGAGAGGACCTCAGAATCAAACAACTTCATATTTCTGCAGTGAAAGAATCTCTGCACATAAATACTCACACTAAGTGGGATAAAGAGAGATAAATATCTCTACACCACTTTCAGTCAAGTTTTGTTGTGAAAGGGAAAACTTATTTTCTTAAAAAAAAAAGATTTTGTCTTTTCAAAGCATTTTGGATTTCAGAATTGTAGATAAGGGATGGTGGACCTAGACAACACATGACAAAGTGATATAAATGCCACTGTAAAAAAGACTATGGCACTCCAGCCTGGGCAACAGAGTGGGACCCTGTCTCAAAAAAAAAACAAAAAAAAAAACAAAAACGGCCGGGCTCAGTGGCTCACGCCAGTAATCCCAACACTTTGGGAGGCCAAGGCAGGCGGATCACATGAGGTCAGGAGACCAGCCTGACCAACATGATGGAACCCCATCTCTACTAAAAATACAAAAATCAGCTTGGTGTGGTGGTGTGCGCCTGTAATCCCAGCTACTCAGGAGGCTGAGGCAGGAGAATCACTTGAACCTGGGAGGCGGAGGTTGCAGTGAGCTGAAATTGCACCACTACACTCCAGCCTGGGTGACAGAGTGAAACTCCATCTCAGAAAAAAAAAAAAAAGAAAAGAAAAAAAATAAAAGGCTATGGGCCCATAGAGAGGCAATTGGTTCGTATCTTTACCCCTTAGCTAAGCTGATTTTAGATAGGTCAAGAGGAAGTGATAAGGGAATGGAGCCAGTGGCATGGACTATTTGTATGAGAAATTTATGGTGGGGCGCGGTGGCTCACTCCTGTAATCCCAGGACTTTGGGAGGCCGAGGTGGGCGGATCACCTGAGGTCAGGAGTTCAAGACCAGCCTGACCAACATGGAGAAACCCCGTCTCTACTAAAAATACAAAATTAGCTGGGTGTGGTGGCACATGCCTGTAATCCCAGCTACTCGGGAGGCTGAGGCAGGAGAATCGCTTGAACCCAGGAGGCAGAGATTTCAGTGAGCAGAGATCGTACCATTGCACTCCAGCCTGGGCAACAAGAGTGAAACTCAGTCTAAAAAAATAAAAGAAAATAAACGTATTAAAATGTTTCAATTGCTATGTTTTTGTTAAAAGCACCAGGAATTCCAACTCAAAGAAGCTAAAACATTAAATGTGTCAGCTAATGTATCTGGAAGGATCAGAGAGAAGACTAGCATAAGGCAAGGCTTGATCTGGAAGCTCAGTGATACTATCAAGAGCTCAGATCCTTTTGGCCTCTCAGCTCTGCCCTGTAACTTATACTTTTAGGTGTACATGAGCAGGGAAAACAAAACTGAAGACCGTAGCTTAGGCCATATGCCCCATCCATCCCTGGAGGTAACAAGAGGAAAGTCACCTTCCTTGGGACTGTATAGATGCCCAAACAGAAATCTGAGGGTATTGAGAAGGGGGAAGAGGGATTGGCTGGTGCAGAGGGAAGCATTTGACAAAGACAAGGGGAGAAGCCATTGAAAGGAGGTAAGCTTTTAATGTTTGTTTTAGATAGAGAGTATATGTGTGTGTTTGAGGGCAGAAAAGTGGGGATGGGGTGAGTTGAAGTCTAGAACTCATTAGAGACGTCCTGGAGGAGGAGGGGAAGAGAAAGGATTTAGACAGAGAGAGACAGTGGGTGTGTGGCTTGGTAACTAGATTGTGGCAACTGGCTCTGGTATCCTGAACTTGAACTGCCTGATAGATGAACGGGCACACCTGGTTACTCAAGGCAGTGTCTCTTGGGGATTGCTGTGGTTACAGAGCAGTTTTTTCTGTGAGGTCAAGCCACAGCTATAGCCTCAAGCTACTTGAGAGCTAAACCTATCTGTTTAATTATTGCTAAAAGGATTTTATTGTTCACTATGCACAGGCATATAAAAATGCACTTTGAGGTTATAAGATTGGGTCCCTGAACTGACCCTTTTTTGGTTTCAAGCAGCAACCATTACAGAATTTTAACCAGATAAACTGTTAGTAAAACATATCCACAGTGATTGCCACTTCTCTGCTATCTTTATATGAAGATAGCATTTTTTAGAAGAAAAACTCTTTATTGAGTATGATATAAAATGCAAACAACTAAACATCATAAGATGACAATTTGATGAATTTTCACCAACTGAAAACAACGAGCTAATTAGCATCCACGTTGAAAACCAGCACATCGCTGCCACTCCAGTAGCTTTCTTCTACATGTTATTCTGACCATGTTTATGCTTAATCCAGTTTAGGGATAAGGCTACCAAAAGCATGTAGTCTGCCTTTGAAATAATATCATGGCAATTTTAGAGTCAACTGTTAACTTGGTTATGTCAGTATTTCACTGCTGGAAGACTGATTTCAGAAATACTTTGCTCCCAAAAAACACATCTTTAAGCAAAAATCTGAATTGCCCATAACAATAATTTTCTCCTTTTGGTACATCAGCAGAATCTGTCAAATGGAAGGGTGAATTGATGAGATGTAGAGGATATGGATCTTTATTAAGCAGCAATGAGTGAGCAAAGAAGCAAAATATTAAATAGCAAAAAACAACAAACAAACAAAACAAAAAAAGAAGTGGAGACTGTACCTTACTATTTAATTCAGGATACTAAATACATACTTTGCAAGTGATGGTTATTTGCTAATAGCTTTTTAAGGTGTTTTACTTTGTAAAGATTATTATAGAAGAAACTGTTCTTCTTACTTCATTTTATACAAATAATAATGTCAGTAGTATTTAGTCAGTGGCCCCTATTTTTTTTTTTTTTTTTTTTTTGAGACAGAGTCTTGCTCTGTCAGCCAGGCTGGAGTGCAGTGGTGCAATCTCGGCTCACTGCAACCTCTGCCTCCTGGGCTCAAGCAATTCCCCTGCCTCAGCCTCCCGAGTAGCTGGGACTACAGGCATGTGCCACCATGCCCGGCTAATTTATTGTATTTTTAGTAGAGACGGGGTCTCACCGTGTTGGCCAGGCTGGTCTCAAACTCCTGACCTCAGGTAATCCACCCACCTCGGCCTCCCAAAGTGCTGGGATTACAGGCGTGAGCCACCGCACCCGACCAACTGGCCCTATATTTTTATAGAACATTTATATATTTGTTTTTGTTATTCTAACTTGTTTCTGTTTTATTAGAATATCAGTGCAGATCTGACATCTATCAATCTACATAAATATATATATATAATTCAATCCAATAAACATATGTATATTTATGTAAATGGATCTTGAGATGGGAGTAGGGCATGTGAATTTGGAAATAGTGTTTTAAAACATCAGTGGGTAGCTATTTTATAGTTACTTGTTTTATAGTTTTTATAGTTACTTGTTTTTCTGAGGTAGGATAGAAGAAGCAGTTGAGGACTGGAATAGGAAGGAAAAGGCTGGGGAGGGAAAGTTGTAGAAAAAAGATAGGAAGCTGAGAGGTCATGGGAGCTGCTTTTGCTGAAGTTGTTCATCAAACCAGGGGCCAGATGGCCAGGCTGAGGTGGAGGGGACCCTCCTCCAATATCCCTGACTCCCTTGCCTGTGCTTGGCCTCTGCTGGGACTGAGAACTGGGAGAGTGGCTGCCATTGGCTTGCCTGCTCCCAGGCGATTCAACACTTTCCTGTTCCCTTTCCTCCAACCATACATTGGCTCCCGGGACCAGGCCGTGTGTTTATGTGTGTGTTCATTCAGTCATAACTGCACACCATCGATTCAGATCACACATATTTATCAGAAGTGTAGCCAACTTTGACGTTTGTTTGGTTGAATATCACCAGTAGCCAAAAAAGTCTGGTGAATGTCAACTTTAAAAAAAATTGTGGTAAGAGCATTTAACATGAAATCTGCCCTCTTAAATTATTTTTTCTTTATTTTTGAGACAGAGTCTCACTCTGTAACCCAGGCTGGAGTGCAGTGGCACAATCTCAGCTCACTGCAATCTCTGCCTCCCAGGTTCAAGCGATTCTCATGTCTCAGCCTCCCGAGTAGCTGGGATTACAGGTGTGCGCCACCATGCCCAGCTAATTTTTTTTAATTTTGTTTTTATTTTTAGTAGAGACAGAGTTTCACCATGTTGGTCAGGCTGGTCTGGAACTCCTGACCTCAAATGATCTGCCCACCTTGGCCTCCCAAAGTGCTAGGATTACAGATGTGAGCCACCACGCTCAACCTGCCCTCTTAAATTTTTAAGCATAAAATACAGTATTGTTAACCTTAGGCATGGTGTTGTGTAGCAGATCTCTAGAACTTACTCATTTTGTGTAACTAAATCTTTATATCCATTGAACAGCAACTCCCCATTGCCCCTTCCCTTTAGCCCTTGGCAGCCACTGTTCTACTCTCTGCTTCTATGTGTTTGACTAATTTGATTCTACGTAGAAGTGAGATCATGTAGTATTTGTCCTTCTGAGACTGGCTTCTTTCGCTTAGGATAATGTCCTCCAGGTTTATCCATGTTGTTACCTATGACTGGATTTTCTTCTTTAAGGCTGAATAATATTCCATTTTATGTAGTTACCACATTTTTCTTTGTCCATTCATTCACCAATGGACATTTAGGTTGTTTCCACTTTCTTGTTATTATCAGTAATGCTGTGGTGAGCACTGGAGTACAATTATCTCTTTGAGATCTTGATTTCAGTTCTTTTGGGTAAATACCCAGAACTGGGATTGCTAGATCATGTAATAGTTCTCTTTTTAATTTTTTGAGAAAGCTTCATATTGTTTTCCATAGTGGCTACCCATTTGTGAATGTCAACTTTTAAGTAACTCTCTGATTGTGATTTGATTGTTGTGGGTACAATTTATACTTCCCAAGAAACACCTATGCCAGCAGAAATACCTGTGCCATCCTAAGCTTTTAACTTTTGATAAGAAACGATTGAATCGTATATAACAGAGAAACTTGAATATTGAGACGATCTTGCTCTTTGGTTTTCAAAAAATTGTGTTTTTCTATCAAAGATGGTTTAAATATAGCATTTTCCCCTTCCAAATGTGGTTTATTCTCAACACTTTAGATTTATTACTTTTTGCCTTCATTTAAATTTCCATTCGGGTTAATTGAAATGTAACAGATGGTCCTTGACACTTTGACACTCTCTGTCAAAACGCATTAGTGGAAATGCAGCATTTCAAGGGGAAGTTTGTACCCACAGGAAAGGTGGGATTATACCTACAGTCTATGAAATAGAAAGACAGTCATTTGAAAGTTCAGAATGGTAAGTTATCTGCCATGCCCAGGTCAAGAGAAGTTACAAATGTGCTTCTGTTAGTGGAAAACTATGAGAGTGAATGGTGATTGGAGGCCAAGTAAATTATAGAGGGAGGAGTTAAGGCTGCAGGCTGGAGAAGCTAGAGGAGACCAGTGGCAAGAGAGGACCAGGGCAGATTTTAGATGTGAGGACACTGGTGGTGGGCCTGGAAGGCTTGGAGAGTGAAAAGTGAAGGAAGAGGAGGCAGGCAGGAGGAAATTCAAGTGAAATAAGATGAGAAGTGGCTCTTGCAATATGAGAGAGGATCTAATGATACTGTTGTATGCAGGGATGGAAGGAAAGTGAGGCCAAGGGCAGCAGGGTCAATAGAAAAGGGAGAAAAAAAAACAGTGAAATTAGTTTCCTGTAACCCCACCAGTGTCCTACCTGTCTGTAGAGTACTGGCCATCAAATAGCTCCCATGGAAAGCTAGCATGTCTCGAAAGGTAATTGGATACAGAGCATCATCTGTCAGTGTACTGACCCTCGGGAAAAGCAAGAGCTTGGTTTCCTGACTTGTGAATAAACATTTACTCTCCTAAGAAAAATTAAGGAATTCTGTCTCATCCACTTAAGTCTAAGTCAAAGAACCGAAGGGATGACCCTGCATCAAACCAAAGTGAGTCCACTTGTTTGATCAGCTTAAAGGGATATTTTCATTTGTCAAGTGTTCCAGAAATAGTACATAAGATATTGATATTGTGTATTTTTGCTATCAACTGGTAATAATTATAAACATGCCTTGTGCAGATTTCTTCTTCATCAATTTATCCAAATATAAGGGTCTTGGCCAAAGATTTAAAATATCCCAGGTGTAACATCCCTAATGTTATCTTCCTGAAAGAATGAAGTAGGTTCGGATGGAGAAGAAATACCTCAGTTTAAGAAATGAAAAGCATCTGCTAATAATGAAAGAAAATTGTACTTATTCTTCTGGGACTTCACAATGTTCCTTCTCCTACCCAGGCACGTCCTGAGCACAGAGTGCTAAGTAGAGTATTGCCCTCGGGAGGTTCACAATCAGCCTGGTGAAAGATGGCTTGTGTTGACAGACAAGCCACCTTCATCTGGAACTTGTAAATTTGAGCTGGGGACACATTTGTCACATAGCAACCTTGAAGTAAACAGGGTGATTCCTCCCCCAGAAATAGGATTTTCGTTTGCTGAGGGGGTTGGATTAGATTATCTTCCTGCCCTGGTACAGCTCTAGTCCTCTGTGGCCCATTCGTCTACCTTTTAAAAATGCCTGTGGCAAGGGATTCTCAAATCATTTTGGTGGAGGTATAGACTGAGGCAACATCATTAAGAGGGCAACTTGGGAATATCTATCAACACTCAAAATGCACAAATCATTTGGGCAAGAGTTCTACTTGTAGAAATTTAGCTTGTACACTTAGTTGCATAGGTGTACCAATATATAAACACAAGATTTATTGTAGCAATGGTTGCAATAAGAGAAAAAAAAGTGAAAAAATCCTGTATACTCATCAATGGGAGACGGATTTAAAACATTATGTATACCCATGCAATGAGCTAATAATCAATATTTAAAAGTTTGAGATAGAGCTATATATGTTCATCCATATGTGTTCTTATCCCCATGAGGGCCTATATTTTTTATCTTTTATTCCCCTCTGCATTTAAAACAGTATCTAGCACATGTAGGTGAAGTACCTAGCACATTTAAGTGAAGAAAGGAATAATGAATTAGTTTTAAAAATGAGTTTAAAGATGTCTACTATAAATGCCCAAAAGGTACTGTGTATTTCCTAAGGCATTTCGTAAGTGGATCTTGGTCTTTCCCAGTTGTGATAGCAGGGGGTATGAGTATTTTACACAGCTCTGCCTTGGGAGAGTAGATGATTTTGGTTAGTAGTGAGAAGGCTTAATCCAAAATCTTGATAACATTCTCTAGGGCTGTACAGGTGGAGATGGGGAAAGAGACACTAAATAGCCATCTGCAAATACCAGTCACTGTTCAGAGCATTTCACGAATGATGCTCATGGTTGCAGGACGCTTTGACTGTGCTTGAAAAGGGAATATGAGACAAATTGCCAGCTATCCCATTTGAAAACATTTTGGTTGATTTCTTGTTAGTTTTAACACAAACTCTTTAGCTCAGCAAAGTTCACTCCTTAAATGAGATGAAATGTTTCCAAAGCATATATTTGCAATGAACATGATGGATTTACACTTCTTCATGTCAGGGAGTGAAAAGATATAAACTTAGTGAAAAGAGGGTAATGCTTAAAATGTCCTTTTCCTTAATAAATAATGTAAGAGATTTAAAATTCCTAAAATTACCCTAATTGTTATCTGTGTGTCCATTAATTGGAAACCCCAATTTCATTCCCCTTTGCTGTTTTATTTCTTTGCCCTCATGGTTATTTTTATTTTTTATTCTGTACATTTAAATAAAGCACCGGCGGGGGGATATACTCTTACAGGATTTTGAAATTTTATAGCCTCACACTTCCAAGTTCTTTATAGAAGAAATTATAAAGCCTAATAAATATAACTACACCTGTCGGTTAAAGATACACATTACGGAAAATAAAACCGCTGCTCATTTTCCTGTGCATGTTTGTGAGAGCATTTAAGGATTTGTTTGAAAAGAACTGCTGAAAATATGGAAACTTGACATCGTCACGAAACTTGCTGAGACGCTGGGTGCTGATTTACAAGAACACGCCCTCAGCACCCTCGTTGCGGTAGATAAGCCAACTCTTGGCAGACTGTTGTAGCCACAGAAACTCATCTGACTCTGCTACAGTCTGACGTAGAAACTTAGAAGAGTATGTAGCTGCTGATTGACAGCTATAGGTCTGTAGGGACCGTAGTCTTGGTACTCTCCAGCCTTCTTATTTGGGGGGAACAGCACTGGAGGAGATTAGCCACATTAGCTAGAACCTGCTTCCATCTTTATGCCCTCATAATAGACTAAAGGAAGAATATGAAGAAATGTATTGGAAATTTGGACTTTCTCATATAAATGGAGCCAAAGCCTTATTTGTCAATTATTCTATGGAAACAATTGTTTTTTTCTACCCCTCAACACCTCCACCCCTACTTTTTAAGACTTTTTTTTTTTTTTTGAGACAGAGTCGCTCTGTTGCCCAGGCTGGAGGGCAATGGCACAACCTCGGCTCACTGCAACCTCCGCCTCCCGGTTTAAGCATTTCTCTTGCCTCAGCCTCCCACGTAGCTGGGATTACAGGCATCTGCCACCATGCCTGACTAATTTTTGTATTTTTCAGTAGAGAAGGTGTTTCACCATGTTGGCCAGGCTGGTCTCAAACTCCTGACCTCAAGTGATCCACCCGCCTCAGCCTCCCAAAGTGCTGGAATTATAGGCATGAGCGCCTGGCTCAAGACTTTCAAATCTAACACATTTTATTTTTTAATAGAATGTATTCTTTAAAAGTTTTAGATTGTAAGAAAAACAGAAGATAGTACAGAGAATTCCCATATACCCTGCATCTAGTTTATCTCTATCACCCAGGCTGGAGTTGAGTGGCACGGTCACAGCTCACTACAGCCTCAACTCCTGGGCTCAAGCAATCCTCCCGCCTCAGGCTGCTGAGGACCACAGGTGCACACCACCATGCCTTGTATTGTTTGTAGAAACGGGGTTTTGCCATGTTGTACAGGCTGGTCTCGACCTCCTGAGCTCAAGGGATCTGCCTGTCTCAGCCTCCCAAACTGCTGAGATTACAGGTGTGAGCCACCACACCAAAGAGCTGGGATTACAGGCGTGAGCCACTGTGCCTGGCTAGTTTCCCTTATTGTTAACATCTTATATGAGAATCATTCATTTGTTGCAATGCCTAAACCAATATTGATACATTATTATTAACTGAAGTTCCTAGTTTATTCTTATTTCCTTCGTTTTTACCTGATACTCATTTTCTCTTCTAGGATCTCATGAGAAGGCCACATTAGACTTAGTTGTCATCTTTCCTTAGGCATCTCCTGGCCTTGGCAGTTTCTTAGACTTTCCTTGCTTTTGACAACCTTGACAGTTTTGAGGAGTACTGCGATGGTATTTGACAGGATGCTTCTCTATTCTCTGATGTTTTTCTCAGGTCCCATGTTTTGGGGCTTGGGGACAAAGATCACAGAGGTAAAGTGCCATTTTCATCCACATGATTTGTGACTGTTAATGTTACCTTTGATCACCTGGCTGAGGTAGGTGCCAAGTTTTCCACTCTAAAGTTGCTTCTTTTCCACCTTTTCCATACTGTACTCTTCAGAAGGAAGTCACTATGGGCAGCCCACACTCTTTGTCAGGAGTTATGCTCCCCCTCCTTGAGGGCAGAATACCTACATAAATTCTTTGCAATTCTCCTGCATAGGGAATTGCCTCTTCTCCGCCATTTATTAATTTATTCAGTCATGTATTTATATCAGTATAGATTCATGAGTATTTATTTTATACTTTTGGTTATAATCCAATGCTTTTTTTTTTTTTTTTTTGCTCATATTGTTGCATATTTAGCCACTGGAGGCTCTTTTTTTTCTTATTTTTTTTGAGATGGAATCTGGCTCTGTCGCCCAGGCTGGAGTGCAGTGGTGCAATCTCAGTTCACTACAAACTCTGCCTCCTGGGTTCAAGCCATTCCCCAGCCTTGCCTCCCGAGTAGCTGGGATTACAGGTGCCCGCCACCATACCCAGCTAATTTTTGTATTTTTAGTAGACATGGGCTTCACCATGTTGGCCAGGCTGGTCTTGAACGCCTGACCTCAGGTGATCCACCTGCCTTGGACTCCCAGAGTGCTGGGATTACAGGCATGAGCCACCGTGCCCAGCCTAGAGGCTCTTTCATTTAGCTCCTGTGCTCCTTTGACATATCCCCATTATTGTGTGTGTAGGTTCTTTGTTTATTCATTTGTTTGAGTACTTTCTTACTTTCTGGCACTACGAGATGCTCCAAGCTCATCTTGTATATTTCCCTTCCCAGTCATTAATTCAGCTGTTTCTCCAAGGAAACATTATCCCTTTATTGGATAATGGCTTTAGAAGGCAATACCTGGGCTCTACGCATGCTCATTGCTACTGGAGTATCATTTCTTTTAGGCCTTTTCAGCTGACAGAGCAAAGAAATAAAAGTGTGCATACAAACCTATGTGTATACACATGTCTGTACATAACAATCTCTATATTAAGCTCAACATGAGTTCATAGTGATGAACTTTATAATCCATTACCACATGGACCATTCTAGCCTCCTCCCCTCGCTTATCTGTAAACTTCCACTTCAAGGGTGAGAAACCTGGCTCCATAGTTGGCCTTCCACTTACTTAGTTGTTCAAATCCCAATATACATGCATAGCAGTATCAGAATTATTACCCTGGACCTCCCTGGGAAACAATCGAGTAGAGTACAGTGCTCATATGCAGTTCCTTTTTCTTTTAGGTTTACAGATGCCATTTATGTCCAGAGCTACTGAGGTCAGCACCTTTTCTCCCCATCTCCTTCAGTAAGATTGTTTCATAAATTTGTCATATAGTTACATTCTCTTATCATAGTCTGCATTCCTTACTGGGATCCCTTGACCTCCTAAATCATTCTTAAAGTCTGCATATATTAAGGTTCATTCTTTGTGCTATAAGTTCTGTGGGTTGTGACAAATACATAATTTCATTTATTTACCATTACAGTATCAGACAAACAGTTTCACTGGTCTGAAAATCCCCTCATTCACCTATACATTCTACTCCTTCTTCCTGAGCCTCTGGCAGCCACTGATTTTTTTAATCTTTCTATACTTTTGGCTCTTATAGAATGTCATATAATTCAAATTATATGGTATGTATCCTTTTTAGACTGGTTTCTTTCGCTTGCAATATGCATTTAATGTTCCTCCATGCTTTTTCCATGACACAATAGCTCATTTATTTTTATCACTCAATAATGCTCCATTGTATGCATGTACCACACTTTGTTTATCCATTTAATTACTAAGGGATATCTTGACCGCTTTCAGTTTTTAGTGATTTCCTAAAGCTGTTATCAACATTCACGTGCAGGTTTTTGTGTGGACATAAGTTTTCAAATCGATTGGATTGGTCAATTCTTTTATGACGTGAAACTCAAAGGGAAAAGTGGATCTTTTTCATCTAAACCTGGTAGGAGAGGATAAATCACTTTCCAGTGGTTTGTGATTCCTTTATAATTATATAAAACTAATTCTTTTCATTTCTATCCAACTTATTTATTTATTTATTTATTTATTTTGAGATGGAATCTTGCGCTGTCGCCAGGCTGGAGTGCAGTGGTGCGATCTCGGCTCACTGCAACCTCCACCTCCCGGGTTCAAGCCATTCTCCTGCCTCAGCCTCCCGAGTAGCTGGGACTACAGGCGCCACCACCATGCCCGGCTAATTTTGTGTATCTTTAGTAGAGACGGGGTTTCACTGTGTTAGCCAGGATGGCCACCATCTCCTGACCTTGTGATCCACCCGCCTCAGCCTCCCAAAGTGCTGGGATCACAGACATGAGCCACGGTGCCCGGCCTCTATTCAGCTTCTTAAAATTATCATGTTATCAACATTTATCCTCTTCTTCTGCCACTACCACCCTTAGTTTTAACTATAAGCAGCTGTACTAAGACATTCAGCACCTGTTTAGGAACTAAGAAGTTTTCCGTAATATCTATTTGAGCATGAGTACCCTGAGCATGATTGACATAATGATGTACAAAGTGGGCCTTTTCTAGCTACTCACTGAGCAAAACCTGCTGTCGCAAGAAGCATCAATGGGGAATTCTCCAGCGGAATTGCAATGAACTATTCTGGATTCCCAGTTTAAGGGACGGAGGTCGGAGTTCTGCTAACATTCCAAGCTCGACTTTGTCAGTGTTCTCTCTAGTTCTCTTCTTGCTAGTCCCTTAGATAGTGCTTTCATCATGCCGACACTCAGGGCTCTCTCTGATAGTAGGCTCCCATTGTCACTGGGGAGCGAGAGTTGAAATTCTTCACATTAGTTGAATTATGCTATTTGCTGAATGCTGTGTACTGGAGAAGGGAGATCTAGGGCCATCAGGTTCATCTAGAGAATTTTTCTTTGCCCAAAGGCAGGAGCCAAATGTAACAAGATGCTAAGAATTCAAGAAGAAGAATCATCATATAAGATGAGGGGCTGGGTGCAGTGACTCACCCCTGTAATTGCAGCACTCTGAGAGGCCGAGGCAGGAGAATTGCTTGAACCCAGAAGTTTGGGTTCAAGCTTGAGCAACGTGGTGAAACTCTGTCTCTATGAAAAATACAAAAAAATTAGCCAGGTGTGGTGGCACGCACCTGTGATCCCAGCTACTTGGGAGGCTGAGGCGAGAGGATCGCTTGAGCCCAGGAGGTTGAGGCTGCAGTGAGCTGTGGTTGCACCACTGCACTCCAGCCTGGGTGACAGAGTGAGACCCTGTCTCAAACAAAAACAACAAAAGAATCCAAAACCAGGCACTTCCAAACCAGGGAGCATAGGTTGTTTTACAAACTCACTGCCCTTTTCTTTTCCAATATCCCTACTATTTGTTTTGCTGGTGGTTATGGTGATGGGAAAGGATGTAATTGAGAATGGAACATGAAATAAGAACTTGGTCATAACCTGTATAAAACTGTGTCAAAGTTTACTCCTTAAATGTGTACTTGAAACACCCATTTCTTGTTTCCAGGGTGCCAACAGATGTCGTTTTGTAAGAAAAGCTCCCCAAAATTCTGTGCATCGGACTCATTTATGCAATCTCTGCCTACATTGGGACCCCACTGAAGCCACGACCCCTAAGGCAGGGCTGGACTGCCTTGCAGGTCTATGAAGTTCTCCATTCCAAATCTCTCTCAATTGTGATTTGCATTCTACATTTATAGGCAGATAATTAGCTACATTGCAATGTCTAATATCTTTCATATATATATATATTTTTGTTTTTTTGTTTTTTTTGAAATGGAGTCTCACTCTATTTTCCAGGCTGGAGTGCAGTGGCAGGATCTAGGCTCACTGCAAGCTCCGCCTCCCGGGTTCACACCATTCTCCTGCCTCAGCCTCCCGAGTAGCTGGGACTGCAGGTGCCCGCCACCACGCTCGGCTAATTTTTGTATTTTTAGTAGAGGCGGGGTTTCACCGTGTTAGCCAGGATGGTCTCAGCCTCCTGACCTCGTGATCTGCCTGCCTCGGCCTCCCAAAGTGCTGGGATTACAGGCATGAGCCACTGCACCTGGCCTCACATATATATTTATACAGATATTTCAGTGCCCCTTCGGAGGCTTATGTCCTGAGGTACATGTTTGGCAAATATCAACATTCTATAGGAAATTTCAACTGGACCTATTTACAGATTAAATAAGACATTAACCTAAAAACAGAATCACCAATTGACATTTATTTATTTATTTATTTATTGAGATGGAGTTTCGCTCTTGCTGCCCCAGGCTGGAGTGCAGTGGCACAATCTCAGCTCACTGCAACGTCCACCTCCCAAGTTCAAGCGATTCTCCTGCCTCAGCCTCCCAAGTAGCTGGGATTACAGGTGCCTGCCACCACGCCCGGCTAATTTTTGTATTTTCAGTAGAGATGGGGTTTTGCCATGTTGGCCAGGCTGGCCTCGAATGCCTGACCTCAGGTGATCCACCTGCCTTGGCCTCCCAAAGTGCTGAGATTACAGGCGTGAGCCACCGTGCCCAGCCCACCAATTGACTTTTGAAATAAGTGTTGGTATTATGAACTATTCATACATGCCAAAGAACATATATAGAATATATGTGTTGTTTAAATCATAATAACATAAACACGTGGTATCCTCCAGCTAGTTTAAGAAACACCCAGCAAAGGTATTTGCCCTCAAAGAGTCCTGTGTGCCCCTTCCTGCTATCCTTTCCAAGTTTTTCTCCCCTTACAGCTGAGGTCTTTCAGAATGTAGAAGGACCTCATACGCTTCACACTGGGACCTACAGAGGCTACCCAACTCTCCAAGGTGACCCAGAGACATAGAATGGTACCTGTTTCTACTAATTCCTGCTCCAGTGAGTTTTTCACTACATCAAATTTTTGACATTTATTTTGAACAAGGAATATTTTTCAAGTCAAAATAGGTACCTAATGGGCTGGGTGCAGTGGCTCACGCCTGTAATCCCGCACTTTGGGAGGCTGAGGTGAGCAGCTCACCTGAGGTCAGGGGTTTGAGACCAGCCTGGCCAACATGGTAAAACCTTGTCTCTAGTTAAAAATACAAAAATTGGCCGGGAGTGGTGGTGGGCACCTGTAATCCCAGCTACCCAGGAGGGTGAGGCAGGAGAATTGCTTGAACCTGGGAGATGGAGGTTACAGTGAGCTGAGATCGTAACACTGCACTCCAGCCTGGGTGACAGAGTGAGACTCTGTCTCAAAACAAATAAAAATAAAAAGTAGCTAATGATTATTATCTATAAACATCCTCTATTCGTTTTCAGCTCATATAAATGTTTCTTTTTTCTAGATCCTCAAAGGAGCAAAGGCTCAAGATTTCTATCTCATCACATAAAGAAAAAAATGAGGGAATGGAAGGGATTTATAAATACCAGAGACTATAACTCTGTGACTATAAAACAGTGACAAATTCTGACAAAGTGCTACTTAGAATCCTCTACGATCGGGTGGTACTCAGAGGTCCATGGGCCAGCAGCATCAGCACCAGCTGGGAGTTTATTAGAAATGCAGAATTTTGGGCCATGCCACAGGCTACTAAATCAAAATCTGCATTTAACAAGATCCCCAGGTGATTCATATCACAATATAGCATGCTTCCTAGTCCGATGTCCAAGATTCATAGTTAAATTTTCACTTAATTCACATTTAAGGCAGAGAAAATTATTTTTAAAACTCTGGGAATTTCTCATAAGAAAATAAGAATAGTGTTTTCTAGAATGGTTTTATCTCCTAACATATTGTTTCTTATGTACGCACTATTAATGCATCCTTTTAAGTGAGTAATCAGTTGTGGTATCTTTATCACTTAGACATTTGATGCTGTCCTAAGGTAAATACCAGTGTGGGAAAAAAAAACCACAGTCTTATCTCTTACTTCTGCTGGTCTAGAGGTGGGATCAGTAGCATGCATGTGAAGTTTCAGATTGCGCTAAATGAACTCATGTCAACTTCTTTCAGCATCATTGTTAGTGACAGTTTTGAGGACATGGTGATAAAATAAGGAAATCTATTGAGTCAGCAGTGCAAAGTGAAATGCAGAAAGTGCAACAGAAAGTGTGAATCCGGAAAGTTAATTCCTGTGTACGTGTGTTTTGATTGCCATTCATATGTCAAACCCTGAACTATAAGTCCTGAGTTACATGAATAATAACCTCTCAGCAAATTGACTAGAAGTAACAATTGAAATATATTTCAATATATTTTAAACGCATGTTGAACAAGAAGCCCTGGAAGAGGAAGATCAAAACTACTTTGTTTACTCTGCCTCTTCCAGGGCTTCTCAACTTTGATACTATTGACAAGTTGTAGGAGGTGGACCTGTGCGTTGTAGGATGTTAGTAGCATCCCTGGCCTTTCCTCTCAGTGGCACCCCCTTCCCCTGAGATGTGACAATCAAACATATCTACAGACATTGCAGAATGTCCCCTGGAGGGGCAGGGGGGTGGAATTGCCCCCAAGTTGAGAATTTCTGCCCTAGGCAGTGCCTATCATGGCCCCTGCCTCCCATCCTGGCAATACAGTCACTCTTCCTGGTGACCCAACAGCAGAACCAATGTCATTGTCCTCCTTTCCAGAGCTCTGTGCTCCAAAGGTGGGGTGTGCTCCTACCCATGTCACTTCACCCTCATCATGCTTATCATCCACCTTTCTTAATCATAACCTTCATCATTATGTGAAACTGGGGACAAATGATCTCTTTCAAATGACTGGCATATAGAGTTGATCCTCATCCTTTGAGGATTTCATATTTGTGAATTCATCTAGTTGCCAGAATTTATTCATAACCTCCAAATCAATACTTGCACACTTCTGTGATCATCTGAGGACATGTGCAAGATGGAGAAGAATTTGAGTGAACAAACCTGCATGTTCTCAGCTTAGGTCAAACAAGGTGGCATTTGGCCTTCTTGTTTTGGCTCTCATGGTATAAACACGTGTCCTTTTTGTGGTCTATTTAGTACTACTTTTTTTTTTTTTTTTTGCATTTTTGTGCATTTTGTTGGTGACTTACAAATGGCTCCCAAGTGTAGTGCTGAAGCTCTGCCCAGTGTCCCTAAGTGCAAGAAGGCTGTGATGTGTCTTGTGGAGGAAATACATATGTTAGACAAGCTACATTCAGGCATGGGTTACAGTGCTATTGGCCACGAGTTCAATGTTAATAAATAAACAATATATAACTGTCTTTAAATAATCAGGTGTCTTTAAATAGAAACACACATGAAACAAAGTTATGTATTGGTCAGGTGATGAAAATGTGACCAGAGGCTCACAGGAACCGAACCCTGTATTTCCCCTAGGAGCAATGGCTCTGTATTCACTAATTCAGCATCCACAGTAATTTTATAGAACTACTGCAAATAATGATAATTGACTGTATTCATGTGGGAAAGCCCACTTGAAGGATATATAAAAAGCTGGTAACACCAGTGACTCCAAAAAACAGAATTAGGTGGCTGAGGGACGGGGTGGGAGGGGACTCTTTACTATAATTCCTTTTTTGTTTTGGGCTACACAAGTGTAGCCATCAAAAAATTAAACTTAAAAAACAAATGCAAATAATAAAATGAAAAAAAAACAATTTAATCATGTTTGTCTTTAATCTCAGGAAAACAAAGTAACGCCTATCAAAAATCCAATGTATCAAATGACACCCAAATGCCCTCCCTGGTCTTCTAGACCTTCCACAAGCTGTTCTCATGCTCTGTCTGCTCAGCTCTGCTTCTCACCACCCGCTTCATGAGTGTATCTGGTTATCCCTCTGGATTACCCCTTGCCCTGCAAAGTACTCAGTAACTCAGTTACTTTGGTGTTGATTACTTCACATGTCTCAACAGAAACACCTTTCTTCTCTCTACCTAGCAACATTCTGCTTTTTCTTCAAAATCTTTAAATATTTTCCTGACCATCCCACTCTAAGGGACCTTTCTCTTCGGCTTGCTGGAACTCATTAGAGTTTGTTATAACTTACCATTGTAGCCAACTGACTTTGTTGGTTGTGTTTAAGTTTTGAGTCTCCCTAAATTCATTACAAGTTATTGAGGATGGGATTGGTGTCCTTCTTGGAACTCCTTCAGAGCCTTGCATGTAATAGAAACTCAATAATGTTGATTAATTATCCTTTATCATTCCATACCACAGTTTTTTTTTGGAGATGGAGTCTCACTCTGTTGCCCAGGCTGGAGTGCAGTGGCACAATCTCAGCTCACTGCAATCTCCGCCTCCTGGGTTCAAGCGATTCTCCTGCCTCAGCCTCCTGAGTAGCTGGGACTACCGGTGCCCACCACCACACCTGGCTAATTTTTGTATTTTTAGTAGAGACAGGGTTTCCCCATATTGGCCAGGCTGGTCTCGAACTCCTGACCTTGTGATCTGCCCGCTTTGGCCTCCCAAAGTGCTGGGATTACATGTATGAGCCCATCATGCCCAGCCTGCAGCCTGTCTTTCTAAGTGTATTCCTGTCCAGTTAGGTAAAAGTGAAGCTGCCTAGGTAATTAAGTTTTAAGAGTAGTATGAAGATGTTGGTTGGAGACCTGAAAAAGACATGCAATTGCTCTTCAAAATGAGCGAAAGTAGAATTGTGCCATTTGTGAGGAGGCGATCCAGAAACCAGATTTTTATCTCAAACGAGTCACAAAATGGGAAGGGATCCAAGTGTCGATTTGTTGAATTCCTGCTGGGCTACACACTGTCTGTAGCACCTAGTATACCTCATTTTATTTACATGAGCCTATCAGGTAGCTTTAATGAATTCCATTTTATAGGTGAACAAATGGAAGTTTAGTCACTAGCATATGTGTTATGCAGCTGGTAATTGCAGAATCGGGATAAGAGGCCAGGTCTAAAGGCCTATCATGTTGGGTTGTCCCCAAACAGAACACATAATAAACATTTTGAACAAATATAAGTTATTTGCTGTAAATTCACAGGATTACACCTCTGGGTAAAATACAGGGCAAGAATGTTTTGAGATGGCCCCAGCCAAGCATTGTACATCTATGATATGCTGCAAGGGAGGAGGAAACAGAACGAAGAACTTTGCCCTCCTTCAAGGCAACTAGTATCAGCTAGTGATAGTTCTCAGTCCTAGCTGAACATTGGTTCCACCTGGGGAGCTTAAAAAACTATGGAAGGCTTTGGAAGGCTGAGGCAGGGGGATTACCGGAGGTCAGGAGTTCGAGACCAGCCTGGCCACATGGTGAAATCCTGTCTCTACTAAAAATACAAAATTAGCCGGGCATGGTGGTGGATGCCTATAATCCTAGCTACTTGGGAGGCTGAGGCAGGAGAATCACTTGGATCCGGGAGGCAGAGGTTGCAGTGAGCCGAGATTGTGCTATTGCACTCCAGCCTGGGTGACAGAGTGAGACTCCATCTCAAAAACAAACAAACAAACAAACAAACTATGGACGGGAAGGGCATTGGACATAATTAGTTTTGGGTGGGACTCAGGTACCAGTACCATTATAAAGCTTTCCAGGTGATTCTAATGTGCAACCAGGGTTGAGAACCACTGAGCTAAAACCACAGAGAGGTACACGGATCAAGTGGTTTCTTTAGTTCAGTGGTTTTTAAGTCTGGTTCTTGGACCACCAGCATTAGTATCACTTGGGAACATAATAGAAATGAAAACTCATGCACTTCACCCAAGACTCACTGAATCAGAAACCCTGAAGGTGGGGCCCAGAAACTCTATCTTAAACTCTCTGGATGATTTTGTTGTACAGTAAGGTTTGAGAACCACTGCTCTCAGAACAGGCAATTCATTGAAAAGGAAAAACAAATAGCCAATAAACATATGCAAAGATGTTCAACCACTTTTAGGGAAATACAATGGAAAGTAACAATGAGGGCCAGTGCGGTGGCTCATGCCTGTAATCCCAGCACTTTGGGAGGCCGAGGCATGTGGATCACCTGAGGTCGGGAGTTCGAGACCAGCCTGACCAACATGGTGAAACCCCATCTCTACTAAAAATACAAAAAATTAGCCAGGCATGGTGGCGGGCTCCTGTAGTCTCAGCTACTTGGGAGGCTGAGGCAGGAGAATGGTTTGAACCTGGGAGGCAGAGCTTGCAGTGAGCTGAGATAGCACCACTGCACTCCAGCCTGGGCAACAGAGGGAGACTCCATCTCAAAAAAAAAAAAAAAAAAAAAATTAGCCAGGCATGGTGGTGCATGCCTGTAATCCCAGCTACTCAGGAGGCTGAGGCAGGAGAATCGCTTGAACCTGGGAGGTGGAGGTTGCAGTGAGCTGAGGTCTTGCCACTGTACTCCATCTTAGGCGACAGAGTGAGACTCTGTCTCAAAAAAAAAAAAAAGTAACAATGAGATACACTTTTTAATCTTTCAGACTGGCAAAACTTGAAATGATCGATAATATCCAGTGTGACAGTAGGAGACAGGAAAACATTTTATATACGACTAGTGGAGGGGTAAACCACCACCACTATAACAACCTTAGAGAGAATTTGTCAGTTGAATTACAGATTACACATATGTATATCCCAGGACCAGGCAATTCCCTCCTTGGCCTCCCTGCTAAAGAAACACTTATACCACCCATAATCCCAAGACTTTGGGAGATTGAGGCGGGCAGATCACTTGAGGTCAGGAGTTCCAGATCAGCCTGGCCAACATGGTGAAACCCTGTCTCTACCAAAAAATACAGAAATTAGCCAAGTGTGGTGGCACGCACCTATAGTCCCAGCTACTTGGGATGCTGAAGTGGGAGAATTGCTTGAACTCGGCAGGCAGTGGTTGCAGTGAGCCGAGATTGTGCCATTGCACTCCAACCTAGACCACAGAGTAAGATGCTATCTCAAAAACAACAGCAAAACAAACAAAAACCACATGCACGCACACACTTGTACTAGTGCATAAAATGATGAATAAAAGATATTCATATGCATCATGCTGTTTTTGCAGTGGGAAACAGCCCAAGTGTCCATCACTAGAGGAATGCCTGAGTATACTGAGGCCAGCCTTACTATAGAGTCCAAGCAGCAAGTGACAAGGATGAGGTGGCTCTACATGTGCACGTGTAGAACTGCCCCCAAGACCTTGTGAAATGCAAAGGCAAGTTGCACACACATGGATCAAATACAATTTATGGTCTACGTGAAATGTGGTGGGGGAAACATCCGGAATGGAGGTGTGGACAAAGAGACTTCAGCCTTATCTATAATTTTAAAATTTCTGCTAAGATTATTATCCAAGAATTTTTTGAGCAATAAAAAATAATTTTGGGGTGTGAAAAAAATTTCTGTGGAAATAATATACTAGATTGATGATATATTATGGTATACTTAATAATTTTTGGTCATGAAGCTCTGAGAATCTGACAAAAGTTTCCCCTCCCCCACAAAGGCACAATATGTTTGTTCAATTTGAAGGAATTTCTAGATAACCTGAAGCCCATTCATAGACCCCTTAGGGCTTCCTGACCCCAGGTTGAGAGCTTCTGGGCTGCTCAGCCTTCAAGGGTTCTAAGTGGTTTTACTCTTCTGTCCTGGGCTCCATGACCCCTTCTTTGTCGTATGTGTCTCAGAGGAGTCATAACATCTGACAGCTATTTTTATGAGCATCAGCAGCTCTTCTCCTGCAGATTAAATTTCACCAGAAGGTAGATTTTCGCTGACATCTTAATACTTGGAAAGGAGCAGATGATCCTTGAGGAGTGAGTGAATATAGCATATGGTTTGCTGAGCTGCAAACAGAAGCTGATCTATGTCAAGGAAGCTTCAAGTGTTACACATGTGCTCTTAGGCATCATCAGGTTCTGTTTTTAAGTTCTGCAGTGTCATTCTCCCCATGCACACAGACCCTTTTCAGTGTTTTCCACTTGGCTTATATATTAAAAGAAGAAGAAAATAGCAAGAAAAGATTATCTTTCCACTGTTAGATTTTTAATCGATATTCTGTTATTCCAAAATGGTGGCAGAACAAAGGTTTTTATTTGCCTTATTTTCGTCTACTTTAAACTGTCTTAAATGGCAAAGCCAGTTCTCATAAAAGTGAAACTCCTTGGTAATCTACTTTTTATTAAGTCCCAGAGCTGCCAATAGATTTATGGTTCTTAGGTAGTAAGTCTGATTAAATGTGATGTGCCTGCCATTTCCATGGATGCCTTGCACACACTGTCGACCTCATCTCTCTGTGCCCACCCAGGACCTCATTGCTGCTCACCCTGTAGCAGGTTTGAGAGAGCTCTGGACAAGTTGACTACAGGTGGATTTATTTCTCCTTTCTCTAGCCTCCCATGGATGCACTTACATTCTAAGTAGGAAAAGACAGGTCTAAATATTATATGTTATCTGAGAAATTTGGATGGTCATTCCTTTAAAAAAAAACACCATGGATTTTATTCAGTAGGGATGCAACTGGATATTCTTGAGTCTTTTCCCATCTGGAATAATAATTTCTGCAGCTGGCATTGAAGCCTGCCCCTTCATGAGCTGGTCCAACCTCTCTTTACAGGTTCATCTCTCATTGCTTTCTCCCATAAACTATTGCTCCCAGCCACACTGGCATCCTTTCCCTTATGAAAATCCCTTTCTTCTTCTGAGTCTTTACTCATGCTCTGCTAACTTGCCCTCATATGGCCCCTACCAGTTCATTTATTTTATTCGCTATCATCCAGATCCAAATCTAGATTTTTCAGAAATTTCTGACATTTCTGAAAAATCTAGATTTTCATTCGCAAGTCAACCCCATCAACAGTGCTGAGTCTCCTTTGCATGTTTGCAAAACCTTGTCTGTTGTGCTCATAAGGTACTTCTCTATGAAAGGTGGTATTGTACCTGCCCTCAGTATATGTATGTTGAGCACTTACTATATTCCAGGCATTCTTCTGGTTCCGGTGATATGAACAAGTTTTGTTCTCATGGAGCTTGTCTTCAAATATGTGAGGCAGGTCAAATAAGTACTGTACACAAATTCAATGATTCCAAAGAGTGAAGAAAATGAAGCAAGATGATGTGATAAAGCGACTAAGGAGGAGAGAGGCTGCTCAGTGAAGATCTCTTGAGAAGAACACATTTGACTTGAAATGTGTATGATAGAAGGTGTCAGTCATGCAAAAATGAGGGGAAAGAGCCTTCCAGGTAGAAGGAACAGCAAGTGCAGAGGCCCTGGGGTAGGAAGGAGCTTGGCATGTGGGTGATCATAGGTTTCCTAGATGGCAAAGGATTTTTTTAAAAGATGTCTGTATTTCTCTTACATCATCTAGCACATAATAAAGCAATCAGCTGCAAGACTCTTAGCTCCATAAGGATAGCTTTCATGCCTGTCTTCCTTCCATGACCCAGCCCAGTAATAGCACTTATAGGCACTCAAATTGATGAATGTGTGGATGGATTTTCACTGAGTAACTGAATGCCTTATCTCTGATCCGACAGCAGTTTTGCAGCAGAACCAGAATGGACAAAATAACTCCATCATCTCCTACATGCTAGTCTGTGCTGAGCCAGCTTCTCTCAAATATCTGTCTCCAAGGTTTGGTGTCACCATTCATTGAATGAAGTAAGAACAGGGCACTTCCCTTCCGGAGGAACGTTGTACAGTTAAGTGCAATCGCATATAGGAAATGGTTGGAACTTTTGGAAGCAGCTCAGTAATTTCAGACAATTCCTACAGCATGGCTCAGCAGGCAGGAAGCCAGAAGTCATTGTATATTAAACTTTACCCATGCAACAGTGGGAATGCAGTGTGACCAGTCCCTGTCCTCGCCACTGTGGGATTTCCAAGGCTGGCACCTCTTTTAAGCTTTTGGAATGTAGATAAAGCATTCCATCATGTTAGCGGGCCCTCTTTTACCTCTCCTGCTGCCGAGTTTATTGTTGTACTAATTCCAGGGCTCCCATCTGGCTCTTCTCTTGCATTCTCCCATGGAGAAGCCTGTGTTAAACTCATTCAAAGTAATCCCTACTGGCATGGTGTTTTTAGCGTATGGAAGAGACTGTCCATTCATAGAAGCAATAATGTGGTAAGATCACTTTTCAAGAGTATCAGTTTTAATAAAGAATAGAATCAAAAGGTTTCTTAAAGTCATGAACCTCCACAAAACATCCCCACCTCCTCAAAACAAAAAAGAGAGTTGAAACTTCATGCCTACTTTGGTTTTCAGTGGCAACGAAAGAAGCTTAAAACTACTGTAGGCCGAGCATGGTGGCTCACGCCTGCAATCCCAGTACTTTGGAAGGCCAAGGCAGGTTGATCACCTGAGGTCAGGAGTTTGAGGCCAGCTTGGCCAACATGGCAAAATCCCATCTCTACTAAAAATTCAAAAATTAGCTGGGCGTAGTGACAGGTGCCTGTAATCCCAGCTGCTCAGGAGGATGAGGCAGGAGAATCGCTTGAACTCAAGAGGCGGAGGTTGCAGTGAGCCAAGATCCTGCCATTGCACTCCAGCCTGGGCAACAAGAGCAAAACTCCATCTCAAAACAAAAAACAAAAAAAACTACTTTTTTTTTTGAAATGTTTACATTTTTGAAATGTTTAATTTCTTCTTTCAGTGTTATGGCAGTGGATTAGAATATGGAATTATTAAAGAGTAAAGATTGGGACCGCCGTGTTCAAATAGAGAAACTGAGGCCAATATGGAAAAAGCACTGCGATGCTCTCCTTCCAATGAAACCAAGACAAACCAGTTCACCCTACGAAGAGGCCAAATTTTTCCTAAACAGCAAAAAGTAGATGCTTTGCAAGTGATAGTTCCTAAAAAGGATCCTCATTCTCAGCACTCTGCTGCTGTTAGCACTGCTGATGGCAGTCCAGAGCTGAATACATGTGCAGAGAACTTCCATTTGTTAACAACCAGTCAGGGAACTTCAGAGCTAAGTTTTATTTTTGCCCAACAGCATTTATTAACACAACCCTGTTGTTTTTACCAGTTGAATTTAAGTGTCAGGTCCATCCATGACCTGGTGGTGGCCAGAGTTTCATATTGTGTGTACAATAATATGTAGCTGATGAAGGTGGGAAGAAGAGTTGGGATGAAATGGTAGGGTCCACACCTTCTGGCTTATCCCGTTACCACCTCACAATTACTATCTGAGTGGGCAATGCTTCAGATAGAGTTTGAGCTTAGACAGACATGTTAGTGATGGACCTAATCATTTGACACACCTGTTTGCCAATTGAATTGGAGTCCAGTTTGGGGGCTAAATTCCCCAAATATTTCCTGCTTCACAAGTCACACCCCCAAAGCACTGGCCAGTCGGTAACATCAGAGGGTCTCCTACATCCCAGGACCCACGGTCCAGATGGCTTCTACGCCAGGCAACCAACGGACCGTTGTGCAAACACAGTCTGTGGTTTCTCTGGCTGGTGTAGAACCCAGTCTGGAATGAACTGGGAAGTCTCTCATAGCTACATGGGGGCACATTAGGAAGGAGTATTATTTGCCAAGCAGTTAAAATAGAACTCATTGCTATTTGGTTTCTACTAATTTCCAGAATAAGTGATATCCTGTCTTTTTCACGTGGTCCCAAAAAGAAATATTTGACTATTGGAAGTCAATAGACGGGGAAAGTCTCCTTAAATCCTTCTGAATAAAAATCTTCCTATTAAATCCTACGTGTCACCATAGCCAGTTTTCATGACAAACCTTCCATCTTGGACCACATAAAAATTCAGTTAGGAGGTTCCAATCTAATGCTAAATGTTTGCTCAATGCACTTACACTGGTTTTAATTTAGCTTTCCCCGTTTATTATTTCATGCTTTGGGTAGTGTGACTCTGAGCCAATTGCTGTGAGCCATAGACTCTGCAAATGCAAACTAAATCCTATGCTACCATTCATCTCGAAAGTCCTCATTATACTTCCTAATTAAAGCTCATTTTACACATTCACTCATACAATAGATAGGACAATAGATATTTTGAGCCTCCAAGATGCATTTAGTATGATAGGACTGGTACTTAATCACTATGAAAGTGAGTAAGATAAGGTAGACAACTGTTGCCCCCACAGAGTCTAGTGGGAAGGACTCATGAATAAAAAAGGTAGCAAACAGCAATATGTTAGGAGCTAGATTTGAGAGTGTCTCACAGTGTGGCAGGAACACAGTGGGGACACGAAAAGTAATTCTTGCAAGGGTAGGAAAGGTTTCCCTGAAGAGGAGACAACATTGCAATTTATTCTTGAAAGACGGATTTGTGGACAGGGAATGGAGAAAGAGCATTCCCAGAAGGTAGAACCACATGAGCACCAGATACCACATGGAGTGGTAGGAAAGCTCGATAAGTCTGGAGAAGAGTCAGTGGTCCAGGGTGGCTGCTGTATAGGGTATGGCAGGGAGAGTGAACCCAGAAGAATCTGGAGAGATACGTAGAGGTGGGAGTCAAGGGTCTTCAGCTAATCCAGTTGTGGACACTATGAAACAGACGCAACTGACCAGTAAAACCTAAAGGGCTCTCCCTCCCACTCATTGTTACAGCTATAACAACATTGAAACCCCAAGAGAGGGATGTAGGAAGGAAGAGTGTGGACCTTGGTGCATGGAAGACTTGAGTGACTTTCTGAGCTCCAAACCTTAATATTTGTGGTTTTAGCAAATTATTTACTCTCTCCAAACCTCAGTCCTCACTCAGGCTCATTATCTGTTAAATAGGGATAAGTATGGCACCTATGTCTTAAGTAGGAGCAAAAGGAGCAAGTAAAAGAATGTATGTGAAGGACTCAGTATTGTGACTGGCCCACGGTAAGTAATCAACAGATGCTGAGTTTGTAATAATACATGATTGATAATATCTGATGAATAACGTATGATTGATAATAACATTACCTTGGTCAGGGTCAGTAGAGAAACCCAGCATATCAGGTAGATCAGCTGAGGTCAGGTTTCCCCATCACTTGGTTTCTGAGAATAGCCCCGGAGGGATTTGCAAGTTCAGCCCCATCCCTTGGCCAGATTTGCAATGTCAGGAGGACATGGCTGGCAGGCTCATTCTGTCCTCAGATTTCTTACCCCATGGGGATCAAGGAGGGAGAGCCCAAGCCTTGGATTATAAAGACATTCTTGCATCTCCCTGTGTAAAATGATAATGCCAAAGGATCCTGGCACCAGGCAAGGGCACGTGGCCCCCAGCCAAGGCTCCTTGTCCCCACATCGATTACTAGGTGCCTACTGATATTAGACCCTGGGGACTGTCTTGAAAGTCCTTGTTTCTTTCCCCTTAATGTCTTTGTTTATTTAATAGCTGCATTGTACAAGTGGGAATGGTGTGTATTTCTGTCTCCTGGCAGTGGTGGTTGACTTTAAAAAAAATGTTTTAATCCCAGCACTCTGGGAGGCCAAGGTGGGAGGATCGCTTGAGGCCAGGAGTCCAAGAGCAACCTAGGCAACATGGCGAGATCCTATCTCTACAAAAAAATTTTTTTGAAATTTAAAAATATTTTAATGCACTTTATTTTTTAGAGCAACTTTAGGTTTATAGCAAAACTTAGTGGAAAGTACAGAGATTTCCCATATACTCCCTGCCTTCATACACAGCATAGCCTCCCCGACTATCAACATCCCACACCACGTGGTACATTTGTTATAGTCCATTGACACATCATTATCGCCCTTCGTCCGCAGTGTACACTAGGGTTCACTCTTGGTGTTGCACTTTCTATGGGAGTTGTTGACGTTTTACACCAGTAGTTGTCCTGCGGAAGCCTATCCAAATAGCTCGGGGCAAGGCTGGTGATGCTAATTTATTTCCAAATAACCTGTTTTGGAGAAGGGGTTTAAGATTGAGCAGAAGTGCAAAAGAAAGAAATAAAGGCATGGAGGAAAGAAAAGAGAGAAAAGAGAAAAGACCATTCACTCACCCAGGCCAGTCCCACCCCCAGTCTCTGAAGCTCTTGGCAGGTGAAGGCTAACGCAGTTCTTGCCTAAGATGTTCACACTCTTCTCCTGTTCCCTAAATCTGCCTTACCACCCTCTTTCTGGAGTAATAGTGCTGCCTTTTCATCTTTTCCTTGCAGCTTTCTCCCTGCTCACCCTCCAGGTCTGCATGGTGAGTGCCCACCCCCACCCCCAAACTGGTATAGGGCGAAGTTTTATTTTGAGATGGAAGTCTCAGGAAGGGACTGAGGCTCCTCTGGAGATATTTTTTTTTCATCACCTAAGATAACTTATTTTAATTGCTCTTGCAGTGTTCTTGTAAGGAATTCTAAGTAAGCTCCTGCTCTGACAGATGAAGCCTTCTGGGAGGTTGGCTGTCCCGGGAGCCCTGGGTGATGCTGAGATGTCCTTTCAAACAGGCACCCAAACAGCTGAAGGGCTCCAGTTACCCTAGAGGGGAGTGACATGGACACTTCCTTTGCCAGTTGGAGAAAGAGAAGGAGGAGGGGGAGGGAGGTGGTGAAGAGAAGAACAGGAGGACAGTGACAGGAGGGTGGGGAGGAGTAAGGAAAACCAAAGGGGGACATGAAGAGCCACGGCAGTCCTGCAGGCTGGCGGAAGGGAGTGGAACATCCTTTCTCGGCCTGCACCCTCTGCTGTACTCTAGGGGACCAGGATGGCACCCTTCTTTAAACCTCAGGGTATGAGTAGTGATTTAGCAACACAAATTACACCCCTCCTAAAGTGGCGCCATTCTGCCTGACTCCCCTGGGGGATCATTAAGCAACTGCTGTAAATGAAGCTAGCCACCTGTGTGCTAGCAAGTGGCATTTGTCCTAAATCTTTGATTCAGGATTTAAATATGTATTTTACCGAAGCCATGAATTAAAAGGCATGCCCATTTACATATTTTTATTTTACCTTGGTTTTACTCACTTGGATTTTCTATATATTTCTATGACAACTATGGATTGCTTTGGTCATGAAAAAAATAATGATTTTTAATTATAAAAATTGAATTGGCCAGGTGCAGTGGCTCACGCCTGTAATCTCAGCACTTTGGGAGGCCAAGATGAGAAGATCGCTTGAGGCCAGGAGTTGGAGGCCAGCCTGGGCAACATAGCAAGACTCTATCTCTATAAAAAGCAGAAAAAAAATTAGTCAGGCGTGGTACCTTGTGCCTTTAATCCCAACTACTCAGGAGGCCGAGGCAGGAGGATCACTTGATCCCAGGAAGTTGAGACTGCAGTGAACCCCAAATGCACCATTGCACTCCAGCCTGGATGAGAGAGTGAGACTCTGTCTAAAAAATATAATTAATTATTAATAATTAATTATTATTAATTAATAATTATTAATAATTAAATATTTAACATCCAACAAAAAATTGAATTGGTTTGAAAAATTTTGCAAAACTATTTTAGACATTTTTTAAAGAAAGGGACCAAAAGATACATGTCCAATTGTTGATCTAGGTTAACTTGGGGGTTGGGGTTGGAATTGAAATGAGAGATGCGATATAGTCTTCTTTAACTGTCTCTGTATTGCCTGACTTGTTAAATGAATACCTATTACTTTTTTAACTTTTTAAGCAAATTCAAGAAAGAAAGAAAGTTAAAAGAATTATTTTGCGATGTGTTTTTAAAAAGCAAGGCTGTTTCATGAAGTGGAATACTTTTATCTCACTATTTTTTAAATTATATAAAATTTTTAGTTGAACTTAAAAAAAAAAAGAAAAAAAAAAAGACAAGGTCTCATTCTGTCACCCAGGCTGGAGTGCAATGGTGCGATCATAGCTCACTGCAGCCTCGAACTCCTGGGCTCAAGCGATCCTCCCAGCTTGGCATCCCAAAGTGCTGGGATTACAGGCATGAGCCATCGTGTTTGGCCCTTGGGCTTTATTTTATTAACAACTTAGCAAATTCCTTCTGCCAATTTTCTTTGTGTCTGCATCCCTAAGAAACATTGAGTTTTGCATTTGTCTCTCAATAGGAGAAGGCAGGCTTTTCTGTCATAATCAGATATTTCTACCCAAGGAATTCATGTATATATTTTTGACTCAGTGGCTTCAATGGCTTAAATAACTTTATTTTTCAACTATGAAGTTTCAAACTGACAGAAAAGTTTGAAAACATAATTTAATAAGTCTCCATGACCCACCATCTAGATTTAACAAATGTCATTTTTCATATTTGCTTCAGATCTTTAAAATAATTGCAATAATAAAATACTGTACTTATCTCCTGCCTTCATCCAGGAGCAACTGTCTCCCTAAAGTTGGTGTGTATCTTCCTGCCCAGTGCTTTACACTTTTATTATATGTGTTTATGTCCATAAGCACTAGGCACTATTGTTTTATATTTTAAAACTATACCTAAATAGTATGGCACTATACATATATACATATATATATTTTTATATATATTAAAAATATATATAAATATATATTTATTTTTTTATATTTTTATATATATTTTTATATTTTTAAATATATTTTTATATATAAAAATATATTTTATATATTTATATATAAACATTTATATTTATATATAATATATATATTTATATATAAAAAATTTATATTTATATATATAATATATATATTTATATATATATTTTTTGCTGCTTTTCATCAATTTTTGAGACATATATAACTCTTATTCATTCATTTTCATGGCTGTATGGCATTTCATATATGACTCTACCACAATTTATCTATCCTGTTTATCCAGTTGATGGACATTCAACGTACTTCTAATTTTTCTCTATTATAAAAAATTAAGCATTGAACATCCTTCTTTATGTCTTCTTGTGCACTGGAATCAGAATCCATCCAAGGGACTTTCCTAGGAATGGAATTGCTAGGAAATTAGTTGGTTGAACAGTCTTTTTAAATATAAAAGTGAGAGAGAAAAAGAGAATTGAACAAGGTCTTAGGTTTTCTTTAGATTTGTTGGTTTAGATAAGGATTCCAGGTCATCTCATTTTACCAGAGTACAAATTCTCCAATTCCTTTCATCGCTTTTCTCCCAAATTTAAAAACTGGGAAACCTCTTAATTAAAGCCCTGATTATGGAGAATTTGTTCAAACTCAAAGAACTAACTTATCTTGAAGCTCAACTGAGACAGGTGAATACGTTGTTTTTTTCTCTCCTTTCTCTCAGAATATTGAGTATCACTTTAGAATATATTAAACAACCTATCAAGATTAATGAGCTTATTCAGAAAAGAAAATAAGTCCTGGTAAGTAGAATAATAAATTTAAAATTCTGAATCTTTAAACCCAGGCTGAAAGATGGCCTCTAGTGTAAGCTGCATTACTGTGCTGTGACTTTATGAGCCTTCTGTAATGGTATTTTTCCCCTCCTGCTAGATCAATTTCAGCGTGTTTGGACCAGCAGATTCCAGGTGATGGATAGGCAGCTTCATTTTAATAGTCTGTTGGTACAGGGTGACCTGTAGCCTTTCCAGAAGAGGTAAAATGAATCCTCCGGTTGTCACCCCCTCCTTCCTCGCTCCAATTCCATCATTAATCCCCGTTTGAGGATTTGAGTGCTGCCGAGGACTGACAGACTCCATGAGGTTCAGCTGCTGCCTGGTACATGTGGTCACCTGCAGCTTCTTCAGCCCTACATGTGAGTAACTCAGGACAAAGGTCTACAACACCTGCCCTAAATTTCCCCAAGTCTTCCCAGCACTCCCAGTACCTCAGTCTTCTGTGTTTTAAAGTGTGATACATGCACAAGGCGTGATGTACAGCAGGAGCTAAGGTGGTCGACTGCGAAGTCCATCGCATCTTAATTGTTCTTAATTTTAAGGTGTATTTTACAGATTTTATTGCTGAAGACAAGGCTAAACAGCATTACATTTTAAAAATCATTTTTTAAAAAAAGTACATAGAAGCCGGGTGTGGTGGCTCACACTTGTAATCCCAGCACTTTGGGAGGCCAAGGTGGGTAGATCACTTGAGGTCAGGAATTCAAGAACAGCCTGGCCAACATGGTGAAACCCCATCTTCACTAAAAATACAAAAATTAGCTGGGCGTGGTGGCGCACGCCTGTAATACCAGCTACTCAGGAGGCTGAGGCAGGAGAATCACTTGAACCCCAGAGGCGGAGGTTGCAGTGAGCCGAGATCACGCCACTGTACTCTAGCCTAGGTGACAGAGTGAGACTCTGTCTCAAAACAAGTAAATAAATAAATAAGTTAAAAAGTACATAGAGATGCATGTGGCTGTGACAGTATTGGGAAGACTGTATTCAAATGACTAGATCTGGGAGACACTGATTGAAGCAAAGCACACTCTGACTTAGGGTCCTAGATAAGTCCCTGAATTTATGTGAGTGAATGTTTTCTGGGCACATTCTTTCAGTTCCTTGGGTCTCAGTTTAGCCCCTGGAAAATGCAGGCATTGGACTAGATCAGGGATTCTCAGCCCTGCCTTCACCTTTGAATCACCCGGACAAATAATGAAAAATGCTGGCATCTGGGGGCCCTCTTCAAATCAATTTCATCAACAACTTAGGGTAGGGACAGGGTTAGGCCAGGCATCAGTATTTTTTTTTTTTTTTTTGAGACAGAGTTTTGCTCTTGTTGCCCAGGCTGAAGTGCAATGGTATGGTCTTGGCTCACCGCAACCTCCACCTCCCGGGTTCAAGCGATTCTCCTGTCTCAGCCTCTCGAGTAGCTGGGATTACAAGCTTGCGCCACTATGCCCAGCTAATTTTGTATTTTTAGCAGAGACGGGGTTTCTCCATGTTCGTCAGGCTGGTCTTGAACTCCCGACCTCAGGTGATCCACCCTCCTCAGCCTCCCAAAGCGCTGGGATTACAGGCGTGAGCCACCGCGCCCGGCCAGCATCAGTATTTTTTAAAAGCTCTCCCAGTGATTGTCATGTGTAGGTAGCATTGAGAGTCACTAAGTAAGGTGATGTCTGAGGTTCCTTTCAAATCTAAGGTTGACTGATTTTCTGATCCCATGGATAGACTGTAAATGCAAAGTAAGTTCTGATTCAGTAGCAGTGGAGGAGGCTCATTGTCCCTTTCAGGCTCAGCCATAACAAGCGTGATGTTTCTCACACTCCAGGATTGGGTCAACACTGGTCTGAAAGCTCCCTGAGGGCAGAGGCTGTGTCCTTTATCTGGCTTTCACCAGTTCCTACCATAGTGCTTGGTAGACAGTAGGTGCTCAATAAATGTTAGATGAAAGAATGATAGGTTGGAGCTCAGGAATGTGATTTACTAGGGCATCTGGAATTAATCAAGTGGTCAGAAATTGGTCCATACTAACCAAACTCGCAAGGCACTGAATTTTCTACCAGAATTCCAGTTGATTATTAGTTTATTAAGGGAACTCTTCTGGGTCCAGGAAGTGAAACCAAACTCTGTTCCAGAACATTCTCTTTGTGGTAAACAATATCAGAAGGTCGCTTGGTGAGCACAGAACAAAAGTTGGATTTTTTTTTTTTTTTGAGACGGAGTCTTGCTCTGTCACCCAGGCTGGAGTGCAGTGGCTCGGCTCACAGCAACCTCCGCCTCCTGGGTTCGTGCAATTCTTCTGCCTCAGCCTCCCCAGTAGCTGGGATTACAGGCACCCGCCATCATGCCCAGCTAATTTTTGTATTTTTGTAGAGATGGGGTTTCACCATGTTGGCTAGGCTGGTCTCAAACTCCTGACCTCAGATGATCCTCCCGCCTCGGCCTCCCAAAGTGCTGGGATTACAGGCATGAGCCACCGCGCCCAGCCAAAAGTTGGAGCTCCTTATGTGCAATTTCCATCAAGCTCTGAAGGTCTGATGGCTGGACCTCCTTCTCTGTAAGCCTGTTTTTATGTAAAGTGTCAGGATCAGTCATCCAGAATCGTAGTGGGTGTTGGACCTCCTGGTGACACGCTGATAGATTTTCATTTTCCACCTTCCCCTTTGCAAATACTCATACGACCACTACCTTGCCGTTTGCACTCTTGTTACCATAACACACAGTTTCCTAAGTGTTGGATTGTTTTGCCGCTTGCTAATGACATACTCAAGAGAAACACTTCAATCTCCTCTGCAAGGTCACTCCAAATCACTCAAGCAAGACGGGTTACTTCTGGAAAGCTGCCCTGTAGACAGCTAATCCCATCCTTCTTGCAGGCTTGACTTACGGAGATGGCATTTGCTGACCTTACGTTTTTAAGAGCCATCTTATTTTGAGGGCTCTAGCACTTTGCCCACCATCTACAATTACCATGACTAAAAATACCTCGGAGGGTGAAGAATCTTCAAGGGGACTTTGCAAGTTGGAGACCGTATTCCTTCTATTTCAGTACCATATTTCAAGGCAATAGCCTTGTTCTTGCATTGAGCTACACATTACCTGCCAGACGAATATTTCACTTTACAGTTGATTGGAAGCCAATCTTGAAGCGGAACCTTGTGATTATGTCACCATTGCCCCCTTGAATGTACCCAACAGTGATTTTCTTGACAGCACCTTTACTGCTTAGCCACTGTACGCAGATTTGGCCACCTTCCCTGTGCACCTTGCCAGGGCTGCATTTTCCCCCATGAAAATGGAAGCTTCCATCGGTGCGTGTCGGCCGCAATCCTCCAAGTACCATCTCTGTCTTCCACCGCCCGCATAGTATAACTTGAGGGCTTCCACATAAACCTAGGATAGGAGAAACAGAGATGTATTTTGTTACCTAGGAGCTGGTATTTGTCTGGAGGAAAGTGTGGAAGGTGCCGCTGCAGGTTCAAACGGAGCTGTGTGCATGGCACATCTTTTTAGGCCATTGACTGGAGCAGTGGTGTGTCACTCAGAGTCACTCATGTGCAAATAGGTTGCCAACCTCTGATTGCAGGCTTAAACATGTGAGGCTCCACCACTCCCTGCCCATTTCTGAGTGTGTTTAAATAAAAGGAAGTGCTTCCACCATGTAAAAATGTTGGAGTATTGGGAGGCCGAGGCAGGCGGATCATGAGGTCAGGAGATCGAGACCATCCTGGCTAACACGGTGAAACCCCGTCTCTACTAAAAATTAAAAAATTAGCTGGGCGTGGTGGCGGGCGCCTGTAATCCCAGCTACCCGGGAGGCTGAGGCAGGAGAATGGCGTGAACCTGGGGGGCGGAGCTTGCAGTGAGCCGAGATCGTGCCACTGCACTCTAGTCTGGGCGACAGAGCGAGACTCTGTCTCAAAAAAAAAAAAAAAAAAAAAACAAAGTTAGAGTAACTCTGAGGACTTGCTCATATATTCAGGAAGCTCTTCTTTGAAATTAATTTATATATTTCTTCTCCTATACCTTCAGTCTGACTGGACTGTAGGGGAAGTGTGTGTGTGTGTGTGTGTGTGTGTGTGTGTGTGTGTGTGTGTGTGTAGGTACCTGTATGTGAATAGAACATTCATGGAAGGGCACACAAGAAACTGTAAACAGTGCTTACTTTAGGGAGGGGCATGGATGAACTGGGATACCAAAGAGACTATTTTTATTTTCAGATATTTTGTGCTGTTTTAGACTGCTCTTTCTTCCATTAAATGAGAGATTAGATCTGAATGGCCACGTGATCTTCTGAGTCCCATCTGTAAGAATCTGCATTTCCACGGAATTGGGGGTATGTTTTATATTTTCTTTCTGTAATCTTTTTACTTTACTGAATTCAACTCTGACGATTATATAGAAACACCTCATTTTTCTAGCATTACCTGAGAATGAAATTTCCCACACTGGGAATTCTCCAGGTAAATGAATCTAATCCCTTTATGTTGTTGAGGTTTGAAGTAATTTCTAATGGGATATTTAGAAGCTGCATTACATACCCCCCCCCCCCTCTTTATTTTACAGCTTGAGGAGACATGTTTCACATGCCATTAACACTCACCTATTAAAAGTTCAGTGGTTTTACGACAGTATATTCACTGAGATGTGCAATCATCACCACAAGCTAATTTTAGGGCATTTCAACACCCCCAAAAGAAACTCCATACTCATTAAGCACTCACTCCCCATTCTCCCCTTCTCTCACCTTCTGGAAACCACTCATCTATTTCTTTCTCTGTGGATTTGCCTATTCTGAGCATTTCACATGGACTCATACAATGCGGGGTCTTTTGTGTTTCCTATCCTCTTAAACAGAGTGCAGTTAGTAGCATGTTACTTTTTCTTTACGATTTAGGATTATTATGATTGGCATTGTGCCAAGCCCATGGCAACCTTGAGAAATATTTAGATAGGGCCCCTGTTTGCCTCTTATAGATTCCATGGCCCATTAATGTGCCTGTGGCTCCCTTTGGGCTCTGTGGCTGGGCCACCAGGTGACTGCTGAACACTTTGTCTTCTGATCCTGAACTCTCATGTTAACCATTATTTCCTTTCCAGTCCCCCCATGTCTGCAAAGTTGGTCATAGGTACATAAATGAGATCAGGTCTCAGCCCTCACGCCTTCGCTTGACCCAGCCTCATAAGGTCACTCCACTGCGAGCCTCTCTGGTGTGTTTCTGCCTTTCTCCTGGAGTGATGAAACAGGCTGAAATCTTTTCTTCTTGCATTGCTATCTTCAGCATCTTATATCATTCAGTCAGCTAAATTCCATCTTTGTGATAAATCCCCCACAAATATTTTGTGATCTCTCTGATCTAAGCAGTGTTAAACCTTTTGATTCCTTGTATCCTTCCTCTCCCCTTTCTTAAAATAGTCTGTAGCGCTCATGTCAAGGACCTGCTCAGCTTCCCTTTCTCTAAAATTGCATAATCCTACAAGAATATTTTCCCTTCTTTTCCTTCAGGAGCAAACGTTCTCAAAACATTCTTAAATGCAAACCCGCAGGCACAGCATGTGTCTGTCAACTCCAAGAGCATTTGGATGTTCGAAGGGAGAGGATGTTTGACATCTAACCCGTCGTGGAAAGAGGAGCCTCTGTGAGTATTTCTTTACTTCTTGGTAGGAATAGGGTGAAGGAAGAAGAGTCTGATTTAGGGTATTGTCACAGCTCTGGGTCAGACTCTTATGAGGGTTATTTGAGGTTAGATGAGTCAACTTGGCAGGGAGGGAGTGGTTACTGTTCTGAATTTGGCTAAGGGAGCATGGCAGGGTCCAACTACAGTATAGTATGGGAATTTCAGGTTGGGGGGCTTCTCATCTTATGCCTGTTGTCAGGGTAAGCCCGTAAGTGTGGGGGCACCCTTGCAGAGAGTAGCCCAGGTTCATTCTGAATTTGGAGAGACCAAGAAATTTCAGTCCGTGTCAGAGAAACTGATCCTTGGTTGGGCCTGACTTGGGCTGGGGAAGGGATGGCAAGTAGAACAGTGCTTGGCACATAGAGGTACCAGAAATATCTGCTGAATGACGGTGCCGCTGATGTCACTGAGCGGTCGGTAGCCACGGTCCGTCATGAGAGGCTGAGAGAGATTCTCAGGCCAGGCTTGGCGGGAAATGCTGTAATTTACGATTGCTCTGCCACAGGTGCAGGTGAGTGAGTGGAAGGGGCACGATGCAGGTGCAGGACCTGTGGTGGGACGTCAGAACTGGAGTCTGAATATGTTGCAGTGACCCTCAGTTGCAGACGGGAATCAGAGAAGAGTCTGGGCACATCCACTTTTGGATAACCTGACACTAAGGGATTCTGCTGAGCTCAGACCTGGGCAGATTAGCAGACAGGACACCCCCAGGCTCAGCCCAAGGTGGTTAGAATTGAGGCAGCCTCCACCGCAGCTACCCTGGTGGGCCTGCATTTGACAGACCATAAAGTGATTCCCCTCATAAGTGACCCAACCCTGCCTTCTGGTGGTCATTTCCATCAACTGCACCTGGGTTTAAAAGGACTGGTGTGGGAGCTCCTTTTCCTCACCACTCTCCTCAGCTCTCCTCAGCACTGGGGCTTTAGGACTAATTTTACTAACTCACATGAACCCAGTTCTGCTGTGATGTGAGTGTAATAAGCAGGAAAAGTCAATGTACTTCAAGACTCCATCTGGTTCCACCCATTGTCTGAGACAATTCAGTTATAGTTATAACATGTGACAGGCATCATGCAGGGCCTTGAATTTGCTTCGTAGCAGAAATCTTTTAAGGCAGGTACTATAATTATTCACGTTACCGAGGAGGAAACTGAGGCTCAGAGAGGCGCTGTTATTCTTGCTGCAAGACTATGACATTCAGCTGGGTGCGATGGCTCACACCTGTAATTCCAGCACTTTGGGAAGGTGACGGGGCAGGATTTCTGGAGCCCAGGAGTTTGAGACCAGCCTGGGCAACATAGTGATACCCTGTCTATACAAAAATTTTTTTTTAATTATCCAGACGTGGTGGCGAGTGCCTGTGGTCCCAGCTACTGGGGAGGCTGAAGCAGGAGGAACACTTGAGCCAGGGAGGTCTAGGCTGCAGTGAGCTGAGATGGCGCCACTGCACCACTGCACTCCAGCCTGGGTGAGAGTGAGACCCTGTCTCAGATAGATGGATAGGTAGGCAGATAGATAGATGATAGATAGATAGATAGATAGATAGATAGATAGATAGGTATGACATTCAGTTTTGGGTGCCACCAACCTGTTAACAATGGCACCTCCTCACCTTACCCCAGTCCATCCTTCAGACAGTGGAATTGAGGAGAATGGACAGGGAGGGGCACTTTCTATTTTATGTTTTACAAATGTATTTTTATAATGAGCATATATTATCTCTATAATTCTTTTTTAAATTGTAGACTAAATTCTGGGTGTCATCCCTGATGAAGGGATCTTGCCAGCCTAGGAAGGAGGAGGCAGGATACAGGAACTGGAGCTCCTTCACCTTGAGAGAACAGGGGTTCATAGGAGTATGGTGGCTGTCTAATGACCCTGGAAGATCCAAGAGAGCAGATTTATTCCGTGTGTGTCTCCAGCGCCCAGACCCAGGGTCAGGAGGTGGAGTTCTCAAAACGGGAGTTCAGCTGTGTGACAAAGCATCTTGCTAGCCAGGAGGGGCTGCCTTCTGCTGGAAAAAGTGGGATAACTTTGAAAGAACTTAAGCTGGAAGTTACTGGGATGTTTATACAGGAGAGTCAGTGGTGGGGAGAAGATTGGGGTTTAAAATATTAAAGCTATGGCAGGGTGCTGTGGCTCACGCCTGTAATCCCAGCACTTTGGGAGGCTTGAGGCTGGAGGAACGTTTGGGCCCAGGAGTTCAAGACCAGCCTGGGCAACGTAGTGAGACTCTGTCTCCACAAAAAAATTTTAAAAAGCATGGTGGTGTGCGGCCGAGCGCGGTGGCTCACGCCTGTAATCCCAGCACTTTGGGAGGCCAAGGCGGGCGGATCACGAGGTCAGGAGATCGAGACCATCCTGGCTAACACAGTGAAACCCCATCTCTACTAAAAATAATAATAAAAAAAATTAGCCGGGCATGGTGGCGGGCGCCTGTAGTCCCAGCTACTTGGGAGGCTGAGGCAGAAGAATGGCGTGAACCCGGGAGGCGGAGCTTGCAGTGAGCCAAGATGGCACCACTGCACTCCAGCCTGGGCGACAGAGACTCCGTCTCAAAAAAAAAACAACAAAGCAGAACAAACAAACAAACAAACATACAAACAAAAACATGGTGGCGTGCGCCTGTAGTCCCAGAGGCTGAGGCAGGAGGATCGCTTGAGCCTGGGAGGTTGAGGCTGCTGCGGGTCATGATTGCGCCCTACACTCCAGCAAAGCCTTTGATATTCCGGTCTCCCAGTCTGTGATCCTACCAGTGGGCTGCAGTACCCACTCCTGCCTCTAGGTGGCAGCCTTGGCTCTGTAAAACCCAGGTCTGTTTTTGGTGCCCTGGTTCCCACCCTTGGCTGGGTATTGTTTTCATCTGGAGATTTAGGGTATTGCAATCTACTGATGCCTGGGGCTGCACCTCCGGATATTCTGATTTAATTGGTCTCGGGTGGGACCTGGGAATTGGGAATTTTGAAAGCTCCTCAGGTGGCTCTAAGCCAAGGTTTGGAGTGACTGAGTGCTTAGACCCTGCCATTTCTGTGGGTTCGGTGAGCAGATTGTTTCATTTTATTTTCTTTCACTGTACTCTGCAGGGGGAGACTGGACCCATGGAGAGAAAGTAGGAGCATTAAAAGAGATGTCACCAGAAGCTACAAAACATACCAGCTCATTAAGATAGAGACAACAAAATAGGTCCCTCTAAAAATAGGAGAGAGAGAAGAAACAGGAGCTTAAACAGTGCCCATGAAGGAGTTACAGGCCTTTAACTCCCCCAGGAAGTGAATTTACTCCAGCCATGTAGAGGGCAGGGGAATGTTCCAGAAGGCAGGGTGACACGCTGGCCGGGGGCCAGAGACCTCTCTCTTTCTGGTAGCTTTAGCATGCGGCCAGGCAGTGGCAGTTCCGGAATTCAGGACTCTCTGGGGACCTGCGGGTATGGGCTGGCAGAAGGGGCTTCACAGGGAGAATAAGGGGCTTGCGGGGAGTTGGTTCCAGCCAGTGACAGTGAACTGACCCAGCCCAACACCTCTGTCCCTAGGCATGGTGGCTGCCCTCATATCTGCCCCAGCCCAGCACTGGGATCTCACAGAGAAAAAGGGCCTTCCGTAAAGGCAGAAAATAGCTATTGCCATAACTCTTCAAGATGCTGGGCCACAAACCACATTGCTGCGGCCCAAGCCCGGACTAGAGGGAGGCAAGTGAGGCACCCTCTTTGGCACAAAATCTAAGGGGACTGCAAAAAACCCTCATTAATCAAGGCCAGGTGCGGTGGCCCATGCCTGTAATCCCAGCACTTTGTGAGGCCGAGGCGGGTGGATCAGCTGAGGTCAGGAGTTCAAGACCAGCCTGGCCAACATGGTGAAACCCAGTCTCTAGTAAAAATACAAAAATTAGCTGGGCATGGTGCCGCGCACCTGTAATCCCAGCTACTAGGGAGGCTGAGGCAGGAAAATTGCTTGAACCCAGGAGGCGGAGCTTGCAGTGAGCCGAGATCGTGCCACTGCACTCCAGCCTGGGCGACAAAGTGAGACTCCAACTCAAAAAAAAAAAAAAAAAAAACCAAAAAAAAAAAAACCAGAAAAAGCTCAATAATCAAAATTAATCATATTGTATTGCAATACTTTTTAAAATCAAGGTTAGTGCAAAAAACACCCATGATTAACAAAATTTTAAATGAAGATGGGATGGGTGTTCCTGCCTTTATGAGCCTAAATGGCTTCTCTTGCCTTTACTCCTCTGTGGCACAGCACGGCTCTGGACTTCTGTAAGGGAGTCTTCTATTTTTCACCCACACCTTGCAGGAGCCACCAGTCAGCTTTGGCACCTCAAGAACTTTAGCACTCAGGGTGAGGCCAGGCTAGAGACCCTGATGCCTGGCAGAGCAGCAGTGCCACCTAGTGGCTCACGCCTATAATCCCAGCACTTTGGGAGGCTCTAGTGCCAAGGCATGAAGGGTGATGCCAGACAGAGCAACAGAGAGGGCCAGAAGCTGTCCGGAAGAGAGGGTTTTCCAGAGCACAGGAGCACGGGAGCCTCTGCATGGGCAGCTGCACGGGCGGAGCTGAGGTGGGGCAGCAGGGAGGCTGAATGAACAGATGAGGCAGGAGCAGGGAAGAGTCAGTGTTGCTGAGACTGATTTTTCCTGCAGGCAGAAAATTCCCATGCACAGTCTTAGCACCGCCACAGGCAGATGGGGTGACCTGGAAGCAGTCGCCCCTCCTTGTCCTCATCTATGAAACAGGAGGGTCAGCACAGACCGTCTGTCTCTGTGGCTTGCATATTCTTCAGAACTTGTGCCCAAGTTTCCATTTCCAGGGACGGGTGTGAGAAATCAGCTTCCGAGCGACAAAACAGTCTCCTGTTGGCAGCTCCAGGCCGCCCCCCCCCTTTGTTTTTTTTTTTTTTTTTTTGAGACGGAGTCTCGCTCTGTCGCCCAGGCTGGAGTGCAGTGGCGTGATCTCGGCTCACTGCAAGCTCCGCCTCCAGGGTTCACGCCATTCTCCTGCCTCAGCCTCCCGGTAGCTGGGACTACAGGCACGCGCCACCGCGCCCAGCTTTTTGTATTTTTAGTAGAGACGGGGTTTCACTGTGTTAGCCAGGATGGTCTCGATCTCCTGACCTCGTGATCTGCCCTCCTCGGCCTCCCAAAGTGCTGGGATTACAGGCGTGAGCCACCGCGCCCGGCCCAGGTCACTTTTTTTTTTTTTTTTTTTTTTTTTGAGGCGGAGTCTCGCTCTGTCGCCCAGGCTGGAGTGCAGTGGCGCGATCTCGGCTCACTGCAAGCTCCGCCTTCCGGGTTCACATGATTCTCCTGCCTCAGCCTCCCAAGTAGCTGGGACTATGGGCACCCGCCACCGTGCCCGGCTAATTTTTTGTATTTTTAGTAAAGGCGGGGTTTCACCATGTTAGCCAGGATGGTCTTGATCTCTTGACCTCGTGATCTGCCCGCCTCGGCCTCCCAAAGTGCTGGGATTACAGGCGTGAGCTACCGCGCCCGGCCCAGGCCACTTTTTTTGTTTTTGTTTTTGTTTTTGTTTTGTTTTGTTTTTTGGAGATGGAAAGTGGTGGGGAGATTGTTTTTGTTTTTGTTTTTGTTTTTTTTGTTTTTTTTGAGGCGGAATCTTGCTCTGTCGCCAGGCAGGAGTGCAGTGGCTCACTGCAACCTCGGCCTCCTGGGTTCAAGCGATTCTCTTGCCTCCGCCTCCTGAGTAGCTGGAACTACAGGCTCGTACCACCACACCCAGCTAATTTTTGTATTTTTAGTAGAGAGGGGGTTTCACCATGTTGGTCAAGATGGTCTCGATGTCTTGACTTCCTGATCCGCCCACCTTGGCCTCTCAAAGTGCTGGGATTACAGGCATGAGCCACCGACCCCTGCCAAGATTGGGTTTTAAAGTCTTAAAGCTATGGCAGGGTGCTGTGGCTCACCTTCCTTCTTTCATTGTCTCTCTCTCTCCTTACTTCCCTCCCTCCCTCCCTTCTTTTCTTTCTTCTTTCTTTCCTTTCTCAGACAGAGTCTTACTCTGCCACCCAGGCTGGAGTGCAATGGCATGATCTTGGCTCATTACAACTTCCTCCTCCCGGGTTCAAGTGACTCTCCCGCCTCAGCCTCCCAAGTAGCTGGGATTACAGGCGTCCACCACCATGCCCAGCTAATTATTGTATTTTTAGTAGAGATGGGGTTTCACCATGTTGGCCAGGCTGGTCTCGAGCTCCTGATCTCAGGTGAGCCACCCACCTCGGCCTCCCAAAGTGCTGGGATTACAGGCGTGAGCCGCTGCGCCTGGCCTCCAGGCCACTTTTGACATGACAGTCCCAGGAGCAGCATCACCGACCACCACATATCCAATCCGAGGGAGAGGAAGGAGGAAAGGACTTCTCCATGGGGATGTCCTCACCCAGCCTCGAGATTGTGACTTTCTGGAAACTTTAGTAACAAATGCTGCCTGTGCCAACAGCTTAGCACTTGGTTATACTGTTAATTAATTCCCAGAATCTTAGACACTAGGGTGGCAAATAGGATTTTATGAGTGCCTGAGTGCCAGAGAAGATTAGCAAGAGAAAAAAAAAAAAACAAACAAAAAAAAAACAGAATGGAGAGGTTTCACTCTTGGACATGGAGTTTTGAGAAATCCTCCAGGGCCTGGTTCTCAGAGGGTGGTCCCTGGACCACCAGCATCAGTATCATCAGGGAACTTGCTAGAACCGTAAAACCTTGAGCCCCATTCCAGACCTGAGAATCAGAACCTGGAAGGTGGGGTCTGGTGAGGTGGGTTTCAGCCAACAAGCCCTGCAGAGCATTCCGAGGCATGTTCAAGTTTGAGAATCACTGATTTAGAGCCATGCTTCTCAAACCCCGCTGTGCCTGCCAGTCACCCAGGGATCTCATTAGAAAGCAGATTCTGATCCAGTCGCCTAGGGAGGGTTCTAAGACTTTGCAGTTCTGACAAGCTCCCAGGTGACACAATACTGCTGGTCTTTGGAAAACTTTGTGTAGCAGAGATCTAGGCCTGCATTTCCCAGACAAGCTTTATGATGAAAGTCACCTGGGTGCTTATTAACTATACAAGTTACCAGGTCTCTCCCCTGGAAATTCCCGTTTTGTGGATCTGGCTTTGGGCCCAGGAATCCGCTTTTTAAAACAACTGCTCTAAGAGTTTACCTTTAGGCAGATGATTAGAATCACCAGGGAACGTTTCAATGCAGATTCCCCAGCTCCAACCCAACCTACTGACTCAGAATCTCTGACGGTGCAGCCCTAAATTCTGAATTTTTTTTTAAAGAAAGTAAACCAGGCAGCCAGGCATGGTGGCTCACGTCTATAATCCTAGCACTTTGGGAGGCCTAAGCGAGTGGATAACAAGGTCAGGAGTTTGAGACCAGTCTGGCCAATATGGTGAAACCCTGTCTCTGCTAAAAATACAAAACTTAGCTGGGTATGGTGGTGGGTGCCTGTAGTCCCAGCTACTTAGGAGGCTGAGGCAGGAGAATCGCTTGAATCCGGGAGGCGGAGGTTGCAGTGAGCCAAGATTACGCCACTGCACTCCAGCCTGGGTGACAGGGTGAGACTCTATCTCAAAAAAAAAAAAAAAAAGTAAACCAGGCAATGCTGATGCCCAGCTAGGTTTAGAAACCCTTGGAATAGTTCAGACCTCTCGTTTTTCAAGTAAGGAACCGGAAACCTGGAGAGTGAGATGCCAAAGATTATGAAAGAAACTGGAAGGAAAGTGAAGACTGGAACAGAGATTTTCTCATTCCTGCTTGAGTGTTCTTCCAATGACTGTGTGTGTGTAGCTTTGAAAATACAAAGTATTGGGAATAGGAACTGTGATACAAACAAAGGTAAGTAGGACAGTGTAAGTCATGACTGCTACTCAGGGAGAGTAGAGGGAGTATTTAAAAATGCCCCTAAAAAGGTGCACAAAGGATAGGGGCGTAGCCACTGGTGGGTGGGGAGGACCAAGACAGCCTGAGGTGTGTTAAGATTTCAAGGGGAGATGGCTGGGCGGGAGTAGTGAAGGGGAGCCACATCTGCGGGCACACGTGGAAGGACAGGTTGAGTATCCATCTGAGGCGGCCTGGCGTGGTGGCTCACACCTGTAATCCCAGCACTTTGGGAGGCTGAGGCGGGTGGATCACAAGGTCAGGAGTTCGAGACCAGCCTGGCCAATATGGTGAAACTCCGTCTCTACCAAAATTACAAAAATTAGCTGGGTGTGGTGGTGGGCACCTATAGTCCCGGCTACTAGGGAGGCTGAGGCAGGAGAATTGCTTGAACCTGGGAGGTGGAGGTTACACTGAGCGGAGATAGCACCACTGCACTCCAGCCTGGGTGACAAAGCAAGACTCTATCACAAAAATAATAATAATAATAATAAGTATCCATCTGAGGCAAGTGTACTAAACTGATGGGCCGGGAGGGGGCATTCACAGTTGCTGGGCAGAGCAGTGACAGGTCAGAGTTGTGTTTCAAATAGGCCTAAGTAGGACTAAGTTGTATTAACTAACTTGAATGGACTCAGCTGTAACATTGTCTGTCTTGAACACTACACACTTTGGGGCCAAATGGTTGGTGAACCATGTGTACCCCAGATCACCAGCTCTTCATATCACCATGCAAGCCAAAAATTCGTTTCAATTGAGCCATGACATGCAGGAAGAGACTGCCCAAAATTGCTTCTTCCTTTTTCTGTAACACTTAATATTCAAACTGTCTTTTTAACTCAGCAACACAGGATGATTTAAACTATAGACCTAGTATTAATATTTCCTTACAGAGGTGGCAACAGCCACCAAAACAAACAAACAAAAAAGCTCATGTTCATCTCCACCCCCATATTTCAGACAGTGACATGAAGGCAATGGATTCTCAGCATTACAAGGCAAGACAGAACTTGAAGGAAGAAGGCTGGGAGGAAACCAATGTTGAATGAACACTGACTCTGTGCTCAGCCCTGAGCAAGCAGTGGAATGCCCCTGGGCTGTGAGCCACGAATTCAAATCCCAGCTTGTAGAGCTGTTCTGGGGGTTAGAAGTTTGGGGTCCCTCGTTGCTGCACTCGTTCCAGGTTTGGGGCTGGCGCTGCCCTTCTGACCCCTCCCTAAAGTGGACACAGGAGAAGGAGCGGGGAGAAGAGACAGGCGGCCAGGAGACACCCTGTTGAGGGCTCCCTCTGCTTGCAACAGGACCTGCTGAGGTTGCAGCTGAAGTGCTGGTCTTCCCAGAGAAAACAACCCCTCATTCTCAAAGGATGAGAGTGAGCCCTGCGGGGCTGCATGCTCTTGGCCATGGGAGATCAACTGTGGTCACATAGAGTGTAATCAGTGTGTATTTATGGATCACTCACTACATGCAAGACCGGGACACAGCCGGGATTTACTGTGGGGCTGAAAGCAAGTCACTTAAAAAGGTAAAAATTCATGTCCTTTTAATCTACTTTTCAGCAAGGAACATCACGTCTGAATGCTCGCGGCCTCTGCCTGCCCCGTGGGATGGTGCTGGAAATTATACTCATATTTAGATAGCATTCTCTGCAAGTGGCTGCTGTTGTCCTTCCATCGTCAGCACAGGCAGATGCTGGGAGTACCCACCTTGGGGTGAGGTGGCAAGAGAGGGCCAGCTTGTATCCGCCTCGTTGTCGTCCTTCCTTCCTGACTTGACTCTCTCCTCTGTGGCCTTCTCAGGAGTGGGATGTGGTTGTGAGGAGAATGTGCACTTTACCCCTCACCAGTCCAGAGAGGGGCACATAGCCCAAACCTCTCCCCTTCCCAGAAACCTGCAAGTCCCCCTGGGTGCGCCTGTGTGATGAGGCAGGCTCCGAGAGCCACAGGCTGGTGGGCCACTAGGAAGCAGTAAAGGAAGACATTTTATGATTGTAGCTGGAGATAATGAATTGAAAAGCTGGTCTCTGTTTCTGGAAATGATGCCAGGAGGCCCTCAAAATAAACGCCCACCTGTCCTTCAGGTCTCAACACCTGTTGCTCTTGGGACAGAGATCCCAGGCCCAAAATAGGCACAGCTGCTATGGATGCTCGTCTTGCCCTCCTGGAGCTGAGACTGGGCCATGTTTGGAAATATGTCTCCCTCCATCCCCTCCTCCCATCCTCATTTGGAGCCTTAGGGCTTTAAGACGTGAGCTCTTTCCTCGCTCCCTCTCCCCAGTCTTTCTTGGGTATCTCTGCTCCTCCCATCACCTGTTCCTGGGCATGGCATAGGCAGTTGGTAAATGACAGATGAATGAATACATGTACAAGGAAACACAGATCTGAAATTTCTAGCAGCAAAGTTTGGAGCAGGAAGCTCTGGCTGGCCCTGGGCTTTTTGCTAAGGGTGTTCTGGCTTCGCGTGGCAGCACCCCTCCCCACCGGGCCTTTGCCAGGACGCTCGATCCTCTCTTCGGGCTTCTGAGCAGTGTGAATTGCAAACAGCCATGCCCACTCCCCAGGCCAAGAAAACCAAGTTCATGGCCAGGATTGCTCACAAAAAAAAAAAAAAAAAAAGAACCACTTCTGCCTTATCATTCTCTCTTTATTACCGAAATGCGGAGACAGAAAGTCAACAGAGAAAGAATTGTTTTCCCCAAGGCCACACAGATTGCTCCAACACTTGACTTTTCCTGCTAGGAACTCAATCCAAGAGATGGGCTTTCTTTTGTTCTCTGACTATAAAAGGGTGTCACCTTGTCACCATCTTCTATCACACAGGACCCCTATGGGCTTGGTTTGGTTTTGTTCTTTCATCATTATTATTTGGAAAGTTATATTTCCTTTACTGTCCTTGAGGTGTGAGGCTTCACCTCATCTTGTCTCCATATCCCTGAGTCACTAAGGAGTCCTATGTCAATGACACCTCTCCATATGCTTTACCTAAGCTGCCCCTTCTCTCAGCAAGTTCGCGCCAGGCTTCCCCATGAAGGCCACCTAAGGGTGTCTATCGTCCCCCTCCTAAATCTCCCCAGGACTTTTGAACAAGGGCCATGTCCAGTTTAATGTCACACAAAGAAGACTCATCAAAGCCCAGGAGTTGGGAGTTCTTGCTCCTCACTGCCATGGAAAGCATGAAACATCTGAGATAAAAATAATCTGTGCCATCCCCTGGCTCCGGATGGACAGCAGTTGGGGCATGAGCGCCTCCAGAATGTCTCAGCATTGCTGAGGGTAACCGGATCGCCGCTCAGATCCAGCAGGCAGCCTCAGAACCTCCCAGCTGCTGTTGTTTTTAGCACCGGGATTATTGGTAGGGGTGTAAATAGACATCTGTGTTCTGGGTGGCTCGCTCACCCCACATTCCTAGGCACACTTGTTTTATTAAAGCTCTCAGCTGTCGGGTGATCCAGGCGTGGAGAAATGAAAGGCCGCCCTCACCAGCTGGTGGTGGACTGCAAACTGCAACCAGTTTTCCCCCATAAGGACATGTTACTCCTATTAGAAACTGTGTCCCTCACATGTCCTTAAGAAGCGGGCCATCTGCCAATCATAAATCGAGATCTCAGCCGTTCCAAATAAAGAAAGAGTCTACCCTCCTTGCTGGCAGTCCTTTTATAGTTGACAGATTTTTTTTTTTAATCTTGTGCTTGGCCATGTATTTCTTGTGTAATTAAAAAATTATAAAAGGTAATAAAAAATACAAATCCACTGCTAAGAGATTTAAGACTCAATAAAAATTTCAGAAAGCCAGAGGTTTCTGGATAGTATGAGGATTACAAGGAGAAGGTTAATAAATTCCATGTCCCAACACCAGAAAAAAAGAATAAAAGAGAAAAAACAAGGCTATTTATGAAAAGGAAAAGTAATTAGAAATGGCCCTTAATGGCTGAGTGTGGTGGCTCATACCTGTAATCCCAGCACCTTGGGAGGCCGAGGCGGGTGGATCACCTAAGGTCAGAAGTTCGAGATCATTCTGGCCAACATGGTAAAACCCCGTCTCTACTAAAAATACAAAAAAATTAGCCAGGCATGGTGGCGTGTGCCTGTAGTCCCAGCTACCTGGGAGGCTGAGGCATGAGAATTGCTTGAAACCGGGTGGCAAAAGTTGCACTGAGCCAAGATCGCACCACTGCGCTCCAGCCTGGGTGACAGAGTGAGACTCCTTCTCAATAAAAATAAAAAATATAATAAGAAATGGTCCTTAATTTGGAGAGGCTCACCCAAAAAAGTGAGCCTGAAGAGAAGGCGCCCTTCATTCTTTTGCCACCCTGTTCTGGAGCCCATGTACGAAAGAGCCAGTGGATATTGCAAATGAGCTAAAGTCACCCAAGTTCCTACTGAATGGTCAAAGGTCCTATCTTAAGAGAGGCTCTCTGAGGATGGGGTGGGCTGAGGTGGTGGACAAGAGGAGGGTTATAGAGAAACACCTGGAGGACGCTAACAGAAACAGTCGATCATCAAAAAGAAAACACGAAGCACGCTTTGGGTTCTATCAGCCCAGTTTCAACACAGCTTTACCCTGTGCGCCAGCTCTTTTGAGGGATTTCGCCTGTCTATGTGGCCGGCTGCCCCGGTAGAAGGTTAGTACTTTGTAGGGTAAAGGAGTCTTAGGATCTAGAGAGAATCCAGCTCTGCCATTTTGACCTTGAACAAATCACTGAGTTTCGTCTTTTCATCTGTAAAGTGGGTGATAAGGTCCATCTCCTCATCGCCAAGTCTGTATGCTGAGGGCACGAGAGAGTGCATGCCAAGTGCACATGGGTGGAGTTCAGTAAATAGTGGCTGATCTCATCCTCCTCCTCTCCATGGTCGGAGGAGACCCCCTCTCTGGCTCGTGTGGCACGGCAGCTCCTGATTTGGAATGGAATTGGTGCTTTCATTTTTTGCTTCTTAATAACACAGCTTACATTTTCTATAGTCGTGGGCATCCTTTTTTTATGGAATAAATGAACATGGGTGACTTTGGTCATAATATTCACTCTTAGAAAATGAATCTTTTCATTTATATCCTTCACAAAATCAGAGCCTAATAGAAATAGTCACAGGTCACTTCCAGCACCAAACTCCGCACCTTCTCCTTTGTGGGAAATGTCACACTTTGCCAATAAGTGGACACAGGGGGTTCCACGGCCCCAGGTATTTTCAAGTGCAGAGGCACTCCAGTTCTGCATAAAATGCATCAGGGGCCTCTTTTATTAATTCTTTAAGTCATAAGTTCTGTAAAATAAGTTTACTTCAACGATCTCTCGCTTACTCTTCCTTTCTGGTATGTACATATTTTACCACCTTTTTTTTTTCTTTTTGAGACAGAGTCTTGCTCTGTCTCCAGGCCGGAGTGCAGTGGTGTGATCTTGGCTCACTGCAACCTCCGCCTCCTGGGTTCAAGCGATTCTCCTGCCTCAGCCTCCCGAGTAGCTGGAACTACAGGAGGGCACCACCACACCCAGCTAATTTTTGTATTTTTAGTAGAGACGGGGTTTCACCATGTTGGCCAGGATGGTCTTGATCTCTTGACCTCGTGATCTGCCCGCCTCGGCCTCCCAAAGTGCCGGGATTACAGGCGTGAGTCACTGCGTCCAGCCTTTACCATGTATTTTTAAAAGATAAGGACTATCTTAGAAAGCATAATCACAAAATCACATTATACCGTGAAATGAACAATAATCTCATGTCACCATCAATATCCAGTCAATAGTCAAATTTACCAATTGGACCGTGTGTGTGTGTGTGTGTGTGTGTGTGTGTGTCTATTTTTTAACAGCGTGTTTGTACAAAGCAGTATCCTAACAAGGTCCACACAGTGCAATTGGCGGATAGGTCCACTAAGTATCTTTTAATCTACAGGTCTCCCTTGTATTTGTTTTATATTTTTTCTTTGCAATTTATTTATTGAAAAAGCTAAATGATTTGTTGAGTTCCCCCACATCTGGAGAGAACACCCCTTGGCCTTTCATTCTCACCTGAGTCAAACTAGGTCCCCTAATCTTCTGGAATCAGACAAAGAAGGGAACTTGGCAGCTATTGCTAATAAATTTACTGATGACAATAAACAAAGGATCCCAGGCTAGAAGATGCTCTTTCTAGTAGCAAGTCAACCAGATAGTTATTTGACTTCCTGCCTTCCTTCCCTCTTAAGGTAAAGACAAGGTTATCTTGGGTCAGGGGTGGGATTTTCTGTTGTGCAGCTTTGAAATAGTGCACACTGATCTAAGATAACAGTAGTAGATTTAGACTGAGCGCTTGAAGGGGCCAGCCTCTTTTTTATTCATTTATGTATTTTTGATAGCACAGTGCTTACATGAACAGCTGCCCAACAAATATTTACTAGATTTCAGATGTATTTCCCCACTAGAATGTAAAGAAGGAGAATGTGGGCCTTTGCTTTATAACCTTATTCAACTCAAGACAAGGGCTTTTCATGAGCCTACCTTTGTGTTTCCTTCATGTCATATTAAGAGATGACTCTTTTGAAAAGCTCTCCCTCCCATTCCCCACCAAAGCAAAGGTTAACCCGGAAGTTTTTTTTTTTCCTTTTTGATTTAAGCCAAAAGCCATCTCTCCCTCCGCACATGCACACACCAATTGAATTTACCGAGCCATCTGCTTACAAAGCTTTCACCTCCGAGCATACAAACCATCAAACTAGGAACCATTTCTGCATGGGGAAGAGGAAAACAAATACAGCAAAGCGGCCCCAGATTGAAACAAAGCAAAGTTTATTGCATGTGAAAAAGAGTCACATGGACATTAAGTATCAATGGTCAGGAATCAAGAAAATATACATTTTGCATATCTTCTGTCCTGCTCCAGAAGGGCTGGCTCACTCTTCACTCTCGTGGACCACCATCTAGGAAGAAAGTAGGCACCTGGAGTCAAGTCGGGTGGCAGAGACACATTCCCACCCACCACTTCTGCCGGCTGGCATCAGAGTTGCTTGCCTACTTCAGTGGGACACAGGATATTTTTTGGACCTTGGGAAAACGCACGATTGCACACATGAAGTCACCCCATAGCCTGAGAAACTGGCCCTCCGAAAGAGCAAGCCCCAAACGCTGGAGACCCAGCGACCTACTGTCGGATGCTGTGTGTTCAGCGGGCTCTGGAGGGGGCTCCTGCAGCAGCCTTTTGTTACCAGCAGGGGGCGCATGAAAGAGCTCAGTGGGACCCGCTCGCTCCTTTTCAGGATGGCGGTTTGTTTTGTTTTGTTGGGATACATGTGCAGAACGTGCAGGTTTGTTACATAGGTATACATGTGCCATGGTGGTTTGCTGCACCTATCAACCTGTCATCTAGGTTTTAGGCCCCACGTGCATTAGCTGTTTGTCCTAATGCTCTCCCTCCCCTTGCCGCCCCCACCCCCGGAAAGGCCCCGGTGTGTGATGTTCCCCTCCCTGTGTCCACGTGTTCTCACTGTTCAACTCCCACTAATGAGTGAGAACATGTGGTGTTTGGTTTTCTGTTTCTGTGTTAGTTTGCTGAGAATGATGGCTTCCAGCTTCATCCATGTCCCTGCAAAGGACATGATATCATTCTTTTTTATGGCTGCATAGTATTCCATGGTGTACATGTGCAGGATGGCGGTTTTTATTGTGACTCACAGACCAGGATTCTAGCGAGGGTCCAGTCAGCTAAGTGACTTTAAGCACTTTCTCTTCCTGAGCCTGAGACTCCCCAGCTCTAAAGTAAAGGGTTCTCTGAGGTTCCTTCCAGCTAAGAAGTTTCTACAGTCCCTGGGGGGGGGCTCCTCCCAGCTCAGCGACTCACCCTGCTGGAGGTGAAGTCTCGAGTCTTAGCGCGGAGCTTGTTGACTTGAGATTCTGCGATATCCGCACGTTCCTCGGCCTCCTCCAGCTCATGCTGAGCCTTTCGGAATTTGGTGAGATGAGCATTGGCTTGTTCATCCTAAAACCAAAGAGCCCAGGCAGGTTATATCAGCACGCGCCTCTCTCAGAACTCACCACGGGAAACAGCACGGTCTGCCTGCCGCAGTCAGCACCTATCTCACTTACAGCCTCCTCCGCCTGCCTCTTGTAGGACTTGACTTTCACTTGCAGTTTATCCACCAGATCCTGCAATCTCAGCACATTCTTCCTGTCCTCTTCACTCTAAGAATGAGAAAGTGGGAATGTCACTGGAGAGGAGGGGGCAGATTTGCACACGGCATGGGCAGCTTTCTGGGCCAAAGTGTTTCTTCCTGTGGTTTGATGGAGAATCTGCACGTCACAGAGGACACGATCATGGCGTTTGCGTTCCACTTACCTGGTACGTCAGCTCCTTGACCCTCCGCTCATACTTCCTCAGGCCCTTAACAGACTCTGTGTTCTTCTTCTGCTCTCCCTCAAGTTCAAACTCCAGCTCTCGGATCTGGGGGAGAGGGTGGGGAAATTAGTCTGGGGCTGCAGCGTGATTGGGAGGCTGGAAAGCTCAGCGCAGGCGGGGTTCCTCCTGCACACACCCTGGTCTCCAGTTTCTGGATCTGCTTCTTCCCGCCCTTCAGCGCCAGCTGCTCGGCCTCATCTAGACGATGCTGCAGGTCCTTCACCGTCTGTTCCAGGTTCTTCTTCATCCGCTCAAGGTGGGCGCTGGTGTCCTGCTCCTTCTTCAGCTCCTCCGCCATCATGGCAGCCTGAAAAGCACATGGGACTTGCTAGGATGCAGAGGAAGCTCCAGTGCCTTGGAACTGTCAAAACCTGGGGACCTCGGAGGACCAGAGACCATGCTAAAGAAAAAGGACAGGCCAGGCGCGGTGGCTCACGTCTGTAATCCCAGCACTTTGGGAGGCCAAGGCGGGTGGATCACCTGAGGTCAGGAGTTCAAGACCAGCCTGCTCAACATGGTGAAAGCCCATCTCTACTAAAAATACAAAAAATTAGCTGGGCGTGGTGGCAGATGCCCGTATTCCCAGCTACTCCGGAGGCTGAGGCAGGAGAGTTGCTTGAACCCAGGAGGAGGAGGTTGCAGTGAGCCGAGATCTCGCCATTGCACTCCAGCCTGGTCAATAAGAGTGAAACTCCATCTCGGGGGTGGGGGAAGAAAGAAAGAAAGAAAAAGGACAACGGGTGAGACTGTGATGAAGCACACTCTGCCACCCTGGAAGAGGGCCAGAGCTACACCCAGTAGATAAAATAACCTAATCAATGAGGCAATGAGAACTTTAGCGACAGGCTGGGAAACAGTTTCTTCCCTTTCTTAAGCTGGCCTCCTTTGAAACTCTCCCCTGCCCCAGGGAAATTCTTTTTTCATTACCACCAATATATATTTTCAAAGGAGCTTGAGACTTAGAGTAGTCTGACTTGATACTCAGCCTCATAGATTTGGGGATAGTGAGATTAAGGGAAGGCCTCTGGAGAATTAAGGCTGTACAGGAACAACAAAATCGCTTCGAGGTAAAGTTCTCCCGCCAGGCAGCAGGTGGCGCCATTAGCGCGGTGGGCCGCCGGGAGAAAGCCTCGGAGACCCAGGAAGGGAAAAATGTGTGGGATATTAACACCTCAGGTTCTTGTTTTCATATTTGGAATAAGTCAGATGTTGAAGGAAAGACATGCACACCTCTCCACAGGCAGAACTACTAGGATATAATCCCTTCCTGCCTTTTTTTCTTATGCCCTTCTTCTAAAGTGCAGGAGGGAACAGGGGAGTTTGAGCGGAGATGGGAGCCCTCGGGGAGCAGAATGTGCACCAGGTGTGGCTGGGGGAGACCGCACCTGTCTAACTATGTGAGGGCTTTAATGCAATGCAATCCCGGCAGCCCGAGGGCAGCAGGAAGGAGACGCCTTACGTCCGTGATGGCCTTCTTGGCCTTCTCCTCAGCGTTCCTTGCATCCCTGCTGGCATCTTCTACCTCACTCTGGAGCTGCATGAGGTCTGTCTCCAGCTTCTTCTTGGTGTGGATGAGGCTGGTGTTCTAGGGCAAGAGGAGGGCTGTTAACCAGGTGCGTATGAGGCTGGAACCTCGCCTCTCTTCCTCTCCCTCCCCTCACCTGGGTATGCAGCAGCTGCACCCTCTCGTTGGAGTCCAGGAGCTCCTGTTCCGCCAGTTTCCGGGCCCTCTCCGTCTGCTCCAGAGTAGCCCGCAGCTCCTCCACCTCGGCCTGCAGCAGGTTGGCTCTGCGCTCCACAATCGCCAGCTGCTCCTTCAGGTCCTCCTGGCCCCGGAGGGCATCATCCAGGTGGAGCTGCGTATCCTAGCCAGAGAAAAACGAACATTCTATTTGAAGTTGAGGCGTTAGGACCACGAGCCTCATCTGCATCTCTGAGTTTTGTTTGTTTGTTTGTTTGTTTTTGTTTTGTTTTGTTTTGTTTGTTTTGAGACAGGGTCTTGTTCTGTCACCCAAGCTGGTGTGCAGTTGCGTGATCTCAGCTCACTGTAACCTCTGCCTCCTGGAAAGCAATCCTCCCATCTCAGCCTCCCAAGTAGCTGAGACCACAGGCTTGTGCCACCATGCCTAGCTAATTTTTATTTTTTTTGTAGAGATAAGGTTTTGCTATATTGCCCAGGCTGGTATCAAACTCCTGGGCTCAAGTGAGCCTCTTGCCTCAGTCTCCCAGAGCGCTGGGACTACAGGCGTGCACCACTGTGCCCAGCCTACATTTCTGAGTATGTGAGGAGGAGAGAGGTTTTTCCCCGATGGGTTCTCTCAAACCTTCAGCTGTCCCTGGACACTCCTGAGGTGTTTGAGGGTCTCCGCCGCCTGGCGGTTGGCGTGGCTCAGCTGGATCTCGATTTCATTCAGGTCCCCCTCCATCTTCTTCTTGAGCCGGATGGCTTCATTCCTGCTCCGCACCTCGGCGTCCAGGGCGCTCTGCATGGTTTCCACTGTTCTCTGGTAGTTCCTCTTCAGCTGCTCGATCTCTTCATCCTTCTCGGCGATCTTTCTATCAATTTCTGATTTCACTTGTGTCAATTCAAGCTGGATTCGGAGGATCTTGGCTTCTTCATGCTCAAGAGCAGCCTTTAAGAAACAAAAGCAAATCAAATAGTGTCTGTGATGGTATGGAGCCAGCTCCACTACCCTGCAGGATAACAAAACTTCAATGGAATAGTCCTAAATCTAATCCTACAATAGTCACAATTCACTTTTTAAATGTCCCCAAATTGGCCGGGTGCAGTGGTTCACACCTGTAATCCCAGCACTTTGGGAGGCCGAGGGGGGCAGATCACCTGAGGTCACGAGTTTGAGACCAGCCTGACCAATGTAGTGAAACCCTGTCTCTACTAAAAATACAAAAATTAGCCAGGCATGGTGGTGCCCGCCTGTAATCCCAGCTACTCGGGAGGCTGAGGCAGGAGAATCATTTGAACCCAGGAGACAGAGGTTGCAGTGGGCCTAGATTGCCAGCATGGGCAACAAGAGCAAAACTCTGTCTCAAGAAAAAAAAAGTCCCAAATTTATCTTCAGTGCAGAAATAAAAGCACGTTTCATTGCTTTTTGGTTTTGATTATACTATCAACCAATAATAATGTTTAAATCATATTTCTTAGGAGCATAAAGCACTTTCTAGATATTTTTAATTCATGTAATATTTTGTAAAATCTCATCTTTAGGCCTATTTAATATGACAGTCTTCTCCAATAAATTTAAGATAATTCACAGGTATTATTCAGCCTCACAGTTTTGCTGTGTGACGGGAAAGCAGCAGGCATTAGGACTGTGATTTGACAAAGGCAAAAATGGAGACACAGCATGGAGCAGCCAGCCTCCCTGGCCGTGGCTCACCATGGCTGCATCTGCGCCTGAGCCTGCCTCCCAGCACTCACCTCTGCTTCCTCGAGAGCCAGCTGGATATCAGCCTTTTCCAGCTCAATCTGCTTTCTTGATTTCTCCAGTTCATGGATGGTTTTGCCATTTTCAGCAATTTGTTCTGTGAGATCTGCTATCTCCTCTGTAAAGAAGTAAGTTTCAGTTGCATATGAGCGCCTCTGCGTGGGTTTCCAGACATGCAAAGCATTGACTCAATGCTTTTTACCTGGTTTATTATAATCCTAAGGTTTCCTGCTTCCTAGAGATAAGATATTGTACAGAGAGAGGCTAAAACGTAACCCGTCAGATGGTGAACACTTTCTGCATGTGCATTAACACACATGTGTGCAGGAAACTGAGTGATGAAGCCACACCCACGCCAGCATGCTCTCGAGCAATAGAGCATGAAAGGAGGAGGTTTCAGAGGGTTTCGAATAGCTTACGCTCTAAGTTCTTATTTTCCCGTTTCACAGTTTCAAGTTGATCTAAGGCTTCCTCGTAGGCATTTTTCAGTTTGAAGAGCTCAGTGCTCAAGGAGCGGGACTCCTTCAGGGATGCCTCCAGCTCTGCTTGGCTCTCCTCACACTTTGTCTTCCACTCTGCCAACACCTGAAACACCGGACGGAAGTTCTCTCCGTTTCTGAGCTCTCCTCTAGGTTTCTAACAAAATACTAAATAACTAAATTAAATGCAGAGTTAGGGCTACACTTGGCATCACTTGCCTGGCTCCTTGTTGTCGATTATTGGGCTAATCAAGATTCTGTTCCATAAATGTACTCAAGGTAATGAGTCAGGAACAATTGCCATCTTGAAAAAGCAAATAGATCCTTTGAGAAGGAATTAGCTGGGCATAATTGTCCTTTTCCTAATATAAAAAGGGCCCTGTACTTCTAAATATTTCATTAAAGCATTGGTTCCAATCAACTTTATCTGCCATCTTGAAAGAAGGGCTTCCAGAAAGCCTCCCAATAGGATCTCAGCTTAGACAGACCAGTAGTACGGAAAGGAAAAATGCTTAGGACTGCACGGACATTGTAGAAATTGGTTTGTTTCCACGGACAACATTTGAAAGGGACCTCTACCCCCAGCCCATTCCCATTCTGTTTTGCAGATGAGGAAACTACAGCCCGGTGAAGTTCAGGGACTTGCCCAAGGCCACACTGCTGGTGAGGGCAGAGTCAGGTCCGGGATGCATTCTCCTCCTTCCACGGCTGCTAGGAATCCCTTACATCATGGCATTCACCCAGCACACAGCGGACCCCACACCTTGTCAAAGTTCCTCTGCTTCTTGTCCAGAGCGGCGGCCAAGGAATTGGCTCTTTCAACATCAACCATCAGATCCTCCACCTCTCCTTGCAGCCTCTGCTTGGTCTTCTCCAGTGAAGCACATTTAGCATTCACTGCCTCAACCTGTTCCTCGGAATCTTGAAGGCGCTGAGCAAGTTTTTTCCTTAAAGAATATGAAAGAGAAGCAGCTGTTATTTCAGTTTCCATCCACTTGAACATCACTATTCATCAAGTTGGAATCACTAATCTATGTGATTCAGACACCCATGTGTTTTTATACGCCCAGGAGAATTTCCTGTCTACTCAAAATCTGGGATCAATAACTTGCCTTGTGTCTGACCAAGATCAAAGCTGTTTGTTTTAATAAAATGTGCTAACGCCAGGTCCCTCTAATGGCCCAGCACCGCATTTAAAGACACATGAGATGGGGAAACGCCTAGTAATAAAAATAAATTCATCGAATTCATTCCTAAGTAGTTCTTCTAAAAGCAAACAGAGCTGCGCACTTGGCCTCCTCCAGCTCTTCTGTGCGCTGGATGGCGTCCGTCTCGTATTTGGTTCTCCACTGGGCAACCTCACTATTGGCCTTGGACAGCGCCCTCTGCAGCTCAGCTTTGCCTTCCTGCTCCTCCTCATACTGTTCCCGCAGCAGGTCACAGTCGTGGCGGGAGGACTGCAGGGCGTGCGCCAGGGCGTTCTTGGCCTGCAGAAGTTAAAAAGAGAAGAGCACCTGATATATTTAGTGCCAGGTGCATGATACAATCCAAGTGTGTCCCTTCTATCACCACCTTCTGAATGAAGTTGCCTTTTATTTTTTCCTCCTACAGGTGATATTTAAAAATAAGGGCAAAGAAGTCTTCCTTCAATGGTGTACCTTGTTCTCTTCCTCCAGCTGCCTCTTGAGCTCTTCTGTTTGCTGGGTAAAGGCTTGCTTGCTCCTGGAAAGTTGGGATACTATGCTTTCTTTTTCTTCCAGCTGACGACTCAGCTCACCTGTGTCCAGAAGGAAATAGTTTCATTTCATTTATTCACTCATTCACTCACCAACTTTCTATTATGTGTAGGGCACTGTGCTAAGATCTGGGGAGACAGAAAATGATAAGATATGGTTTCTTCTTCAGGGAGAAGGTATATGGTTCATGAAAAGGAAACTGAAAGCAGAACTGATAAGGTATTGTTGTAGGCCAGGTGCAGTGGCTCACGCCTGTAATCCCAGCACTTTGGGAGGCTGAGGCAGGCAGATCACAAGGTCAGGAGTTTGAGACCAGCCTGGCCAATATGGTGAAACCCCATCTCTACTAAAAACAAAAATTAGCCGGGCGTGGTCATGGGCACCTGTAGTCCCAGCTACTTGGGAGGCTGAGGCAGGAGAATCACTGGAACCCAGGAGGTGGAGGTTGCAGTGAGCCAAGATCATGCCTCAATCTCAAAAAAAAAAAAAAAAAAAAAGATATTGTTGTAAACTACTGGAAGGTGGGACTGATGTCTGTCAAAAAAAAAATCCATTGAGAAGAACTGTAAATGTAAACGTTACCAGGAGCACCTAATAACTCCCATCAGACCTCCCCAGTGGCAGGTGTTTCCAGCTGTTTATTGATTTGTTATCGACAAATACATAGGGAAATACTTAGAGCTTTATATCTCTAGTTAGACTCTTGGGGGAATAGGGTAAGTTCAAGTTTATATGCTTACATAGAGGTAAGAGAAAAACATAGAATGGGGCTTTATGGCTCCAGACGTGAATCCCCCAACATGGTAAAAGTGGCCACCATAGGCCGGGTGCGGTGGCTCACGCCTGTAATCCCAGCACTTTGGGAGGCCGACGCAGGCGGATCACGAGGTCAGGAGTTCAAGACCAGCCTGGCCAACACAGTGAAACCCTGTCTCTACTAAAAATACAAAAATTAGCCGTGTGTGTTGGCATGCGTCTGTAGTCCCAGCTACTCAGGAGGCTGAGGCAAGAGAATCGCTTGAACCCGGGAGGCGGAGTTTGCAGTGAGCCGAGATCACACAATTGCACTCCAGCCTGGGTGACAGAGAGTGAGACTCTGTCTAAAAAAAAAAAAATGTGGCTACCAAACTTCTTTTCTTCATTGTCTTGGCTGTGACTGCCAGCCGAGGATGGATTCACCTGTGAGGATGCACCAGGGCTGGGTGAAGCCACATTTTCTAGGCGAAAACTCCAAATAACATTCCCTTAAACTTTTTTTTTTTTTGAGACAGAGTTTCATTCTTGTTGCCCAGGCTGGAGTGCAATGGCATAATCTCGGCTCACTGCAACCTCCGCCTCCTGGGTTCAAGCGATTCTCCTGCCTCAGCCTCCCAAGTAGCTGGGATTACAGGCACCCACCACCATGCCTCGCTAATTTTTGTATTTTTAATAGAGACGGGGTTTCACCATGTCGGCCAGGCTGGTCTTGAACTCCTGACCTCAGGTGATCCGCCCGCCTCGGCCTCCCAAAGTGCTGGGTTGACAGGCATGAGCTACCACACCCGGCCTCCCTTATGTTTTTATTATACACCAGGACCTTTAAACACTGGCCATGTTTCTCTCTTTAGTCTCAAAAACTTGGACGCAGACAATGAATATCTGAGTTAAGAAGTATCAAGGCCCTGGCTCTTAGTTTCTAGTCTCATTTCTGCCCATCAGAGTCTGTCTGATGCAAGTTTATATTAATTTTGAAAGAGTTTGAATGAGATGATATTTTGAGCCCCTTCTCATTCTGGTCTACTCCTCTTTCTCTCTTATTCTTACTGAACTCTCAATGTTCTCTCCCTTCAGGCTATTTCAAATGGCTCTTTCTATGAGTTATTTCAATTTCTTCTCTCCTGAAAAGATGCTTCCCTAGAGATTCTCCCTCAAACACACCCTGCCCTTGGTTTTGGCCAGCTACGCCCATTGGGTGCCAGGAGGTTTTGGCCCCACGGGTTTTCTGCACGTGGCTTACCAGCCTCGGTCTGCAAACGAGACTTCTGTGTGGTCAGCTCGCTCAGGCTCCTCTGAATTTCCTCATTCTTGCCCCTGGCCTCACTTAACTGATCCTCCAGGGTTCGGCAGATTTTTTCCAGATTTGCCTGAAGGATTCAGAAAGGGGAGCAAAGTCAGTCAGCAAAGTCAGGTTTCAATGACCACGGAGTGTGTCTGATGGAAAGCCTTGAGCCACCCCCACCCCGCGCAGCACCTTAGATTTCGACACACTCTCCATGCTGCTGGAGAGGTCATCGATCTCCAGCTTGAACTCGCTCTTCTCCTTCTCCAGCTTCTGCTTGACCCGCTGCAGGTTGTCAATCTGCTCCCCAAGCTCGGCCACACTATCCGCATGCTTCTTCCTCAGCGCGGCCACCATGGCTTCGTGCTGCAGTGTGGCCTCCTCCAGGTCCCTGCGCAGCTTCAGGAACTCCGCCTCCCGCTTCTTGTTGAGCTCTATCTGCGTGGAGGTGACGCCTCCCGCCTCCTCCAGCCGCTCGCTCAGCTCCTCCAGCTCCCGGGCATAGTCGCTGCGCTGTTTCTCTGTCTTCGCGCGGGTGGCCCTCTCCGCCTCTATCTCCTCTTCCAGCTCCTCAATTCGAGCCTGTGGAGGGCAGCCGTTCACCCCGTGGGCAGTGGGTTCACCGCGGGGACTCTGATTGCCAAGAACAGGCTGGTTTCCCTTCCCATTAGACAAACTGAGTCTTAGACTCCCCTCCAATGAATACTGCAAATTTCCTTTCACAGGAATTTTTTCTGCCCCAACATGGTAATTACTCCTGCAGTGACCAAACCTGAACATTTTCCACCAACTAAATGTTAACTTTTAGTTGTTAACTTAAATACTTTAATTATGGATTAAAGTATTTAATCAGATGTTTTGGGGAAATGGTTCATCATGGCCAGGCCAGCCTAGCAGAAAGGGAACCATGAGGCAGGTGGCCCCACAGTCTTGCCCACTTTCTCTAAATGGCTTATAGCAGACAGCACCCAGCTCACTGTAAGTGGCCTCACATGGAAGAGAGAAATGCAGAGGGCTCCTACCTGCAACTCTTTGATTTTCTTCTGAAACTGGAGGCCCAGTGTCTGCTCATCTTCCACTTTGCTTTGAAGTTGACAATATTCAAAATCTTTCCTGTGAAGAGAAATGTAGAATGCATGAAGACAAAATACACAGTAACTTGCAAAATGGAAGCCAGTGGTTGAAGGGCATACTTCTTGAGCCTTTCGTCCAGCTGTTGCTTGTCATTCTCCAGATCTAATATGGACTCTTGAGCAAGCTTCAAGTCTCCTTCCAATTTCCTTTTGTTCCTTTCCAGGTCTACTCGGAGCTTCTTTTCTTGTTCTAGGGAGCTTTCCAGCTGAAAAAGGCACCATTTCCTTTTGGGAACAAATGCTTTGCAAGAGGACCCTTGAGGGCTCTTCCAACCCTGGAGTTCTGGGACTCCCGATGAGCATTATTTACTTACGTCTTCCACTTGCTGTTCCAGTTTGCTCTTGGTTTTGTTCAAAGAATTGACTTTGTCTTCTTCAGCTTGGAGGTCATCCAAGGCCTGCTGGTGCGCCTCTTGGAGGGCCTTCTTCTCTCTGGTTAACTTTGCAATTGTTTCATCTAACCCAGAGAGTTCCTCAGTAAGGTTTTTAACCTAAGAAGAATTCGCAAGCAATTATAAGCTTAAAGTTTAGTTTGCAATGACTATATCAAGCTAGACACACCTACAATAAGAATACCTTGTTCTCTGTGGCATGCTTCTCCTTCTCAACCTTGGCCAGGGTCAACTCAAGGTCATCAATGTCTTTCTTGAGCTCTGAGCATTCATCCTCCAGTTTCCTCTTCTTGGCCGTCAGCTCAGCATTGATCTCCTCCTCATCTTCAGCTCTCTCTGTCACCTCCTTGATCTTGGCCTCGAGCTGGAATTTGGCTTTGATCAGCTGATCGCATCTTTCCTCAGCATCCAACAAATTTTCGCTTTCCTTAAAAAAAAAAGAATAATAACTTCGTTGAATGATATAAGGTTTGCGACATTCCAGTATTTCACTATATATGAAGTTCTTTATGAAGCATTTCAACTAAAAAGCAAAAATCCCCACCAATAACTCAATTTTTCTAAATAAATAATCAAATCTAGAAGAGTTAAAAAAAAAAAAAAGATTGCTAAACACGTACAGCTTGTACTTGGAGCTGCAGGTCATTCTTCTCTTGGACCAGAGTCACCAGTTTTTCCTCTAGCTCCTTCCTTTTTGCCTCCGACTTGGCGAGTTCATCTTTGGTTTTCTGGAATTCTTCCTTCATGGTGGCCATCTCTTTCTCAGTCTCTGCACTCTTGAGGAGGGGCTTGATCTTGAAGAAGAGTTTCATCCAGGGCCAGTGCTTGACGTTCATGAATGAGCGAATGTTGTACTGGATGCAGAAGATGGACTCCCTAAAAACAAGACATTGCTTATTTCTGAGAGAGACTCCCCTTCCCCAAAGAGCTCATGTCTGAACAAAGACCCTGCTGGACCTCCTCTGCACCATCTTCTGGAATTCCACACGCATGAGGAACCCTCTGCACACAGCTTGTGTCCGGGTGATTAGTTTGGCCAGGCGGTCATCCCGCATCTCTTCCAGGGTTCCCAGCAAGCCAGCCTTGAAGAACACCTTATGGGGCAGAAGGGTGACATGAGTCAGTTTCCTAGAGAAGCTGTGTCAAGAGGACGAAAAGGCCAGCATCTGTCAGAACTGATGCATTACCTTGGTATGTCCAAATTTGTACTGAGTGTGGTCAATATCAATGGATGCCAGAAGCTTTTCACAGGCTTTCTTGCTGTCAATGAATTGTCCCTCAGGGATTGCACTGGCATTCAGCACTCGGTATCTGCATTGTAGACATGGAAATCATCACAGACTGTTGGCAAAGACACAAACCTTGGAGAACATGTAGTTCAGGCCTCTCTTCCTATAGGCAGAAGGCCAAGGTCCCAGGAGATGAGGGAACTAGCTCGGAGTCACATTGCTAGAGAGCAGTCTAGAATCTAGATCTCTTGACTCTTCAGTCAGAGCTTTTCCTGCCATTTTGTATATCAGATAAATTCCAGAGAAAAACATGGAAGAAACAAATATATATAACTTGGCCAAATGGTAGATTGTTCAGTTTACATGGAGGTCCATATCTGTTCTTTCGAAATAGGTCTTTTCATACGAATCTTTCTCCCTCTCAAATTCCAGTGTTCGTACATCTCATCCCCAAGCATATAGAACATGTTTATTACACACCTTTGTTTAAAATCGCCATAGAGAATCCTGTTTGGGAACCCTTTCCTGCAGATGCGGATGCCCTCCAGGACACCGTTACACCGCAGCTGGTGCAGAACAAGGCTGTGTTCCATAGCCCCTGGGAACAGAAGCGAGATATCAGCCTTACACAGAATTTCTTAAAAACTGAGCACCACCTAGCGAGCCAGCAGGTGTCTCACCTGGAGTTTTGGTTTCATTGGGAATTATACAACGCACAAAATGAGGGTGAGTAGTTCTTAAATTTGACATCAGCTTGTTCAGGTTTTCCTAAGAGAAAAAAAAAATGACATTTGCCATCCTACTGTAGGTTTTTATGAAGACAGAGATCCATTGTAATGAAATAAGATCTATGTTTAAAATTTATCATAAGTTCTAAAGTATAGTGAAATGATTTAACTCTGTCTTTTTTTTTTTTTTTTTTTTTTTTGAGACGGAGTCTCGCTCTGTCACCCATGCTGGAATGCAGTGGCTCAATCTTGGCTCACTGCAACCTCCTCCTCCTAGGTTCAAGCAATTCTCCTGCCTCAGCCTCCTGAGTAGCTGGGACTACAGGCATATGCCACCACACCTGGCTAATTTTTCATATGTTTAATGGAGACGGGGTTTTACTGTGTTAGCCAGGATGGTCTCGATCTTCTGACCTTGTGATCTGCCCACCTCGGCCTCCCAAAGTGCTGGGATTACAGGAGTGAGCCACTGTGCCCGGCCTAACTCAGGCTTTCAATGGTCCTATGGCTGGAGGTGTAGGCTAGTAACTGATACAATTGTCTTTTGTCTCCCAGTGAGCCAGAGGCTCGCCAAGTACAAAATGCTTTCTAAAATCAACTCAGGTGATGGATCCACTGGGAGCGTGAGGTCTATTGCTGGTGTCCTTTAGGAAAATTGGAGAGTTTATGCTGGAAACTCGGACAAGCCAACTCAGCTATCTTTGGTATAAGATAATAGTGATACTCTCATCGCACATTGGTTAGACCGTATTTATTATATTTTATCATCTGTCACTTCACCTCAGTGACAGTAATCAGATTAAGACAACACTACTACTCTCAAATAAATCAAGCTTAGAATCTCAGCATTGCTCATTTAGATGTCACTTAAATCAATTATAAGCAAATAAACTTGTATTTTTCTTACCCTGAAAAGGGCAGAGACAGTTTGGAAGGAAGAACCCTTCTTCTTGGCAACTTTCTTCTTTCCACTGTCAGCTGAAAGCAATAAGGGAGGGCACGTGCTGTAGGTGAATCTAAAAGGTTTTTTGTTACTGTGGAACAAATGGAGGGAAATCACATGGACACAAAGCACTCCTCTTACCATCCGCCGTGGCAAACGTGGCATAGAGGTGTGCCAGGAGCCTGTTGGAAGACTTCTGGTACAGCCCAACCACAGTCTCGTTCAGAGGGTCCTTGTTCTTCTCCAGCCAACCTGAGACACTGTAGTCCACGGTGCCCGCATAGTGGATCAGTGAGAAGTGAGCCTCGGCCCTGCCTTTGACCACCTTGGGCTTCTGGAAGTTGTTGGACTTTCCAAGATGCTGGTCATACAGCTTGTTCTTGAAGGAGGTGTCTGTTGCCTTGGGGAACATGCACTCCTCTTCCAGGATGGAGAAGATGCCCATAGGCTGGATTGAAGGCAAGGCAAAGTGCAGAGAGGTAAATATGAGCTGCAGTAATGAGCAGAAGAGTCTATGAGAAGAGCTTACGGTGGGGATGGAACTGGATACCTTCTCGATGAGCTCGATGCAGGCAGCCAGGTCCATCCCGAAGTCAATGAACGTCCACTCGATGCCTTCCTTCTTGTACTCCTCCTGCTCCAGCACGAACATGTGGTGGTTGAAAAACTGTTGCAGTTTCTCATTGGTGAAGTTGATGCACAGCTGCTCCAGGCTGTTATACTAATAAAAAAATACAACATTCATGTGAAAAGTTAGACTTCTTTCAGAATCAAAGACTGTCAACATTCCTCCTCATTGCCCCAGGTTCCTGTCAAACACATTAATGCTTTCAAATACAATCACAATCTTCAAGGCCTGCCTCAGACCGCATCTCCTCCTTGGCGTCTTCTGTAAACTTCCAATTAGAAGGTGTTTCTCCCTTTCCTGAGTTCCCAAGGTCTGGGCATCTCTTGTGTACTTTATTTTGTAGTTACTCTTCAATGTGCCATATAGACTTCTATTTCTTCTCTACTAGACTACAAGCTCATCTGTTTTTTTCACCTGTATGTCTTGTACCTGGGAAACCTAAATATACACTTTGATGAGTGGCTATGCACTTTTTTTTTTCTTTTTTTTTTGAGACGGAGTCTTGCTCTGTCACCAGGCTGGAGTGCAATGGCACCATCTCGGCTCACTGCAACCTCCGCCTCCCAGGTTCAAATGATTCTCCTGCCTCAGCCTCCAGAGTGGCTGGAACTACAGGCGCACGCCACCACACCCATCTAATTTTTGTATTTTTAGTAGAGACGGGGTTTCACCATGTTGGCCAGGATGGTCTTGATCTCTTGACCTTGCGATCTGCCTGCCTCAGCCTCCCAAAGTGCTGGGATTACAGGCATGAGGCACCATGCCCAGCCGCGGCTATGCACGGTCTAACACAGAACCAGTGGGATATTTATAGAAAATAGTGCGTGATTAACTTATCAAATTCTCTGTATCTATTTGATGGCAGTCCCTAAATCAGTGATTGCATTTAATTTTTTTTCTTTTATCCATTTGAAAATGTCCTTTAAAATTCCACTTGATAGACATCTTCTCCTCTTTTAAAATAATACAAACCCAGCCAGGTGCGGTGGCTCATGCCTGTAATCCCAACACTTTCGGAGGCCGAGGCGGATGGATCACTTGAGGTCAGGAGTTCGAGACCAGCCTAGCCAACATGGTGAAACCCCATCTCTACTAAAAATACAAAAATTAGCCAGGCATGGTGGCACACGCCTGTAATCCCAGCTATTCAGGAGGCTGAGGCAGGAGGTTCACTTGAACTCAGGAAGAGGTTGCAGTGAGCCGAGATGGCGCCACTGCATTCTGGCCTGAGTGACAGGGTGAAACTCAGTCTCAAAAAAAAAAAACAAACAAAAAACCCTAATACAAACCCTTCCAATAAGTACCGCTCCTCTATTCCATCCACTCTCCATCTAGTTTCTTACAGGAAACTAAGACAGCCGCCATCTTGCTATCTTCCCTTTAGGATCATGAAACCAATTTCCCTCATATGAAGCCATATGAAAATATGAATATAAGTAACACAAACCTCAAAGATTTCAAAGCCTGCAATGTCCAAAACACCAATGAAGTGTTGTCTTGGAAGCTTCGTATCCAGTTGCTGGTTAATGCGAGTGACCATCCACAAGAACAACTTTTCATAAACTGATTTTGAAAGAGCATTCACAGCATGGTGAACCTATCAGGGGAAAGATCAGCTACTGGATATGAAGGAAGTGGCCAGCAGGGTCCTGCACCCTTTCCCGGCCTTGAAGCTGTTACCTGATCCACAGTTTGACCTTTGGTAACGTACTCATTCCCAACTTTCACTCTAGGAAAGCACAAAGCTTTTAGGAGGTCCGAAGAGTTCAGGCCCATCAGATAGGCTGTTTTGTCAGCCACTGGCAAGAAAACAAGGACAGTGCTTAGAAAAGTAGAAGAGCTGCTTTGAAAATCATCCAGAAGTTTCAAAGGTTGGTTAAGTTCATCTTGGTACATTGTGCATTCCCTGTGGCTAAACTGCATATACATGGCCAATGGAAGCTAAGTCACTCAGAGAATATAATGGACTTTATGAAAAGCCAGGGCTGGGTCTCAGAAAGCCCTGGTCATCCCTCACTGCATCTGAAACAAGACTATTCGAGTGATTCAGGAAAAGCGAGTGGTAACAATAGCTATGGGCATCGGAGGCCCAGAAAGGGTCATTCACTTCTCCAGATGGAAGGATTAATCGCTTCCATCCATTTTTTTTTTTTTGAGACAGTCTTACTGTGTTGCCCAGGCTGGAGTGCAGTGGCACGATCTCAGTGCACTGCAACCTCTGCCTCCTGGGTTCAAGAAACTCTCATGCCGGCAGGGCACAGTGGCTCACACCCGTAATCACAGCACTTTGGGATGCCAAGGCAGGCGAATCATTTGAGGTCAGGAGTTTGAGCCTGGCCAACATGGTGAAACCCCGTTTCTACTAAAAATACAAAAAAGTTAGCCAGGCGCGGTGGTGTGTGCCTGTAATCCCAGCTACTCGGGAGGCTGAGGCAGGAGAATCACTTGAACCCAGGCAGCAGAGGTTGCAGTGAGCTGAGATCATGCCACTGCACTCTAGCCTGGATGACAGAGCAAAACTCTGTCTGACTCTCGTGCCTCAGCCTCCTGAGTAGCTGGGATTATAGGCATGCTCCACCATGCCCAGCTAATTTTTTTTAGTAGAGATGGGGTTTCACCATGTTGGCCATGCTGGTCTCGAACTCCTGACCTCAGGTGATCTGGCCCCCTCAGCCTCCCAAAGTGCTGGGATTACAGGTGTGAGCCACTGTGCCTGGCTGGATTAATTGCTTTCAAAAGCAGTACCAAGTGACCTCAGCAGATCAGCCACCCGCTCTGGTTTGCTGTCACACTGATTTTGTACCTTCTGTGCCATCCGGCTCGGCCTGCTCCTCTCGCTGCTTCTGCTTGAACTTCATGTTCCCGTAGTGCATCACGGCTCCCGTCAGCTTGTAGAGCCCAGATTTCTCTTCTGGGGTGAAGCCCAGGATGTCAATGGCGCTCTGGCATGGAAAGGGCAGCACGTCAGTCAGTTGGCCCCAGTGATGGAGGAGGAACACCCACCCCTTCTGTTGGTTCCACTTACGTCTGTAGCCAGCAGCTCCTCTGCATCATCTATGCTGGCCACCAGGATCTCCCCCTGGCTAATGAACGGGTAGTCGTAAGGGTTGGTCGTAATAAGCAGCAGCTCTGAAATGACAAATAGTTCCAGGAGGTTATGCAGATGCAAAGAAAAAACCCACCCAGTGGACTTGAGCTCCTGCACCCTGGGCTGGAACTTTTACCGCTGGATCCTAAATTGAACTTAGAATTAAAAATCTTTTAGACAGTTCCACAATACTCAGGCTGTCATGGAAAATATAGTCCAGGGAAGACTTTTCAGTCTCCCACACAATGGAGATGAAGGACCCTAGAGAGAACCTTTAAATTCCCTTGCCTTGCACGCTAATGGTGCATATCAGTGTCGGCTGGGAGAAGTTAATAGGGAAAACTGGCTGAGTGCGGGTCAGGACGAGAGCCAACCCAGGTGGTTTGGTATAATCATAGCCTTTTCTAAAATCTGTTGAAAAGCAGCAGCCTGTTTCCAAGCTGGAGACCAGAAGGCTGAGCAAATACAGCCAAAGAGCAAAGAAGCAGTGTGCATGGAGACCTCTGTGAGGGGCAGACAAGGGGCAGTGTGCAGTGCCTCCGTGGGCTTGATTATTCTGTTTGCTTTGGCGTCGCATTTGGCCATAGGTTGTTTCTGTGCCAGAACACAAGGGGGCGCCAAAGGACAGTTAGGTGTTCAGTTGCTCAGAAGGTTTTTATAAACCAGAGCTGGTCAGGAGTGGTCTAATCTTGTTGCCCTCCATTTGATTAGGTTTTCAAATTGGCATGTCACTGCCCAGATAGCCACATCCCATTTCTAAAATAAGCTTTTCCTGGCAAAGTGCAGTGGCTCACACCTATAATCCCAGCACTGTGGGAGGCCGAGTCGGGCAAATTGCTTGAGCCCAGGAGTTCAAGACCAACCTGGGCAACATGGTGAAACCTCATCTCTACAAAAAACACAAAAGGTAGCCTGGTGTGGGGGCATGCACCTGTAGTCGCAGCCACTCGGGAGGCTGGGGCTGGAGGATTACTTGAACCCAGAAAGGTCAAGACTACAAGTGAGCTGTGCTTGTGCCACTGCACCCCAGCCTGGGCATCAGAGTGAGACCCTATCTCAAAATAAATAAATAAAATAAAATAAACTTTCCCTGTTGACTGTAGAGTCACTCTACGTAGATACAACTCTCCTTGGTCTAGTGATCAGAGTCAAACTACCTAAAAGACCAGCCCCACTGGTGACTTCCTCACCTATGAGCTCAGGCTTCTTGTTAGAAAGAATCTGGTAGAAGATGTGGTAGCTTCTTTCAGCCTTCAGCTGGAAAGTGACTCTTGATTTTTCCAGAAGATCTGGAACACAAACACAGGACTCTCTTTCAAACTGTTCCCAGTTAACTCTGAGACGCCATCGAATCCCCATGGATCTACTTACAAGTTTCAATATCTGCAGAGGCCAGCTTCCCAGTGGTTCCAAAATGGATTCGGATGAACTTGCCCTGTATGGGGCGGGATTCAGGGGGAGACCAGATTCTACCATGGCCCAATAGTTCCTATTCATCTTATGGGTAATTTGAGTAGGAGCCTAGTCCCCCTAAAATTTTTGTTTTGTTTTGTTTTGTTTTGTTATGTTTTTGAGACGGAGTCTCGCTCTGTCACCAGGCTGGAGTGCAGTGGCGTGATCTCGGCTCACTGCAACCTCTGCCTCCCGGGTTCAAGTGATTCTCCTGCCTCAGCCTCCTGAGTAGCTGGGACTACAATCACGTGCCACCACACCTGGCTAATTTCTGTATTTTTAATAGAGACGGGGTTTCACCATGTTGGCCAGGATGGTCTCGATCTCTTGACCTCGTGATCCGCCCGCCTCGGCCTCCCAAAGTGCTGGGATTACAGGCGTGAGCCACCGTGCCCAGCACCCCCTACAGTTTGAAATTAGATATGTCCTTCCTCTTCTCCCTTCTTCTTCTTCCAGTTTGGGGTTTTCCTTATTTCCTTTTATTTATCCCTTTTATTCTATGCTCATCCCCCACTTCAACGTATCTAGTCAACAAAGCAACTACAGTGATTGTTTCAAGGTGTAAATCAAACCATATCACTCCCTGGCTTATAGAATCCCTCAGTAGCTTCCTGTTACACTTCAAAAGGAATCCAAACTCCTTCTCATGGCCTGTGGCTCCCACATGACCAGGTCTCTCTCTCTTCCACCTCATCTCATGGAACTGGCCCCCCTGCCCTCCTCCCTACAACCACACAGACCCTCTGTAGGTGCCCTGACTGCACCAGGCCCTCCCCCATGTCAGGGACTGCCCTGGCCCTTCCTTCGTTCCCCCTCCTTCCTGTCATTTCAAGTTGGGCTCTTTCTCATACTGCGGCTCTCAGCTCCCGTGCCAGCCCCACAGAGAGGTCTTCCCTGCCCACCCTGCCTAAAGCAAGCCTGGCCCCCAGTTCCTCTCTTACACACGCTGTTCATTGAACTTGGTCTGAATTTATCTTTATCTGAAATGGTCTTGTTGGGTTGTTTTGTTTTTCATCATCTGTTGCCTCTGGTCTCTACACTCTTTGAGGACAGGGCTCTTGCCTATTTTGTGAGGCACAAAGCAAATTCCATCTTAACCAAACTCAGACTCACAAAACGGGAGGAGTTGTCATTCCTCACAGTCTTGGCGTTCCCAAAGGCCTCCAGCAGGGGATTGGCACTGATGATTTGATCTTCCAGAGTCCCCTAATGCAAGAAATTGAGGGAAGAAGAGGAAACATTTTTTTTTGAGATGGAGTTACACTCTTGTTGCCCAGGCTGCAGTGCAATGGCACGATCTTGGCTTACTGCAACCTCCACCTCCCGGGTTCATGTGATTCTCCTGCCTCAGCCTCCCGAGTACCTGGGACTACAGGCATGCACTACCATGCCCGGCTAATTTTGTATTTTTAGTAGAGATGGGGTTTCTCCATATTGGTCAGGTTGGTCTCGAACTCCTAACCTCAGGTGATCCACCCGCCTCGGCCTCCCAAAGTGCTGGGATTACAGGCGTGAGCCACCGAGCCCAGCCTGAGGAAACATGTTTTTAAGCCACAGAATGACAGTAAAAAATGCTCACCCACTCTGTGACTCTGGCTTGCCCTGATAAAGCCCCACCCTCCTTGACTTTCCAATCCTAGGACCAACCAAATCAGCAGCATGTCTTACTCAAAACACTTTTGCCATTTTGTTATATTTGGCACTACAGTTGGGGATCTCTTGACTGAGCATTCCTTTAACACTTCAATCCCTTGATTCTCCAGTCAGTTGTCCGTATTCATTTCATGCTGCTGTAATACATTTGTTTCAAAAGCCCAGGATATGCTGTGAGTCACTCACATTGGTATATGTGATTCTTCCACAAAAGAACAAGCTCTCTGAGCCGTCTGCAGATTGACCTCTGAAGTTTAGCCCTAGAGCCTTGTCTTCTAAGAAATCCCGGGATCTAGTCCTACAAGACCAACTTGACACTGCGTTGTCTAAGGTGACTGGCTGTCCTTCAAGATAGTAAATCCTAGCCTGTTCTCCATTCTCTGAAGAGGGGGGAATGTGAGGACATTTGGCCCCCTCATTCTGAGGTTAAGACCACAGTTAAAAGTGGAAGCAAAGCAAGCCTTCCTCTCCCATCTATACCTTCATTTTGGAGTCCTTCTTCTTGGCCAGGTCCCCAGTAGCTGCAATTGTTGCAAAGTACTGGATGACCCGTTTGGTGTTCACAGTCTTTCCTGCCCCGGATTCTCCGCTGTACAGAGTGATCAAAAGAGAGAGAAAGAAACAAGTCTGTTAGTATAAACAGGCTTTTCAGGATGTCATACTGAGGCCTGGGCATGGTCTGAGCCATCTCTGACACACACTCACCACACTAATGTGACAGACCACTTGAGAAGGCAGACGCCCAGGGCACAGGTGCCACAGGCACTTGCTCAGCTGACCCAAGGATGGGTAATTCCATTTTTCTGAGGCCTTATGCAGACCTTCCTCCCCATCCCCAAATCGATCTTTTTATTTTTTATTTATTTATTTTTCTCTTTTATTTTTTATTTTTTGAGACAGAATCTCACTCTGCTGCCCAGGCTGGAGTGCAGTGGCGCGATCTCGGCTCACTGCAAGCTCCGGCTCCTGGGTTCACGCCATTCTCCTGCCTCAGCCTCCTGAGTAGCTGTGACTACAGGTGCCCGCCACCACACCCAGCTAATTTTTTTGTATTTTTTTTAGTAGAGGCAGGGTTTCACCGTGTTAGCCAGGATGGTCTCGATCTCCTGGACCTCGTGATCCGCCCATCTCAGCCTACCAAAGTGCTGGGATTACAGGTGTCAGCCACCGCGCCCAGCCTGATCTTTTTATTATAGACTCTGCTCCAAACACTTTCTAATGAACAGAATAGAGCCAGTGGCACAGCTATGAAACCACTCTATGCCATGGATACTTACGTGATCAGAATGGACTGGTTTTCACGATCTGCCAGAGGAAAAAATAAAATAGAGTTGATGGCAATAGAAAAAGAGCTTCCCGATTCTACCCAACTCTCAAGTAGCCAGAGTTAAATTGCACAATTCCTCTTCCTTTACATTTTTTGTTTAGCCTTTAGGTGGGAATCTGAAGAGCCTCCATCTGCTTTTTATTTTATTTTATTTTTAATTGACAAACAATATTTGTATATATTTGTAGGGTACAACATGATGATTTGATATATGTTTATATGGCAGAATGATTAAATCAAGCTAATTAACAAATCCGTCACCTCACATACTTATTTTTTTGTGGAGAAAACATTTAAAATATACTATTTTAGGGATTTTGAAATATACAATGCATTATTACTTATCGGAGTCACCATTCTATGGGACAGATCACCAGCACCGATTTCTCCTTTCCAGCTGTATCCTTTGGTCAATATCGAAAGCCTCCTTCTTGAGACTGAGACTCAGAGAGGGCAAGTCTCCACTCAGAATCAGCCAGTGGCAGCCGGGTGCAGTGGCTCATGCCTGTAATCCCAGCACTTTGGGAGGCTGTGGCAGGCAGATCACGAGGTCAGGAGTTTGAGACCAGCCTGGCCAACAAAGTGACCCCTGTCTCTATTAAAAATATAAAAATAGCCGGACATGGTGGTGCATACCTGTAGTCGCAGCTACTCGGGAGGCTGAGGCAGGAGAATCGCTTGAACCCGGGAGGCAGAGGTTGTGGTGAGCCGAGATCACACCACTGCACTCCAGCCTGGGCAACATAGCAAGACTCCATCTCAAAAAAAAAAAAAAAAAACCAGCCAGTGGCTTCTCATCGTTCTTGCTGTATTAGGCTGAACTATATAAAATGATCAGTTTTTGGTTTTGATCCATGAAAACATCCATATCCGTTTTGCATATTCTAACTTGCATTAAATCCAAAACTCGTCACCTTGGCATGCGGGGCCCTACATGATGCAGCCCCTTTCTGCCTCTTTTGGCTCCTTCTTCCTCCTTTCCCTGTGCTAAACACCAGATGGGGTCCAGCCTGGGAGTAAGGGGCAACTGCCGCTCGCCTCATGCAGTGCCTGCTCCAGCATCCCATGCTTCCTCCTGGGAAACTCACCAGTCAGCATGAACTGATAGGCGTTGTCAGAGATGGAGAAGATGTGGGGTGGGGCCTCCTGGCGCTTTTTGCCTCGGTAGCCTTCCACCACCTCGGGGTTGTACACCGGCAGCCACTTGTAGGGGTTGACAGTGACACAGAAGAGGCCTGAGTAGGTCTGTGGGAGGAAAAACATATACGTGCGTATATGTATGTATGTGCATATGGAAAACCCCTTGCCTTTATTATTATTATTGTTTTTTTTTTTTTTTGAGACGGAGTCTCACTCTGTCACCAGGCTGGAGTGCAGTGGCACGATCTTGGCTCACTGCAACCTCCACCTCCCGGGTTCAAGCAATTCTCCTGCCTCAGCCTCCCGAGTAGCTGGGACTACAGGTACATGCCATCACGCCCGGCTAATTTTTGTATTTTAGTAGAGATGGGGCTTCACCATGTTGGCCAGAATGGTCTCGATCTCTTGACCTCATGATCCACCCGCCTTACCCTCCCAAAGTGCTGGGATTACGGGCGTGAGCCACCACACCCAGCTGCCTTTATTATTATCTCATGTTTCTTTGGGATAAACTTATAAAGGGGGGAGGCTACCATTCCTATTTATAGTGAGGCACTGAGACTCAAAAAGGGGAGTGGCGACCCTCCCACAGTTGGTAAGTCACAGCACCCCGTGACCAAGCCTGGCCCCAGCTTCCCCGCTCTCCGGCTCCTGGTCCTCCTTCCCACCTTCCTTCTTCCTGCCCCATCCACCTCTTGCTTTCTTGCCTTCTTTCTCCTCCGTCTTTGTGTTTTGTTCATCAGCTAGGCAAGCACTCATCTTCCAGAATCCCACGGCCCACACACATACCTCTGCCTCCCTCCCCTGCCCGCATATCTAATGCCCCAGGGAAACCACGTCGAAAGCCCTCGCTGACATAGATCATCCAAGATGTGTAACGGTCCTTCAGGTTGTACAGCACGGCTGGCTCATTCAGGTGCGTCAGCATGGCCATGTCTTCGATCCTGTCGAACTTGGGGGGGTTCATGGCGTACACATCCTCTGGTTTGACCACCAGGGTCTAAAAAGGAAGAGGCACAGTGCTTCACTAAGATGGTCTGCACGTCTTTTTTTTTTTTTTTTTTTTTTTTTTTTTTGAGACGGAGTCTTGCTTTGTCGCCCAGGCTGGAGTGCAGTGATGCGATCTCGGCTCACTGCAAGCTCCACCTCCCGGGTTCACACCATTCTTCTGCCTCAGCCTCCCAAGTAGCTGGGATTACAGGCGCCCGCCACCACACCCGGCTAATTTTTTTTATTTTTAGTAGAGACGGGGTTTCACCGTGTTAGCCAGGATGGTCTCGATCTCCTGACCTCGTGATCCACCCGCCTCAGCCTCCCAAAGTGCTGGGATTACAGGTGTGAGGCACCGTGCCTGGCCTGTCTGCACGTCTTGTCTGCTGCCCCCACCAAAAGACCAAGAGACTCTTGAGCCGAGATGGAAGGGCCAAACCCTAGAACAAGCCCAGCTCACAGCGAGAGGAGGAAAGGCTATGGGGCGGCTTGTGGTGGTGCTGATGAAATGGGGTTTGTTTCTGTTATTCAGGGTGTCTTCTTCCTCCCCATTGGGCCTGAGGTGAGAGACGGATGTCGGAAATGAGAAAAGAGGATCTGTGTGGGTGGATATGGGTGATGGTGGCTGGGAACGGGGCCAGCAGGAACCTTTCAGCTCAGTCAGTAACACTGCCTGGACCAAAATCCAGCTCCAGCAGCTGGCTCTTTCCTGTCTACTGAGAGAAAATGACGCATATGTCCCCTGCAGTCGTGAGGCAGGGACCGAAGAGAATGAGGAAGGGGCATTGGATTGCCAGGCTGGTGCCCATGGATTGCCAACATTCTGAGCTCTCTGAAAGCAGCTGTCCAGCCCCCGGCCCACCTCTTCCCCCTTCACCACCCAGCCCCAGCATGCTCAGGAAAGGGCCCCTCAGTTGCCCTCCCCACCCCTTTCCTGCCCTTTCTGGGGTCAGAGTGTTATAAGCCAGGCAAACGGCACCATGAGGCAGAGCAGTGGTTCTGAGCACCTGCACTTCTCTCAGCAGGACAAACCCCCACACCCTCGGGAAGCTGGAGGACCTCAGGCACAGGGGGTGGGGAACTTGTCTTCCTCTTCCCTGCCCTGTCCTCACCTCCTTTTTCTCTGTGACCTCCTCTGAAATGGTCAGTTTTCCTGGTTCTGTCTCTGGGCAGTGTGGATGGGAAACCTGCCTTTTCCCTGCCTTCAAGCAGGGATTCATTCAAACCATCCCGGCCAATGGGCCCTGGCTGTCTATGATGGTCTCTTAGGTTCATCTTAGATTATCATTCACTGTATCTAGCTTCCTCCTTCCCTGACGTGTTAGCAGCCCATTCTTAGCTCCTTATTGGAAATACACAGAGAGCCACCTTTTCGGAGCTCCAATGCTTGGTAGCACTGCAGGGCGGTTCTTATTTTTTGGGGGGACCGAGTCTTGCTCTGTCTCCCAGGCTGGAGTGCAGTGGCGTGATCTAGGCTCACTGCAAGCTCCACCTCCCGGGTTCACGTGCAGGGCGGTTTTTAATGCCTTTTTTCCTTCATGCCCAACCCAATGATAGTATTTCCTTTACTTGTCTCTTTTATTTTCTTTCTTTCTTTCTCTTTCTTTCTTTCCTTCCTTCCTTGCTTTCTTTCTTCCTTCTTTCTTTCCTTCCTTCCTTCCCTCCATCTCTCTTTCACTCTTTCTTTCTTTTTTCCTTTTTTTGCTTTTTACTTTTCTTGGGACTTTTCCAGATTCTCCTGATGTGGATTTTAGAAACTAGTGAGCTCCAGAATTCCTCGCAGCACCCCCACAGTGGCTTGGGCCAGAATGTAATGGGCTGCAGTGCTCATCCCCTTCATGATACAAGGAGGCTGCTATTTCACTGAGCTTGTGGTCCCCTAGGATCCCTAACACATTTTCCTTACTTCCTTGGTTAGATGGCCATTGATAGAATAATTTGGGACAAATCTAGGCTACCAAAGGAGAGTGTTCTGAAACAGCGCTCATTCATGTTGAACTCCCAACTCCACACCCTTGGGACACGTGGAGCTGGGCCCCTCTGGCCTACAGTGAACGTGGACAAAAATACCTGAAAACTAATTGTTTTAATCAGCCACAGCCAGACTCTATTCCCACCCTGGAACCTGAGGCCAGTATTCACTCTGCTTTCTCTGAGGATACCTGGGAAGCCCCAGGCTACATTGTATGCGGCATTCCAGTGCTGGAACCACATCTGGAAGTGGCTGGGGTTGGGCAGATGCATACCCCAGGCAAGCACAAGGACCAGGTGGAGGGCCAGCAGCCTGTGGAGGGTACAGAGCCTTACCCTGTTGTCCTCAGTTTCCACAGTGACCTTCCCATCCTGAGAACTCTTGATTTTCCCCTTGGCATATTCTTCCTTTGAGTCCACCACGAAGCAATACGTCTTGGCATCAAAGGGCTGGTTCTGAGCCTCGATCCTCTCCTTTTCTGACTTCCGGAGGAAAGGAGCAGCTATGCCGAACACTTCCATTTCAGTGTCACTACTCATGGTGTCAGCTGGAAGGCAAACCCACCCGGTGAGCTCAGCAGCCCCCTTGCCAGGCACCCAGCAGCTCCAGGCCTGTTTCAGCCTCCACCCTGCCCTCCTTCAGCCGCAGGAGCCCTCAGAGTCAGGGCCCCAGGAACCAGGCTGTCCTCATGCCTTGAGAAGCTCCACCCAAAGGGCTTCAGTGCTGGGAAATCACACGGGTGCATATTTATTGAGGGGCTTCTTGTGCGACAGTCTTACAGCCTATTTAACCCAAGCTCCTCAAGCATCTGAGGCTTGAACTGGCGATAAGGGGTTTGGAAGTGAGCACCACTCTTGGGACCGCCTTTTCCGCTTCTGTGACAACCAGGTGTTGCTGAGGGAACGTTTAAAAATAAACACCCTTAAAAAATAAACGCCATCTTCAAAGAGAGTGTGCTAATGGCAAACAGCAAAGATATTTTTGAACCATTTCAATCAAGGTGGCTACACGCTCGTATGCGGGAACCTGCCTTTTGCTTCCTTGGGTTGCTAAGAACAAAATCAAGCATCTGACATCAGCATCTGTTTGACAGTCCCCCAAATGCCACCTCCTCTCCCGCCTGACCTGTCCTTGCCTTTTTTTTTTGAGATGGAGTCTCACTCTGTCACAGACTGGAGTGCAGTGGCACGATCTCCACTAACTGCAACTTCTGCCTCCCAGGTTCAAGCGATACTCCTGCCTCAGTCTCTTGAGTAGCTGGGATTACAGGCACTTGCCACCACGTCCTGCTAATTTTTCTATTTTTAGTAGAGACGGGGTTTCACCATGTTGGTCAGGCTGGTCTTGAACTCCTGACCTCATGATCTGCCCACCTCGGCCTCTCAAAGTGCTGGGATTACAGGTGTGAGCCATTGCACCCGGCCACGACCTGTCCTTGTCTAAATGTGCTAGTTCCCCTGTCCCTCTGTGCCCTTATGGCCGGTGGGAGGAGGGAGAAAGGAACTGGCAAGCTTGGATTGCCTGGAGATCTCCAACAGCCGAGGGACAGGGCCCAACTTCTCACCTGAGAGTCCCACCTGCAGGATGAGAGCAGAAGACAGCAACAGCCAGGAGATCCCAGACCTGGAAGAATATGCACATACACAACTTAGCGGCACTTGGGGTGGCTGCGTCCATGTAGAATCGGCTTCTGACGAGTTAACTAAAAAGGATAAAGGGGCCAGGCGCCATGGCTCACGCCTGTAATCCCAGCACTTTGGGAAGCCGAGGCGGAAAGATGGCCTGAGGTCAGGAGTTTGAGACCAGTCTGGCCAACATAGTGAAACCCCTTCTCTACTAAAAATAAAAAATAAATTTAAAAAATTGCTGGGCGTGGCGGCAGATGCCTGTGATCCCAGCTACTCTGGAGGCTTAGGCAGGAGAATCATTTGAACCTGGGAGACAGAGGTTGCAGTGAGCCGAGATTGTGCCATTGCACTCCAGCCTGGGCGACAAGAGCAAAATTCTGTCTCAAAAAAAAAAAAAAAAAAAAAAAAGACTAATACTTTAAAGAGGCAGGCTGGAAGATGGAAGAGCAGATGGGACGTGACCCACAGGAAGCCAGGCAGGGAGGAAAAACCCTCAGCTGTGCAGAAATCTGGTTTCTCTCAGCCTGCACTGGCACCTTCTTCAGTCTTCCTCACTCCCATTTAGAATCGGACAGCAGGGACCGCATCCCTGCTTAAAGTCAACAGTTCGAGGGCAGGGGCAGGTCTCCTTGTCTGTGAACAGGCAATATCTCTGAGATTAATTTACACGCAATGCCCACAGCCAGTGTGGTCTTGAGAGGACAAGACACCTGGCAGATGTACAGCCCAGGTGGGGAAGGTGAGGGCAGAGTGAGGTCCCCAGTCCTGTTGACCCTTCATGGGTCACAGAGGCAATGGGAGAAGGTCAAGCCATGGCAGCTGGGCTCACGGGGCATCCAAAAGGATCCTGCCCAAGAGGACACTTGGAGAGGAGGACAGGGGAGAGTGTGTGGAGGAGAGAGAACCTGCAGGGCTCCTGCTTGGGGGAGGTGCTGGAGCCAGAGGGTGCTGGGTGTTTGGGCCCAGGGAACCTCGCTCTCTACACCTTGCTTATCCTAAGAAAACTCAGAAAGGCATGAGGCGCCACCTCAGCAGAGCCAGGCAGGGCCAGGGAACCACGCACGGGGTGTGGATGTGCTCACCGGGTGGGTGTGCTCCAAGCAGCTGAGACCTAGAAGAGGAGCCTGTGACTTACCTCCGCCCACAAGCGAGCCACAGAGGGCTGGCTGCTCCCCGGGGCTTTTATAGGCCATTGGTAACCCCCGCGGCTCATTCCTTCTCTATATTTGGCAAGAGGATGAGTGGCCCCCCCAAGCCGAGAACCAGCTTCTTCCACACGTATCTTTGTCGTTGCCAAGGGAAAGGTATAATTAGAAATGAGCAGGATCCATCACCATTTTCCGACCGCAGAATGTCAGGAGCTTGGGATGCCTTTCTCTGAACTTGGGGCCGGTGCTCCCTCCCCTGATGGGATGGGATGGCCTCACTCCAGGAGGAGTTGCGGGGGCAGCCACCTCCGTTCTCAGGCGCTCATCACACCCTGAACGCGGCGTGAGCCCCTAGCTATTGGGCACCAAGGACTGAAGTCGGGTGGCTTACTTAGAAATCTCATCATATGGAAAAGTGAATAAGACTGAGAGTGAAAAGTTGAAATCCTTTTTGAATTTTGAGCAAGATTTTATCACAACCTTGGGTTGTGATTGCAAAACCTGTGCCAGGAATAATTAATAATAATAATAATTAATAGCAATAATTCCCCTCCCCCCTTGCCCTCTTCTCCCTTCTCCTCCTTCTACTCCTCTCCTTCTTTCTCTTATTTTCTCCTATGCAACGTTCTGTCTCATTAGTATCATTATTAACTTAATTCTTTCTTAAGCTCTAATAGGACCAGCCAGTTAAGTTAGTGACGTGGATCTATGCTGCCAGCTCGTATTCCCGGCGACAGCTGCCTGAGGACCTGTGGCTATTAAGACAGATTACCAATTAGGAAAGACCAGCTGCTGGCTGGGATGGGGTAGGGGGAACGGTGGTGGCCTGCAGAGAAAGGGCGGACAAGGGGGGGCTGTCTAACAAATGTGGTCATCTCTAAATCAGGAGTGGAAAAATAAAGCCTCAAGAGAAGAGTAAAGTATGTCGGACGCTTTTGCCCATTCTCGTTCTACTTTTTTTTTCTTGACAAATCTTTGGGAGGATGGCTGGGTGGGCACCCTGTGGTTGCTTATTCCAAATAGAACTGTTTGTCCATGTTTCCCATAGAAACCGCCCCTTCCGTACACAGCAGTACCAAGCCCCGAAGTGGAGGCCACTCCATGAGGTCTGCGTGGGACCGGGGAGGCAGGGCTGCGGTCTCAGGGCAAAGGCACGTGTATGAAACATCCTCTGTGCTCTGGCCCTTACACACAGTGCTTCGAGAAGACGCAGAGGAAACAGAAGACGCAGCCTTTACCCTTAAGGGTTTGAATTCTAGATGATGAGTCCTGTGGATGCTACAGACGCATTTACAAAATTGAGGTGATTTCACATTGAAGCAACAAGTTTATGAAGCGCCTGTTCCGTGAATGCCAGGCAAGGCCAGTGGCCGCCAATGGAGTCAGTTGGGCAGGGCTCACTCACCCCTTGCCTGTCCACCAGCCACTGAGCGTTGCCCCCACCCACTGCCCCTCTCCCTCCAGGTGAGACTGACATGTCCATCCTTGGAGCCCCTCCTCATCCAAGGAGAGGGTAACCGTCACTCCTAAAGTGTCCGTCCATGTCGTAAAGGGAGTGGTCCCCTGGGGCTCTGCCCTGTTGGCCCAGTGATGCACTGTCTCCTTGGGAGTATTGGTCAGGACAGCCACGGACAGGTAAATATCACCGAGGGGAGCAGCGGTGTTAACAAGGTCCGTGGGGTCAGGGGACAGGGCAAGCTGTCCTGGCTACATCTCCAGCAGTGGTGTATGCAGGGCAGGCTGTGGGTGTGGCGGGGGTGGACGTGGGAACTTGCAGTTCCTACGTCAACACCCAGACCTGTTGACAGGAGGAACTGTGTGGAAATGAAATAGGGGGCAATTTTGCTTTTTCCCTTTTGCAGTGACCAATGTACTCATCTATCTATATAACTACATCCATACTCACCTCCAGGAGACAGAAAAGAAATATTCCCTTCAACATTTCTTTTAGTTCCCTTAAGAGAGCACCCATATCACGTTAGGACCTAATACAAGCTCTAAAATGCTGATGGCTTCTCGCCTGGCTTTCCACACTGTCCTTGTTTCCTTCCTTCTCTTCATCAGAATTCTTCATCTTCAGCAAACAAATATAAGTGAATCTAGGAGAAAACGTCACAGACTCCTAGAGTGTTCAGCTGTGAGATCTTGGCAGTTTCTTTTAGTCTGGATCATTCCTCCTATCTTACGTATTTATTTTTCAGTAATATAGACATCACTGGACACTTTTTATGTGTCAGGCACAGAACCCAGAACTTCCAGAGTGCTCCACATGGAGATGGCCTGGTCCCTGCCTTCAAAGAGGCATTCGTCTGTAGGGCTGAGAAGAGGAAGACACGTTCCCCCAGATGAACTGTGTGGTACAAGATCAAAGGTGTTGAGTGGACCAGAAAGGCACCCATGCTGATCGCGTTCAAATGAGGGAGAAAGAACACCCTGCTGAACCATCTCTTTGGCTGAACTGTCTCCTTTTCAGATGAGGAAACCGAAGGCAGGAGCCACAGGAAGCTTGCTGGAAGCGGTGAGAAGAGGGCCAGCGTCAGGGATAGAGGTCAGCTCTCCAGGAGAAATCCCGCAGTGGCTGGAAGGGACAGCACCCACGGCAGTCTGGAGAGCAGTTGAAAAGCTGGATATCAGGAATCACAAAGTCTGGTCATTTGGAAACGTATCTTTAGGAGAGGTGAGAACTGCATGTACTTCCACAGCAGCAGGTCGGAGCAGGAGGAGCATGGAGCTGAGAGTCCTACAGGCCTGGATGTGGATCCCGGCTTGCCCGCTTGCACACCACGTGATGGCAGGCAGTGTGCTTCTTTGAGCCTTCGTCTTCTCCTCTGTAAAACGGGGGTGACATACCTGCCTCCCAGACTAGTTATGTGCATTCAGCGGGATATCCCAACATCGCACACACCATGCCTCGTGCTGTGTTTGGTACATTGCAGGTGTTTGCCAGGTGTAAGTTTTCTTCTCTACCTGCAGATTATGGCACAGTGTGACTGGTTTTCTTAATGAGAACCCTGAGTAAATTACACTGAATATATGTCTTATTGAGATGGGGAGGGAGAAAGAGACATATGTAATATTAAAAAATAGTTTCTGGCCGGGCGCGGTGGCTCACGCCTGTAATCCCAGCACTTTGGGAGGCCGAGGCGGGCGGATCATGAGGTCAGGAGATCGATACCATCCTGGCTAACACAGTGAAACCCCGTCTCTACTAAAAATACAAAAAAAATTAGCCTGGCATGGTGGCAGGTCCCTGTATTCCCAGCTACTTGGGAGGCTGAGGCAAGAGAATGGTGTGAACCTGGGAGGCGGCGCTTGCAGTGAGCCGAGATCATGCCACTGCACTCCAGGCTGGGCGACAGAGTGAGACTCTGACTCGGAAAAAAAAAAAATTCTATCCAGCCGGGCATGGTGGCTCATGCCTATAATCCCAGCACTTTGGGAGGCCAAGGCGGGTGGATCACTTGAGGTCAGGAGTTTGAGACCAGCCTAGCTAACATGGTAAAACCCTGTCTCTACTAAAAAAAAATACAAAAATTACCTGAGTGTGGTGGTGGGTGCCTGTAATCCCAGCTATTCGAGAGGCTGAGGCAGGAGAATTGCTTGAACCCAGGAGGCAGACATTGCAGTAAGCCGATATTGTGCCACTGCACTCCAGCCTGGGCAACAGAGTGAGACTCCTTATTTTTTTTTTTGAGACAGAGTTTCACTCTTGTTGCCCAGGCTGGAGTGCGATGGCGCTATCTTAGCTCACCGCAACCTCCACCTCCCAGGTTCAAGCAATTCTCCTGCCTTAGCCTCCCGAGTAGCTGGGACTACAGGCATATGCCACCATGCCTGGCTAATTTTTGTATTTTTAGTAAAGATGGGTTTTTACCATGTTAGTCAGGCTGGTCTTGAACTCCTGACCTCAGGTGATCTACCTGCCTCAGCCTCCCAAAGTGCAAGGATTACAGGTGTGAGCCACCGCACCCAGCCTGAGACTCCATCTAAAAAAAAAAAAAAAAAAAAAAAAAAAAATTCCATCCAAAGAGAAAAATCTTAAAGAAGAGAGTCTCTTGCTGCTTCAAGAGATAGCTTCAGGAGTGAACTGGATCCTCTCTTGGAATTCATCCTCTGATGAACAGGGGACAGATGACTTAGTGGCATATTATTAGCTGGCTTTTGGGAACAGAAGGAGCCCTTATTCTTTCAGCCATCACACAGCCAGGGATAATCCCCACAGCCAGGGCAGAGCTGCATTTATCCCTTGATGGGCTGGAAAATATATGTATTGTGTCTCAAGAATGCAGGCCGGCTCAGCAGGCAATGAATCAGGTGGCTGCCCCCTTCTTCACGATGCTCGGTCACTTCCTGCCCAGCTATTTTCTCCACCGCCGCCGTTTGATGTTCAGTCCTGAGAACGGATGCTGGGGCTCCCAGCCTCGCAGCATCATGCCCAGGACCGCTGTCTGCCAGAGCATGAAGTCAGCCTTGGAGAGCACATGGCTCCTGGATCAAGAGCGTTCTCCATGCCCCACTGTGATGGGGATTAGGTGTCACTAGAAATGAGGAACTCGGTTATCCTGAGCCAAGACCATTCCCTGGCACTGAGGTGAAGGGTGGGGGTCCTAAGCCAAAATGCCCAGAGTCTCAAGAAGAAATTCAAGAAGAGAGAGGCCATAACTCTCCTTTTAGTTCAATTCAACTATATTATGCACCTTCCCCAGCTTTCTTTCTTTCTTTCTTTCTTTTTTTTTTTTAGACAGGGTCTCACTCTGTCACCCAGGCTGGAGTGCAGTGCCATGATCTTGGCTCACTACAACCTCGGCCTCCCAGGTTCAAGTGATTCTTGTGCCTCAGCCTCCCAAGTAGCTGGGATTAGAGGGAGGTGCCCCCATGCCAGGCTAATTTTTGTATTTTGAGTAGAGACCGGGTTTTCCTATGTTGTTCAGGCTGGTCTCAAATTCCTGTCCTCAAATGATCCACCCGCCTTGGCCTCCCAAAGTGCTGGGATTACAGGCAGGAGCCACTGCGTCTGGTCCCCAACTTTCTATCATGAAAAATGTCAAGCATTTAGGTAAGTACAAAGCGTAATAAATGAACACCCATATCTAAATGCGACCACTGTTAACACTTTGCCAGTTTGCTTTCTCCCTCTCTCCCTTCTCTTTCTTTCTCTGTAGCTAAGTCTTATTTTGCTATGCCATTTGAAAGTAGTAGACAATATGCAAATTCACCCTTAAATATTCAGTATATATCTCCTAAGAAAAAGGACAATCTCCAAAATGCCATTGTTTTACCCAATAAAATTAGTAATAATTCTATATCATGTCTTAGGCAGTTCGCATGTAAATTTTTCCAGTTCTTCCAACAATGGTATAGCTGGGTTCTCCCCAACCCCCAAGTAAAGATGGAATCTTTTTTTAGGCATTACACTTGATGAGTATGTCTCTTTAGTTTCTTTTAGTCTTGATCATTCCTCCTACCTTATTTAGTTATTTTTCGGTAATATAAACATTATCGGGGCTGAGTGCAGTGGCTGACGCCTGTAACCTCAGCACTTTGGGAGGCTGAGGTGGGTGGATCACCTGAGGTAAGGAATTCAAGACCAGCCTGGATAACATGTTGAAACCCTGTATCTGCTAAAAACACAAAAATTAGCCGGGTGTGGTGGTGGGTTCCTGTAATCCCAGCTACTCAGGAGGCTGAGGCAGGAGAATCACTTGAACCTGGGAGGCAGAGGTTGCAGTGAGCCGAGATTACACCACTGCACTCCAGCCTGGGTGAGAGAGTGAGACTCCATCTCAAAATAAAATAAAGTAAAAAAAAGTAAACTGAAATAAAATAAAATAAAATAAATCTTATTGGACATTTTACGTGCCAGACACAGAACCCAGCCCTTCCAGGGAGATACAGATGGAGACAGCCTGGTCTCTGTCTTCGAGAAGGCGTTCACCTCTAAGAGTGAGAAGAGGCAGACATATTCCTCCAAATGAACTGTATGGTACAAGATCAAAAGTGTTGAGGGGATCAAAAAGTCACACATGCTGATGGTGTTCGAATGAGGGAGAAAGAATGTCTCGCGGAACAAGGTGGCCCCAGGGAGGGAATGCTAGGGCACTCTGTGAAGAGGCATTCATGTGGGGCCCTGTGGAGCAGGAAGAGTGCTCGAGAAGTCAAGGGTGCAAGAAGGCATCCTCAGCAAGGGGACAGGAGGGCCAAAGGCAGAAGTGGGAAAGCTCACAGGGGCCCAGGAAATGAAGGCTTCTGGAAAGCTGTGGTACAGGGAAAGCCAAGTCGACAGACATCAGACATTGATGGATTTCTCGAAGGGTCCTTTCCTCTGGGAGGGGAAATGGGTGGCTGGGGGGACACAGGACAGGAGGGGGACTTTCTTTTGGCTTTTTGCTATTTACCTTTCTGTAACTTTTGAATTATGTGCTTGGTATATGTGTCACCTATTCCAAAAACTAACTAACACTTAAAAAAAGGTCTAACATGGCCAGATGCGGTGGCTCACACCTGTAATCCCAGCACTTTGGGAGGCCGAGACAGGTGGATCACCTTAGATCAGGAGTTCGAGACCAGCGTGACCAACATGGTGAAATGCCGTCTTTACTAAAAATACAAAAATTAGCTGGATGTGGTGGCGTGCACCTGTAATCCCAGCTACTCAGGAGGCTGAGGCAGGAGAATTGCTTGAACCTGGGGGGCAGATGTTGCAGTGAGCCAAGATCGTGCCATTGCACTCCAGCCTGGGTGACAGAGTGAGACTCCGTCTTAAAAAAAAAAAAAAAAAAAAAAAGGTCTAGTATGAAAAATGCTTCCCACCTTGCAAATACAATAAAAATGAATATTATGCCTGCTTTCAAGAAGGTTATGTAGAGTCTTATAAAAACTCACTGTTAATGCAGGAGTAAAAATTGCTAGCACATTTTCGTCTCTGCTCTGCTAAAGATATTGTGAGCATTGGTTCATCTAATGCTCATGTAAACTCTGCGAGGGAGGCACTATGATTAGCTACGAATCCCAGAAGAGGAAACCAAGGCACGAGACAGGTAGAGAAACTTGCTTGGGGTAGGTAGCTAGTGAGTGACCGGCCAGGATTATAATGGAGTCCGGTTTGATGTCAGAGCCTTGCAGAGAACCACCTCCCTAACTATTAATACATGAGAAAAGATTAGGGGATGGACGGTTCAGGAGTTATGACATAAGCTGGAAAGTTTGCAAAGTTAATCAGAGTAAATTTCCTGAAAATGTCAAACTTCGATCTGTGAGTGAAAGGGAGAGCTGGTGCTGAAAGATGAACAAGTAATGAGTTGACGGGGAAACCTAAGCCACGGGGAAACCTAAGGAGAGGACTCAAGATGAGAGTCAGGTCCAAGACACTCAGCTGGCAAAAAGGAGACGACCCCGTATCTATGGTGGGGCAGGTGGCGGCTACCGTCGCAGGCTGCATTGAACTCAGATGATTGACGGGACCCTTGTGGTAGGGAGCTCAGAGCAACATGATTGAAGCCGAGAAGAATGATTTGAGCAAAACAGGTGAAGACAGATTCCAAGGACAAAAAAAGGAGGCAGGCATGGCCCAGGACCTTGCCAGGGGATTTGGAGAAAGGAATTAAAAGTAATGGATGGGCCTGAACAATGACATAGACAAGGAAGCAGATAAATTAGTCTGCCAGCTATATATCAGGCATGGAAGGGAAAGATCAAAGATCACTGTGAGGTTACCAAAGGGATGAAATTGGGAGCAAACGGCATCATGATAATAGAAAATATAGAAGAAAGGTGGCCAATTTGGGAGGTAGGGGTTGGTTAAAATGTAAGCCATAACCTTTATTTATTCATTTATTTTTATTTTTTATTTTTTTATTTTTGAGATAGAGTCTTGCTCTGTCGTCCAGGCTGGAGTGCAGTGGCACGATCTTGGCTCACTGGAACCTCCGCCTCCTGGGTTCAAGCGATTCTCCTGCCTCAGCCTCCCGAGTAGCTGGAATTACAGGCACCCACCACCATGCCCAGCTAGTTTTTGTATTTTTAGTAGAGATGAGGTTTCACCATGTTGGTCAGGCTGGTCTTGAACTCCTAACCTCCAGTAGTCCGCCCGCCTTGGCCTCTCAAAGTGCTGGGATTACAGGTGTGAGCCACCGAACCCAGACTATAACCTTTAATTTAACACTGAATTTTTGTTTAAAGCAGCGATTTCAAACCTGGCTATCCCTTAGAATCACCCGAAGAGCTGTTTGTATAATCAATTGGTTCTGGAAGAAAAGACTCTATAGCAATAGAGAGGATAAAATACTTAAGAATAAACTTAACAGGAGATATGCAAAACTTTAAACTGCTGAAGGACACAAAAGTAGATATTCCTTGCTTTGGATAGGGTGATTCACCATCATAAAGATGTTAATTATCCTCAAGCTAATATATAAATGTAATGCAGTCCCAATAAAAATACCAACACTTCCTTTTTCTGGAGCTAGAAACTTGATTTTAAATTTTGTGGATGTATGGTAAAGAAAATACTGAAAAAAGAAAAGCCACAGGAGGACATTCTGCCAGATACTAAAACATACACTCTAAAGTCTACATAATGAAGAGGGCAGTGCTATGCATGAAGAGACAGACTGACCAGCGGAACAGCATAGAGAGTCCAGAAGGAGGCCCGGATACTTATGGAAATGTGATACCTGAAATGGCATCTCAAGTCAGTGGACCAAAGATGGACTCTTTAATAAGTGGTGATGAGACAACCAGATGGCTATTTGGAAAAAAAATGAATCCGGATCCATACCTCACACATACACCAGATTAAATAACAAATAGATCAAATCAAAATGCAAAGCCAGGAAACAGGCACTAAACTAGATCATGGTAGATTCTTTTATAATCTGGAAATGGGGAAGGCCCACCATGACTCAAAAGCAGTAAAATAAAAAACAATAGATAAATCCAACATCATAACAATTAAAAATCTTTATAGGAAAATTAAAATAGAGCCAAAAGACATGACAGGCTAGGCACAGTGGCTTATGCTTGTAATCACAACACGTTGGCCAGCTGAGGTGGGAGAATTGCTTGAGCTCAGGAGTTCCGGACCAGCGTGGGCAACAGAGTGAGACCTTGTCTCTACAAAAAAAAACCAGCAGGCATGGTGGTGCATGCCTACAGTCCCAGCTACTTGGGAGTGGCTCATGCCTGTAATCCCAACACTTTGGCCAGCTGAGGTGGGAGAATTGCTTGAGCCCAGGAGTTCTGGACCAGCGTGGGCAACAGAGTGAGACCTTGTCTCTACAAAAAAAAAAAAAAAAAAACTTAAAAAACTAGCCAGGCATGGTGGTGCATGCCTGCAGTCTCAGTCTCAGCTACTTGGGAGGCTGAGGGGGGAGGACTGCTTGAGCCCATGAGGCCAAGGCTACAGTGAGCTACAATCACGCCACTGCAGTCTAGCTCTGGCAACAGAGCAAGACAAAAACAAAAACAAAACAAAACTAAAAGACGTGATAAAATGGAAGAAAATATTTGTAATTTACATCACAAAGGGCCAACTTCCTTAATGCATAAATAATTCTTAGAAGTTACGAAGAAAAAGACAAGGAAAACAACAAAACCCTGCAGATAGCAACAAATGGCAAATAAACAAGCAGACGGTTTATAGAAAATGATACACAGAAGGGCTTTAAACATATGAAAAATGCTTACCTTTCCCTATTTAAGAAAAATGCATATTGAAAACACACTTTCTAACCAATCACATTGGAGAAAATCCAAATGCTGGGCAAGACATTCTGTTGGCAAAGCTGTCATAACACACACACTCACACTTTTCTGGTGGGTGGAAAATTGTGCAACTGCTACGGAGGATAATTTAGAAAAACAAACTAGCAAAATGATACGTGCAATTTCCCTTCCATTGGGAAAACCACTTCTAGGAACCTACGGTAAGAGATATTTTCACAAATACTAAAATACTGTGAGCATAACGATATTTATTGTGGCACTGTTCATAATAGTAAAAGATTGGAAACAGCCTATGTTTATTGACAGGAGGCTAATTGAATAAATTATGTTATATCCACATGAGACAATGTTATGCACCCTTAAAAAAGAATCAGAGGCCGGGTGCAGTGGCTCAAACCTGTAATCCCAGCACTTTGGGAGGCCAAGGCAGATGGATCACTTGAGGATAGGAGTTTGAGACCAGCCTGGCCAACGTGGTAAAACCTCATCTATACTAAAATACAAAAATTAGCCGGGTGTTGTGACAGGCGCCTGTAGTCCCAGCTACTTGGGATGCTGAGGCAGGGGAATCGCTTGAATCCAGGAGGCAGAGGTTTGCAGTGAGCCAAGATTGTGCCACCACACTCCAGCCTGGGTGACAGAGCAAGACTCTGTCTAAAAAAAAAAAAAAAAAAGAATTAGAAAGGTCTCTATGAGCTGAAATAGGTTAATTTCCAGGATATAGCGTTAAAAAAAAAACAGTGTTCTGGAATGTAATATTTTGAGACAAGAACATCTAACATAGGAAGGATAAATCAGACACTATTGAAAATGATTACTTATAGAGGGTGAATGGGACCCAGGAGAGGAGTGCCTTCTTATATGATTTTGACTTTTGAACCATATAAATGGTTTACAGATTTGAAAATAAATGTAAATATAAAGGAAAAAGCAAATCCTGAAATTGAATATGAACAGAACATTAATAAATCTAACATATCAAACTGATAACATAACTACACTTACAAAAGACTTAATTCCTGTCAATTTTGAAAAGTACTCTGTACATTCTTAGTGAGATATATTCAAAGCATAAAAAGAACTGCAGTGGCTGGGTGCGGCGGCTCACGCCTATAATCCTAGCACTTTGGGAGGCCAAGGCATGTGGATCACCTGAGGTCAGGAGTTTGAGACCAGCCTGACAAATATGGCGAAATCCCATCTCTACTAAAAATACAAAAATTAGCTGGGCGTGGTGGCGCGTGCCTGTAGTCCCAACTACTGAGGAGGCTGAGGCAGGAGAATCGCTTGAACACCGGAGGCAGAAGTTGTAGTGGGCCGAGATCACACCACTGTACTCCAGCCTGGGGGACAGAGGGAGACTCTTCTATCTATCTACCTACCTATCTTTCTATCTATTCAAATCTACAGCCTATTTTAGGTTGAAAGAGATCAAAGAGATAGAACAAAATGCAATACTACATGAACCTTGGTGAGGTCCTAGGTTGAAGAGAAAGAAGGAAAAAAGGAAAGGAAAAAAAGAACAATCTGATGAGACATTTGGGGGACAAATTGAAGAAATTTGAACATAAACTGGATATGAAATGATACTCACGGAATTTGTTAATTTTCTTAGGTGTGTAAATAGCGTTACAGTTACGCAGGACACTGTTGCTTACTTATAGGAGTTTTAGACTGAAATATTTGGAGAAAGGTAACTAATACAACACACTGCAAACAAGAAGAAAATAAAGGAGTTTACATCAGTAGTTTTCTGATGCTTTAGTTTGCTTTTCTTTTACCACAAGTGAGGTTGAACCTCAGCTTACACACTTGCTTGTCATTTGTAGTTCTGTGAATAGTCTTCATATCCTTTGCCCTTTTTCTCTTAAGATGTTAATGTTTTTCTATTTTAAGAACTTTCACATAGCAAAGATTTTAGTAATCACTGTGTATATTACAAATATTTTCCCCATTTGTTTCTTATCTCCTCTGAACCTCTCTACAATCCCAGGGGTTAGGCAGAGCAGGTGGAATTATCCCCACTTGATTGATGGGGAAACTATGACTCAGTGGGGAATGTTTGCCCAGGGCAACAGGGCTGTGGGAAGACCTCATGTCCCAGGATGTCCTGCTGCCCCGCAGGGATGTGAGCCCTAATAGCATCTTTTAGGATTACAGGACAAATAATTTTCCCTATACAAATTAAAATTTCTTAAATATTTGGGCCTCAATTTCCTCCTCTCTTACCAAAAAAGTGGAGTTGAGGCCGGGTGCGGTGGCTCACACCTGTAATCCCAGAACTTTGGGAGGCCCAGGCAGGCAGATCACTTGAGGTCAGGAGTTCGAGACCAGCCTGGCCAACATGGTGAAACCCCATCTCTACTAAAAATACAAAAATTAGCCAGGCATGGTGGCTGGCGCCTGTAATCCCAGCTACTCAGGAGGCTGAGGCAGGAAGGCTGAGGCAGGAGAATCGCTTGAACCTGGGAGATGGAGGTTGTACTGAGCTGAGACCACGCCATTGCCCTCCAGTCTGGGTGACAGAGTGAGAGTCCATCTCAAAAAAAAAAAAAAAAAAGAGGAGTTGAACTAAATGACCTCTTAAGTCATCTTCAGGTTGGGCACGGTGGCTTGCGCCTGTAATCCCAACACTTTCGGAGGCCGAGATGGGAGGGTCTCTTGAGCCCAGGAATTTAAGACCAGCCCTGGCAACATAGCCAGACCCCATCTCTACAAAAAATAAAAAACAAAAAAATCAGCTGGGCGTGGTGGTATGTGCCTGTAGTCCTAGCTACTCCAGACGCTGAGGTGAGAGGATTGCTTGAGCCTGGGAATTTGAGGCTGCAGTGAGCCACGACTGCACCACTGCACTCCAGCCTGGGTGACAGACTGAGACCCTGTCTCAAAAGGAATAAAGAAAATAAAATAAAAAATCATCTTCAGCTCTGCTATCTTCTGATTCTGTGATTTAAGGCACAAGAGAGATTTACTTGGACCAAAGCACTGGCTTTATCTCAAAGCGTGTATGTATGTTGAAGGTGGGGAGGCAGAGGCAGCTGGGTTATCAGTCCCACGTGTGACATTCTCCAGGGGGAATGTCCATGACAGTACATTACCAACAACATTTCCTTCATAGGCTTGAGTTCCGAAATGCCTCTCTCCAACCAAAAGCAATCAAGCACACACTGCAACAATAAACTCCAGCATTTCTGTTCCATGGCCAAAGAGTAGTAGGTCAAGGGAGATACTACTTTTACCCACAACCCCTGCAGGCATCATCAGTGGATCACAGCACCCAACATTTGAGCCTGGCCACGGCTTCATAATCATACTTAGTGCTGTATTGTAGGAAGCAAATGACTTGACTGAAATTGACCCAGAGATAAACTATCTTACTGACACTAGACTATTTTTCCTAATGATCTTTTTTTTCACTGTCAGTTTCTCCAAGTGAAATTTACAGTGTTTTGTTTGTTTGCTTGTTTGAGATGGGGGTCTCACTGTGTTGCCCAGGCTTGTTTTGAACTCTGGGGCTCAAGCAGTCCTCCTAGTTCAGCCTCCCTAGTAGCTGGGATTGCAAGCACATGCCACAGTGCCCAATTAATAATGACTCTTTCTTACTGCAAAGTTAATATATGTTCATTTAGGAAGATGTGGAAAATAAAAAGCCATCCACAAACACACCACTATTATTAATGCCTGTTAAGGTTTGGGTATTTTTTGTGCTTATGCAAACAATGGGATCAAACTTCTACGGCTTACTTGCTCAAAGTACATATTGGATATCTTTTCAGATCATTAAATATTAATCAATAGCTCTATTTTAATGGTTCTACGGTACCCCACTTATGAATGTACCACTGTTTTATCTGCTGTAATTGTTTTTGTCTGCTTGTTTTTTGAGATGGAGTCTTCCTCTGTCACCCAGGCTGGAGTGCAGTGGCGCGATCTTGGCTCACTGCAACCTCCAGCCCCTGGATTCAAGTGATTCTCCTGCCTCAGCCTCCCTGAGTAGCTGGGACTACAGGCACGCACCACCACGCCCAGCTAATTTTTTTTGTACTTTTAGTAGAGACGGAGTTTCACCATGTTGGCCAAACTGGTCTCGAACTCCTGACCTCAGGTGATCCGCCCGCCTTGGCTCCTAAAGTGCTGGGATTACAGGCGTGAGCCACCATGCCCGGCCTCTGCTGTATCTTATGGATGCCCTAGAGTTGGGCATCTAGGTTGTTTTCCATTATTTACTATTTCCATGATTATTACAAAAATACTGCAGTGAACAAATTCTTGTGCATATCTATGATTCTGTTAATAAATGCATAAAGATGGAATAGCTGGCTTGCTGTATATCAACAAATTGCTACCCAGAAAGACTGCCACACTTCACATTCCATCGCTTTCCATGTGAGAGTCCATTTTACCCCCATCCTCAATGGGTAACATCATTCTTTTAGTGTTTTGTCAAACTGAGACAAAAATTCCACTGTTTGAATTAAATTATTAACTATTTGTATTCCTCTTTTCTGAAGCTGTTTGTGTCCTTTGCCCTGCTTTTTCTCAGGGTCATTTTTTTTTTTTTTTTTTTTTTTTGAGACAGAGTCTAGCTCTTGTCGCCCAGGCTGGAGTGCAGTGGTGTGATCTCGGCTCACTGCAAGCTCCGCCTCCCGGGTTCATGCCATTCTCCTGCCTCAGCCTCCTGAGTAGCTGGGACTATAGGCACCGGCCACCACGCCCGGCTAATTTTTTGTATTTTTAGTAGAGACAGGGTTTCACTGTGTTAGCCAGGATGGTCTCGATCTCCTGACCTTGTGATCCGCCCGCCTCAGCCTCCCAATGTGCTGGGATTACAGGCGTGAGCACCTGTAATCCCAGGGTGGGAACACCCGCGCCCAGCCAGGGTGTTCATCTTTTATTTCCTTATGAATTTGTAAACACTGCTTATATATCGGTGATAGTAACTCTTTGTTATATATTTTTGATCAAGCCTAGTAATGGTTTACTTTATGCTTTCTGCCTTTGCTGTCATGCTTACAAAAACCATCCCTACTATTTTAGTCTGACTTTGGTGGTTACAAAAACAGGCTCATTCTGAACCTCCAGAGAAAGAAAGGGAGGAGGCAGTGGGTATTGTAAAACTCATGTTCATTTTAAAGGAGGACACAGACTAAGAACCTAACTTGTTTCATTTCATTAATCACTGTTCCAATATTTTTAATAATCTTGATCATCATACTATCTTTGTTACATAGTAACGTTTTACATAATATGGATCTATTCCATACTTTTATTTCCAACTGGATCTTTCTGTTAAATGCTACATAAGTACTACACTTTAAAAAAAGTATTATGGCTCAGCAATATAGATTACTATTGATAAGGCAGGTCTTTCCTCCTTGGTCTTATTTTTCACATTTATTTTTCCAAATCTCAGAATCTTTCTGTTGAGCTACAAAAAAAAAAGACACTGTAATTTTTAAGTAAGGTTTATTGAGGTATGTATATTACAATTCACCCTTTTAAAGTGCGCAGTTCAGTGAGTTTTCACAGATGTATGCAGTTGTGCAGCGACCACTACCAAGACACAGATCATTTTTACCACTTCCCCAAATCCCCTCCTGCCCCTGGCAATCATTTGCCACTGCAATATTATTAGGCCTGTGTTGAAGACTTAAGTCAGGAGAAAACTGACATATTTACATTGAGTCTTCTCACCAAGGAACAAACTATTTTCTTAATTAATAGCTCATCATTTTTTCCAAAATTTTATAATTTTCTTCCCCTGGATCTGAGTCATTATTACATTGATTCTATTTATTATAGATTCTGTGTGGTTATTGTGAATTTAGTAATTTTTAAATACAGTAGGCATTGATTTTTGCATATTTACAACTGGATGCTGAGTAGATACATAAAACACTCAAAAGAGAGTTGAAGTTTAGGTGCACTAGTTGGCACTTTGGGGCCTCATGTCTAAAAGCTGCCCTAATTTTTCTTTTTTTTCTTTTTTTTTTTTTTTGAGATGGAGTCTTGCCCTGTTGCCAGGCTGGAGTGCAGTGGCATGACCTCAGCTCAGTGCAATCTCTGCCTCCCGGGTTCAAGCGATTCTCCTGCCTCAGCCTCCTGAGTAGCTGGGACTACAGGCGCCCGCCACCACGTCTAGCTGATTTTTGTAATTTTAGTAGAGATGGGGTTTCACCATGTTGGCCAGGATGATCTCGATCTCTTGATCTCGTGATCTGCCTTTTCTTTATCTTGTCTGGTTATGTGCATCCCAGAGGCACTCTCCAGGGCCTACTTTTTATATCCCTCGTACTCAGCTTAACATAGGTATTCCGCAATGTTGACGTCGTCAATCAATCAGTGAATGACTGTCTTGTGCTGTGATCCCGCACGTTCCCGACAGGGCTTTCTGAATGTACGGGGCTGAGGCTGGTACAGGGAAAAGTGAGCCATACAAAGGCCTGCCCTGCTTCGGGCACTGAACGCTTGCCTGTCTCCGTTAGGAATGGAATGTAATCCTTGCAGGGCTCTCTGCCCCACTTTCTTCTGTAACTAAGACGGCCTTAGCAGAGCCTGGGCTGACAGGGAAGCAGGCAGTTAGTCTCTCAGTCTATTGCATCAGTGGTTCTCAGCAGCCTACTGCACTAGGGCCAACAGAGATCAAATGATCCTCAATCAGGTTTCAATTGAGTATTTGAGAATGCCTACATGGAAAGACTGCACTGAGCCCCGATAAGGCCCCACAGGGTAACCAAGCAGCATCTCTCCCTGCTTTTTGATCATATTATAACAACTCGATGGAGAAACGCTTGGTATACTGTGCTGAATAGAAGTTCTGACAGGGAGTGACAGTCGTCTTTGACAAAAATTTCAAAAGTGGGGCAATTAAATAATTATCAGAAAATGGAATTTGTTTATTTGAGAGACTCTTCAAATTGTGTTTCATGGGAGCGAAATTAAATAAAGAGCTTCCTGGAGGGGGAAAGATTACTTAATTCATTATTCTTTCTTGACTTTTTCCCCTTCCCTATTGGGTAAAAATTAATAGACTCTGTGGTATTGGGGGTTGAGGAGAATCCATGTGCCTAAGACTGAGGTGGGGATCTTGTTAAAATACAGACTGTGGGCCAGGCGTGGTGGCTCACATCTGTAATCCCCAGTACTTTGGGAGGCCAAGGCGGGTGGATCACCTGAGGTCAGGAGTTCAAGACCAGCCTGGCCAACATGGCGAGATCCTGTTTCTACTAAAAATACAAAAATTACCATGCACGCCACCGGGCATGGTGGCGGGCGCCTGTAATCCCAGCTACTTGGGAGGCTGAGGCAGCAGAATCACTTGAACCAGGGAGGTGGAGGTTGCAGTGAGCCAAGATCGCACCACTGCTCTCCAGCCTAGGCAACAAGAGCGAAACTCCATCTCAAAACAAACAAACAAACAAACAAAAAAACAGACTGTGATTGAGGAGAGCTGGAGTGGAGCCTGAGAAGCTGCATTTCTGCTAAGTACCCCAGTGGTGTGACACTGCCGGACCACAGACTACACTGAGTAGCAAGGCTGTAGAGGGAGTCTGAGTATTAGCTTTGCTACAAACTTGTAGATAATTCACCACTTGGGCCCTTCTTCCTCTATACAGTGAGGACATACCAGATGGTGTGTGACACGTCTGACATTGTGATGGCGAAACCACCTCAAGGTCCTCACGAAACCTTGGTGGCCAAGGCCCTTGGTATGACCTCTTGAGACCAGGAGGCTCTCACAGGCATCTACAGAGCTCAGCCTTGGCCCCTTACCTTTGCATCATCCTTGAATGGAAAAAGGATCACGGGCTGCCAACTGCAGACCCACCCAGGAATACTTCAGATGGCTCAAACACAGTGGTAATGTCCCTGGCTTACTCCATCAAAATGCAGTGAGCATCATCAGAGTGGTCCGGAGCTTGACTGACAACGACCAGCTGCTGCTCACCACAGCAGCCAACAAGGAATGTGCCCACTCTCCCCTTCAGTTTGCTCCTCCTCAGTGTCAGGGTCCCAGGGCCCTAGAAGTCTCTAAAAGCCACTGAGCAAACTTCTTTGCCTCTCAAAGCTGTGGCAACTTTAGGTCCGTCCTCCAGCTTAGGGGTGACTAGAGCGATTGATTTCCTGCCCCTTCAACTGAGGGTGAGAAGACACTGTCTCTGGGGCCTAAGTGTGGCTACTCTGCTCTGCCACACCACACCTGAGGCCCACTCTCCTACCATCTGCCTCCTGCTGTTGCTGAAGCTTGCTGACACTTTCTCCACGCTGTCTTCTTTCAGGCCTTCTCTCGCCTGGGCAACCTGATGCTGGCATTAGCTTTTATCTCTCTGCCCAAGCTACAGCAAATTGCTGAGAGCTGTCCAATGCATTCTCCACATCACAGACTTGCTTTCTTTCAAGACTGCCTTTTGCAGGGACTCTTTTTCCCCTCTACTTTTCTTTTGGAGTTATAGGGTGCAAACAGTAAAAGGCATAAATCTTAAGTTCAAAGTTTAATATGTTTTTATGTATGTAAATCATCACCCAGATCAAGCTACTGAACATTTCAATGGCTCTGGAAGCTCTCCTGGCACCCCCTTCTGAATTACTAACCATCTCACCTCCTGCCAGAGTTAAGCACTATTCTGACTTTTAACACGATGGGTTAGTTTTCCCTGTTCTCCTAGTATCATACTTCATCCTAACACAATTATTCCTGTTTTACAAATTTAAAGAAAAAAAACACCCAACAACGAGGACAAATGCGTTAGTCTTTTTAAACTGGTCCAACCTGAATAACGCCACCCTATGTTTAAGAATGGGAAGAGAGGCTTGGCGGGGAGGGTTGTCTTTCCCTAGGGTTGTGTCTTCCTTGAACTGGGTGCAAACATGGACAAAGTCACATGTATGACATGGAGACAACACATCCCCACAACGAACTGCATCATAGCTCCTTGAAATCAAAGGACCAAATTATAAACGAGTTTACACTGACTGGATATTTGATATTAAGCAAAAACCAAACGACAAAATCCAAGAGCAAAAACAAAAACCTTTTTGCTGTGCTGATGAAACTGTGGTTGTTTTTTTCTTTCTTTCTTTTTTGTTTTTTGAGACAACTCTTGTTGCCCAGGCTGGAGTGCAGTGGCGTGATCTCGGCTCACTGCAACCTCCGCCTCCCAGATTCACACGATTCTCCTACCTCAGCCTCCCGAGTAGCTGGGATTACAGGCACCCGCCACCACGCCCGGCTAACTTTGGTATTTTTAGTAGAGACGGGTTTCTCCATGTTGGTCAGGCCAGTCTCGAACTCTCAACCTCAGGTGATCCACCCGCCTTTGCTTCCCAAAGTACTGGGATTACAGGCATGAGCCACCGTGCCCAGCCAACTGTGGTTGTTTTTAAAGGACAAAGTTGGTCTCTTTCAGAGGCACATGCTGGGAATGGGCTGGGGTGGCAGTGGGTGGGGGGGTGCAGACAAAATTAAATGGTGGTAATCACTGAAGCTTGCTGATGGGTACATCAATTAGTTAACTATTCTACTTTTTGAATAAGTTTCCAAATTTTCACAATAAAAAGGAAAAAAAGAAAACTCAAGTTTTCTTTCGGTTAAATACCCACATCAATGTTCTCATGAAATAGTGCACAGAGTCAGTGACTTTAAGGCCCCTTATGAGGGGGACATTAGCATCCTCATGTTGAAGATTGAAAGGAAATACCTCCAAGTATTATTTCTTGGTAGTGGAACAACAGTGATTGAAAATTTTCTTCCTTCAACTTTTCTGTATGCCAAACTTTCTTTACTGAGGATATAGTATAATTACGGAAGAAGAGCCAACAAACTTTCAAATACATTGGAAAAGTATATAGAAAATAATTACCCCTATAAGGTCTAAAGGTGTTATTAAGGAATATGTGGCTAAAGAGGCTATTACTTGAATCTTGTTAATGAATAGAAATAACCGTCCATTTTGTTACACAGTAATATAACCCCTAACTGGTAAGTAAAAAGCACAAACTAGGCCGGGCGCAGTGGCTCACGCGTGTAATCCCAGCACTTTGGGAGGCCAAGGCGGGCGGATCACCTGAGGTTGAGAGTTCGAGACCAGCCTGACCAACATGGAGAAACCCGTCTCTACTAAAAATACAAAAATTTAGCTGGGTGTGCTGGTGGGCGCCTGTAATCCCAGCTACTCGGGAGACTCAGGCTGGAGAATCGCTTGAACCTGGGAGGCGGAGGTTGCAGTGAGCCAAGATTATGCCATTATTGCATTCCAGCCTGCGTGAGAAGAGCGAGACTCCATCTCAAAAAGAAACAAATAACAACAACAAAATAAAAACCAAAAAAAAGTACAAACTAATTGGGTAACAAATGCTCGCATGGGTGACTGCTCTTTTAAAGGTAGCTCATATACACATACACAAAGATTTAAATGGTACTAAACAGAAAACCAAAAAAGGTTTGGGAGATTATGGATGATTTGAAAATATTAATGTCAATTTCTTTTAAACATAAATTTAAGAACAATAAAAGCTATTTTAAAGGATCTTATGCAGACGCATTTACAATTTAAAATCATTAGCCTCCCAACTCGCATATTTTACTGGTAGTCAGTAAATCTCACCTCTTACACTTAAGATATCAGCTGCTTCATGAACAGCCAGACACATGAATACATTCATGCCTACTGCATTGATAGGATTCTTATACTTTTCAAATAAACAAGTGGCATTTCTTAAAATATTAATTCTATTGAAGAGTCTAGTGAAAACACTGTAACCCACCCAGGTAAAGATTTGCAAGGGATATTTCACTGAAACACAGCCTTGAGGCCGGGCGTGGTGGCTCACACCTGTAATCCCAGCACTTTGGGAGGCCGAGGCGGCGGATCACCTGAGGTCGGGAGTTTGAGACCAGTCTGACCAACATAGAGAAACCCAGTCTCTACTAAAAATACAAAATTAGCCGGGTGTGGTGGCACATGCTTGTAATCCCAGCTACTTGGGAGGCTGAGGCAGGAGAATTGCTTGAACCTGGGAGGTGGAGGTTGCAGTGAGCTGAGATTGCGCCATTGCACTCCAGCCTGGGCAACAAGAGTGAAACTCTGTCTCAAAAAAGAAAAGAAAAAAAAAACAGCCTTGCTTTTGATTTCCCAAGATTTGCAGCTGAAAAACGTTGCCCCACTGGCATACGGAACCTCCGTTTTGGTTGGATTCACACAGTCACCATAAGCGCACGATAGCAGCAGAACAAACAGGAACCTACCTAGAAATTGGGACCCGAGTTTTGCGCCTTAATTCTCCGAGACTGTCCCCTTGTGCATAAACAGGAACATCTGGAAGACGTCACCTCTAAGGTCCCCTTCCCCACTTCTAACATTCTGACTTCAAGCCTTTAAACTTGACACTAGAATGAAGAACAAATAAAAGTTTTCTCCAAAAGCTGCTGTTCCCTTTTTGGATCATTTCACAAGCCTTAACCTGCAACAGCTGAGAACGAAGACTGAATCTTATCTAAGAGCAAACTTGCTGCAAAGGGATCCACACAAATGTTTTGTGGCTTAAAACAGATAATCTTTTTAAAGATTTGGCCTTTGAGATACTTAATATCTCTTTTGTTAAATGAGAATAGTCTTTTAGTAAGTTCCTTTCTTGACCAGATTCCTAGGAAAGTCATTCTAAACCAACTGCTTCCGAGCTGGTTTCTATAAACTAAATCTTGCAGTTGTTTATTAAGGAACAGGCTATTGTATTAGCTTGCTAGGACTGCCTTACCAGGTTTGGTGGCTAAAACAACAGACATTTATTTCCTCACAGTTCTGGAGCTTGGAAGGCAAAAATCAAGGAGTCAGCAGGGTTTGTTTTTTTTTTTTTTTCTCACAACTTCTCTCTTGGCTTGTAAGATGGCTGTTTTCTCTCTGGCTTCTCATGGTCGTCTCACTGTGTCTCCTATTCTTTTTGAGACGGAGTCTTGCTCTGTCGCCCAGGCTGGAGTACGATGGCGCAATCTTGCCTCACTGCCACCTCTGCCTCCTGGGTTCAAGCGATTCTCCTGCCTCAGCCTCCGGAGTAACTGAGATTACAGGCACCCGCTACCATGCCCGGCTAATTTTTGTATTTTTAGGAGAGAGACGACGTTTCACCATGTTGGCCAGGCTGGTCTCGAACTCCTGACCTTAGGTGATCTGCACGCCTCGGCCTCCCAAAGTGCTGGGATTACAGGCATAAGCCACTGTGCCCAGCTAATCTATTATTTTAAGAACACCAGTCATATAGAATTAGGGCCAACCTAGCAGCCTCATTTTAATTTAACTATCTCTCTAAAGACCCTATCTCCAATTACAGTCACATTCTGAAGTACTGAGATTAGGGCTTCAATGTATAAATTTTGGGGGACATTATTCAACCTATAACTAGCATAGTTTTTTTTCACATACTTTTACTTTGATATATTTAGGTTTAAGTATTGAGAATTTAAAAACCAAAAGACCTCTATCATGTGCGTGTAGAAACATATCATGTAAAAAGAATCTGTTGTCTATCTAGGCATTATATTTGTTGCATCTTAGGATTTACTGAAAAACTTTTGGAGAACTTTGCCCCTAGGGCAGCAGCTTCTGGCAGAAAAAGGCCAAACCCAGGATTCTAGGGCAGTTAAATTTAGAAACAAAAGCCAAGATTCATTCTATCACTCAATAATCATTTTCTTCAATGGCTGACACACCAAAAGAAGGGTCAAATTTATTTATTTTTAAATTCATTTTAATTTCTGTATCTCTACATAGATATATCTAGAGGGTCTCACTCTGTTGCCCAGGCTGGAATGCAGTGGTGTGATTATAGCTCACTGAAGCCTTGAATTCCTGGGCTCAAGTGATACTCCATTTCAGTCTCCTGAGTAGCCAGGACTACAGGCATGTGCCACCATGCCAAAAAAATCTTCTGTAGAGATGGGGGCGGGGGGGGGGGGTCTCACTATGTTGCCCAGGCTTGTCTTGAATACCTAACCTCTAGCAATCCTCAGGCCCTGGCCTCCCAAAGTTTTGGGATTATAGGCATTAGCCATTGTGCCAGGCAAGTTATTTCCCCAAAAAACACTTTCTTAAGGGATGGTCCCAGTCCGCCAGCATCCGAGTCACCTGGGGTATCTGTCATGGAAGCAGGTCTCTGCATCATACTGCAGATTCAGTGAATTCAGCTCTGGGTCTGGGGAACTGCACTTCAGCAAGCGTCCCACCCACCTGCCCGCTGGAGCCTGTGGGTCTCTTTCCTGAGAACTGTGTGCAGCCATCTATGTACCCACTCATCACCCATGAAAAAGATCACGCTTGTCTGAACAGCAAAACTGAGTATGTTTACTTTACACAAAGTACAATCCAGTATATGCAGAAAGGTACTCAGCATCACACTCGTGATCAATATCCTCTTATTTCCATTTGGTATGTCACTGAAAACCTGGCACACCACTTAGCTAAAAATCACATAAAAGAACCCCTAGAGAAATCAAACTGATGTTTTTTTTCCCCCAAACAATAGATTTCCTCTTCATTAGTCAAATCTGATAGTGATATTCATTAATAAGGAAAACTAAAGTTTTCAAGCATCAACTCTGAATGGCAGAGACCCTAATCTGACTGTTATTAGCCACCAAGAACTCAGAAGAGCAAAGAACTCAAGAAGAGGCAAGCAAGAGCACTATGGAAATTATATTCTTTTCTGTGAAATTCAGTCCCACAGCTATTTGAGCAAGGGCCCAAGACGATGGAGAGGCGGCAAAGCTGCTGGGAGGGCCTGTTCGCAGGCAGGAATGCACTGGCTGTGCCTCGCCCCGCCATGTCCTTCCACAGGTGGGCTCTTCACTGGCTTCACTTCAGCTTGATCCTCTGGTCTCCCCACAGCTTCCTGGGAGACTTTGGGTTGTAATCTTTACAGTTCCAAGAATCAATTTTGGTTGAACGCAAGGGTAACATCCCCATCCAAAACAGAAATGTTCTCATGGTATGAAGGCCATTCTGTAGAGTGCACGTATATATGTTTATATTTATATAGGCTCCTATGCGAGACAGTTTCCTTCCTCTTAGCAAGAGAATACTGCATCCAGCAACACTGCTTTGGCTAGCTCTTTTTTCTGTATGGCCTCATGTGTGTGGCAATTGAAGCAGCTATTTCTCCCTTCCTCTTGTTCTGGCCAAAATAATCTAGAAACTCACCATCTGGTCCAATCAAGTACATTATTATTGTGTGATCCACCTGCAGAGAAAAGGGGGGAGAGTGTGACAAAGATTACCAAAATAAGCTGCTTATTTTACTGAATGTATGCTGCAAGATAAGAGAACTTTACATTAATGCTTAAATAACCTTTACAGCATCTATTATTTATGGAATAGGCTTAAGTCTATCATAGCAAATTCCTAACAAAAATTGTCTAAAATCTTTTGTGTCCTAAACATCTGCACTGGTTATTGCTTGTCACATCAGCTAGAACCTGAAATTCTTTTGGTTTAATCCTTAACATATTTACCCACACACTCTGAGAAAAGAATTCACCTTCTAAGAAATAGCTGCTGCAGGCTTTCATAAAGCAGTCAATGTTTGTGGAATAGCAATGCTTGTTGAAAAATACCTTCATTTTTGAGTAAGATATCTCCTCAGACCCTAAACATGTTACAAACAGACATCACATGGAATTAAGTGTTGGTGAAAAACTGCTTTCTTTAGTAAGTTCTTGGGTTTATTCATGTTTTAGAAAGAACTGGTTGTCATTCATTACTGCCAAAATTCTGCTTACCACGCTTTATGAGAAGAAATCAGAAAACTAATCATTAGTTTAAATAATCTATAAATTTGAACAATATTTAGTTTTAATATTAGTAATTCAAACAGAAACAGGAAAAGAAACATTTTTCTCCCCAAGGAAATTTTTGTCTCCTCCACTGAATAATCCTATCTGAAATCAATCCATCACCTGGAAAGCAAATCCTCGGGAGCATAAATGCTGCCCCCCTAACCAGAGAGTCATCGTAAACTCAGCATCCATTTTCCCAGCAAAGTCCTAAAATGGTCCCAGCTCTAACTTTAACTTAGATTAGTCATCAGATTTTTTAGTTAGACACTTCCATAAAATCCAATTTTAAGTGAGATTTGGCACTTAGAGTCCTTGGAATTTATTGCAGGCTTGACTGCTATTTGGCAAGACAAAGAAAGACAGGAATGTGACTACAAATACCAAACTGGAGACACCTCCCAAACATACCCCAGCACGCACTATATGTCTGTGAGGGTATTATTTTTTATACACACATTCTTAAGATAGCAAATGGAAAGAGCACTTGCCTACCCACATAAGGAAAGAATGTACACCAAAAGAGCGCCAACAACTGGATTCCAAGTGCTGTGGGATAGTTCACCGCAGGAGCAAGACGGGGGGCTACGTTTCTCCACATATTTGATACAGAAATCAGAATTAAGTCTCCAGTTCTCTCTTCAAGCCTTACTCTGTAGCTTACATCACTCTTTCTCCCTATTTCTTCCTTTTCTCTATTCTCTGTTAAAAAAAACAAACTACAGTATGTGGGACTTATTTTCTGAGTGTTCTTAATATAAATTACCTTGTAGTACACAACAAAAATATTATTTTATCTGTATCTGTCGAACTTGTCAGAGGTCACTCCTCAATATTCCTTTGGGTTGTGACAGAGCACATTGACATTTATTCTAATACAGAGGTCTACAGAGGTCTTCCAAGTTCTAGTACTTCCTTGTATAGAAAAAGGACACTAGCATTAACTGACAAATTCTTTCACATGTCATCTTAAGCCATGAAACAGGTATTCTCCTCCTCTTCAAATGATATCACAGGCTGGAGAGAGTAAATTATATAATTGGTAAGTGCCAGGCCTAACTTTAAAACCTAGAATCTGTCCAGTTTCAAAGTCCACAAACTTTTATCACCACGTTGCCTCTAGCTCCAATTCTAATGGAGAGCAGCAACTCAGTTTTTCTAGTGTGCAAGTTACGTTTTAGTGTGAATTATTTTTTGAAAAGGTAATATATGCACATAGAAAACGAATATCCAGTTAATGTATACAATGAAAATGTCCCTCCCCCTCTTCACACCCAGAGTGCCTCAGTTCCCCTTAGAGTGAACCAATGCCATCAGTTCCTTCTGTATCCTTCCGAAGAAATTCTCTGCATCTACTATGTGTATATATCCACTACCACTTATTTTTTTTATACACAAGTAACAATATATTCTACAGTACTTGCTTTCTCATTTAACAATATATTGGACATTGTTCTACGTTAGATTATACACAGTAGTTAAAAAATGGTTACTGGATTTTCAGTTTTTTCTCTTTAAAAACAATGCCATAGGGTATATTTATAGGATAAAGTCCAAAAAGTAGAATCTCTTGCATAAAAAGTATATAACTTTAAATGTGAGAAATACTGTTAAACTGCCCTCTGAAGAGGGTGTATGAGTTTAATTCCTATCAACAATGCATGAGTGTGCCTGCTGTTCCAAATTCACTCCTGCAGTTTATTTCCTGCTTTTCCAATTTCGACAATATATTTTCAGATTTTCTGACCACTGCTGAGCCAAGAGAAAAATGTTACCTCATTATACAATTCACATTTCTTTTATTATGAAACTGCACATTTAGGTTTGAAAGCTATTTGTATTCTTTTTTCAAAAGTATTTTCTAACTAATATCTATATAATAATATAGTATTATATATATATAATACAATAATGTGCAGATCCAGCTTTCTATGGAATTCCAAATATTTGGTATACCCAGTTCGATCACTCTGAAGAGTCCACTCAAAAGCCAGAAGCTTGCCTGTTGTTGCTGTCGTTTGGGATTAAGAAAACTTCATTCCATTACATCTCAACATTAACCTTAAAGGTACCCCCTTACTTCCTGCAGGTCCTTAAATGATAACAGAAGTTTCCCAAACCATCCTATGGATGAAAATCTGTGACCTCAAGGGACTGAAGTCATACTAATGAAAAACCTAAGAAGCTGAAGAATGTCTCCCCCTATTGGATGATTTAGCAAATGTACAGCATGAATTCCTCATCGAATCTCATCAAAAGTCAAATTCTTATGGCAGTAGGCCAGTATTTCTCAAAATGGGGCCAAAGATACATTCTACAAGGTCCAAGAAGTTTCCATAAGACTTACATATTTTTGTTTTCATTTGTAATTAAAAACATTAATATCCATATTCTGGATTATCTGTGTTGTGAGTATAAATTTCAGTGCCCAGGCTTGTGTTTGCTCCATGATCTCACTGGCACCTAGCTGCCCACTGCTGTTACAGGCAGACATGAATATGATACATTCTTGCCAAATCAACACTAACCAGGCAAGGCAGGCTACACGATTAAAGGTTTCAAAGTATTTTAAATAGAAAATGCAGAGGGGCAGTTGAGTAGAGTTGGGTATGTGATAGCAGTCTGACCAAAACCCCCTCCCTTCTTGCCCTGAGCAGCACTTTGGTTTCAGCAAAATCTCTTGTCAATGTAACTGAATGTTTTCAATTTAAGTTTTGCAGGCTGTTTGGGTTTATTTGTACAACTGCTTTCTGATTTGACTTTCTGACTCTGAGTTATGAGTTCTAAGCATCAAGACTATGGAGTGTTACCTAGTTTAGGACTGTATACATTTAAACAATTTAATATAACTCATTTAATGCTGGAAATCAGACTGATGAGCTCATCTATTCCTGCTGTCATCATCGGATAAACTCAAAACCAGTTAATACAACTCTCTATAAAGACAGAAGTCCGGAAAGTCCTTTTCCTATGGTTTCCTCTTTTGGCCACTGTGGCTCTCTGCTCTTCTCTCATTCTGCTAGAGAAGCAGCAAGAGGAAAACAGAGGAGGGTCCCTCTACTTTCCTTACAATTAAGGCTTAAAGAAAAGTGCTCATTTTTCTCATCTTTTACTCCAAGGAATCCAAGTTTCCCTAATTCTACGAGGCACCACATCTGGAAGACAGGATTACTGTGTAGGCTTAATTAAGGCAAACAGGCCAGAACCTTGCTTTTAATTCAGGCTGTAGGCTCCAGGGGCACACACGTTCCAGGTTCAAAGGGACAAAGAAATCATAGTTGGCTGTTGAGACAAAGCACTGCAGTGAGACATCCCATCCCCTCTGCATCTCAACTCTTGGGATGGGCCATGGGGAGCTGCTGGATCAGTGACTCAGGGTCTTGGCCATCTTTCTTTCTACAAAGACAGCTTCACAGCTAGAAAGGCTCTTAGGATTACTCTGCCCAAACAATATTATAGAAAAAACAGAGTATGACAACTAAGAAAAATACTGAAATAATGCTAAAATACAACGCCGACTCTTCATATGATAGGAGAAAAATGTCCAAATTGAGAGGAAAATTGGTGGATAGTGGTGGTGCTAATGCCTTTTGGTGCTTCACTGTGAAACCACTGACAAGAAAAGAAACACAGTAACTTGGGCATGACCTTAAGGCTTCTGGGGCAGTGCTGATGAATATGAAGATAGTTAATTTAAGAGCTACACAAGTACAACAGAATTTCTGTTCCTTATCATTAAAAAGCACATATTTAACGCCTAACTGTCCAAGGCATATAGTCAATGGGCAAATAAACCTTTCATCTTTTGCTTTTCAGAATTCTCATTCAACCTAAAAATGCAGTTCTCCATGGCCTAAAACTGGTTCTCCAGAAGAGCAATTTCTGATACCTCTACTGGGGACACAGTGAGAACCAACACAATCTTTTTAAAATAAGTGTTGTTCCAAATGATGGCTTCTCTTTATTTCCAACATGGCACCCAAGTATCTGGTTTTAAACTGCCCTAAAATCCTATATGCCACTATAAGAGAAAAACAGGCAATTGAATTATGAGAACAGTGAATATAAATCAAACAATCATCTTTTAAAAAACTGCTTCTGGCTGGGCGCAGTGGCTCAGGCCTGTAATCCCAGCACTTTGGGAGGCTGAGGTGGGCAGGGCAGACCACCTGAGGTCAGGAATTCGAGACCCCCTGGCCTCGCCTGGCCAACATGGCAAAACTCCTTCTCTACTAAAAATACAAAAACTAGCCAGGCGTGGGAGCACATGCCTGTAATCCCAGCTACGCGAGAGGCTGAGGGAGGAGAATTGCTTGAATCCGGGAGGCGGAGGTCGAAGTGAGCCAAGATCGCACCACTGCACTCCAGCCTGGCTGACGGAGTGAGACTCCGTCTCGAAAATAAATAAAAAGTAAAAAACATGCTTCTATTATCCTTTCAAATATTCAAAATTCCTAAGGAGGCTGGATGCGGTGGCTCACGTCTGTAATCCCAGTACTTTGGGAGGCTGAGGCGGGTAAGGTCAGGAGTTCGAGACCAGCCTGGCCAACGTGGTGAAACCCCGTCTCTACCAAAAAATATAAAAAAGTAGCCAGGTGTGGTGGCGCGCACCTGTAATCCCAGCTACTCGGGAGGCTGACATAGGAGAATTGCTTGAATCTGGGAGGCGGAGGTTGCAGTGAGCGAAGATTGTGCCACTGCACTCCAGCCTGGATGACAGAATGAGACTCCATCTCAAAAAAAAAAAAAAAAAAATTCCTAAGGACTTTGCAATAATCTTAGGTATTCTCTCTTCTCAGAAGCTAGTCAGTCATTGAAAGCCTTATGACTATTTGGGATCTGGGAGCTGGTCCATGGGTTAAAACTGGAACATTTACTCACTATGTAGTCTTCATCTTCGTCCTTGGGGCCAGGGCTGTAATACACTCTGTATGCTCTGGCCACTTGATCGACCTCTTCTCTCGTGCCAGTCAAGCCAACCAGTTTGGGAGAAAATTCTAAATAAAAAATGAGAGAGACAGTGAAAAATGAGAAGCCAGTAAAACAACCATCTCTACTTCAAAAAATGTATCAGTTGTAAAGCAGCTCTACTGCCACTTTCTTCCTGTGAGTCTCCAAACATTTCTTCACGATTCAAAGGAAAAGGAGAAGAAATTCACAAAGAACAAATGAAAATTCTCCTTTGTAATATATAAGTCAAATCTTTTTATGACTATCTAGTAAAGACCTGGAGGGAATATTTTCTAATCACTTGTATCACATTTTAAATTGATTTTTAAGGAGTAGTCACATGTAGTTCTCAGATATACTAAAGCTTAAAATTATTATCATAAATTAAATACTATAACTTTTCATGGCATCATATGGGGAAAAAAATTTGCTTCATAACTAAGTTCATATCAGGTCAAAATACCTGTGTCTTATTTTCCTGCAAATAATTTCAACACTGGTATCAAGTTCTACTCTTTACTTCTGATTTAAAAAAACTGGTTAATTAATACTAGTCATCCCCAAAACGCAATCTTAACAAAGTTCTGAAATAAGGGCAAATCATTCACAGCGTGTATCTGCTATTAAGTTTTTGGAATTCATGTAAGTGAACCGGTAGAGGTCACTTAAAACAACTGGATTCATCAAACTACTGAAATGACAGCCCAACATTTAACAGCAGTTCCTTTTTCTAAAGGTACAGAAGCCAATTTTTGTTCCTTGGATGAACTCATCATTCTAAATGAGACATTGTTCAGATTCTGAAAAGACAGGCTTTCTTTTTCCACTCTGAGTAAATAAAGAGAAAGGTGAATGAAGCCTGAGTTAGCTGCACATTCAAACTTTTTTTAAAACTAAATTGCTGAAACTGCATTTTTTTCTAAATACCAAATTAAAGTTTTAAAAATCTCCCCAAAATGCAACTAGTAATGACTACATCATCAATCGCTATGTTCTGTTGAAAATTACCATAAAGTCTGGTGTTTTGGTTAGGTACAGCAACTCGAATGTCTACTCATTTGGGGATATTATGGTTTGGTTAGTAATATGTGATTTTTGCCAATATAACACATGTTTAAATTGAAGACTGTGCATAACTCAATGAGTTCATAAATATCTGTTTTTCATTGCTTCATGAAATGACTATACTATTGCCCAAATTTCTGACAAACCTATAAACTGTAGATATAAATTATGCTTAAGTATACGTAGTAAAAACTCTAAACTTCAAGAAGAAAACATAAACCTTCGTAACCTTAGGTTAGTCAAAGATTTCTTATATACCAAACCAAAAGCACTATATTAAAAGGACAAACTGATAAATTTGGACTTCATTAAAACTGAAAACTGCTGTTTGAAAGGCACTGTTAAGAGACTGAAATGACGAGCCACAGACTGGCAGAAAATATTTGCAAATCACACACCTAACTTGTATCCAGAATATAAATAATACATATACACATAATGTGAAAACAAAGAACTCCATAAAAAGCGGTCAAAAGATATGAACAGACACTTCACTAAAGGTAATACAGATGGCAAATAAGAGCATAAAAAGAAGCTTAACATTAACAGTCATTAAGAAAATGTATGCCAAAACCACAATGAGATATCACTAAGCACCTACTAGAGTGGCTAAAATTAAAAAGACTGGCCACACCAAGAGTGGTGATGCTGTGGAGGAGCTGGGACTCTCATATACTGCTGGCAGGAATGCAGAAATATACCATTTTGGAAAACAGGTTCTCAGTGTCTTAGAAAGTTAAAATACACCTACTATATGATCTAACCATTCCTATCCTATTTACTCAAAAGAAATGAAAGCATGTGTCCACACAAAAACATGTACATAAATGTTCTTAGCAGCTTTATCTGTAACAGCCAATAAATGCAAAAAACTCAAATGTCTATAGGTGAACTATTAGTCAGCAACAAAAAGGAATGAACTATGATACACAGAAAGTGCAGACTAATCTTTATCAATAGAAAGCAGTTCTGCAGGCCGGGCGCGGTGGCTCACGCCTGTAATCCCAGCACTTTGGGAGGCCGAGGCGGGCGGATCACGAGGTCAGGAGATCGAGACCATCCCGGCTAAAACGGTGAAACCCCGTCTCTACTAAAAATACAAAAAATTAGCCGGGCGTGGTAGCGGGCGCCTGTAGTCCCAGCTACTTGGGAGGCTGAGGCAGGAGAATGGCGTGAACCCGGGAGGCGGAGCTTGCAGTGAGCCGAGATCCCGCCACTGCACTCCAGCCTGGGCGACAGAGCGAGACTCCGTCTCAAAAAAAAAAAAAAAAAAAAGAAAGCAGTTCTGCAGATGGGAGATTGGGGAGGGAAAAAGGGAGGGACTAACAAAGGCAAAGGAAAACTTTTCAGGGTAACAGGTATGTTCATTTTCTTGACTGTGGGATGGTTTCAGTTACAAAAGGCAACAAATTATATACTTCAAATATCTATACTTTATTGCATGTCAATTATACCTTAATAAATGTGTTAAAAGTAATTACACATACAGCAGATCCTTCATAAAACATATTTTTAAATAACCTCAAAGTTTAGAAGATATGTATTTGAATGTGTCATATAATATAAATATAAAACTATTCTTTAGTGCTTTTAACCAGTTATTAAATCAATGTTACCATAATTAAAATTCAGATTCCTGATTTTTAAGCACATATGCTGAAGAAACTTGAGTCTAGAGAAATTAAACTTGCCCATTTTCACAGATGAATTAGAACCTAAGCATCCACTCTCAATTCTACTATAATCTGTAGTCTTTAAAAGTGCCTAACAGCTTTTAACTAGCATACAGAGGTGTTTGATTGAAATTCCTCCATTGAAAGTAATACCTTCCTTAGAAGCAGAAAAAACAATCCTAAAATTCCTATGAAACCACAACAGACCCCTAATAGCCAAGGCAATCTTAAGCAAAAAGAACAAAGCTGGTAGGATCACACTACCTGACTTCAAAACATAGTACAAAGCCATAGTAACCACAACAGCATGGTACTGGCATAAAAACAGACACACAGACCAATGGAACAGAATAGAGGACCGAGAAATTAAGCCAACTGATTTCTGACAAAGACACCAAAAACATACGCTGGGGAAAGGACAGTCTCCTCAAGAAACGGCACTAGGAAAACGGGATATCCCTACATAGTAGAATGAAACTAGATCCCTATTTTTATCATATACAAAAATCAAATATAAATGTAGGAAAGACAAATGGAAGATCTGCAACTATAAAATTAGTAGAAGAAAACATAGGGGAAACACTTCAGGACATTAGTCTGGGAAAAAATTTGATAGATAAGGCCTCAAGAGCACAGGCAACAAAAGCAAAAATAGGCAAATGGGGTTATATCAAAATAAAAAGCTTCTGCACAGCACAGGAAACAATAAACAGAATGAAGAGACAACCTGGAGAATGGGAGAAAATATGTGCAAACTATTCATCAGACTAGGGAGTTAATATCCAGAATGTACTCAATCATCTCAACACCAAAAAGACAAATAACATTTTTAAAAAGGGCAAATGATCTAAATAGACATTTCTCAATAGAAGGCATACAGATGGCCAACAAGTATATGAAAAAATGCTCAACATCACCAATCACAAGGGAAATGCAAATCAAAACCACAATTAGGTATCTCATCCCAATTTGAATGACTATCACCAAAAATACAAAAAAATAACAAATGCTGACAATGATTCAGAACAAAGATACCTCACACACACCATTGATGGAAATGTAAATTAGTATAACCATTGTGGATAGCAGTATGGAGGTTCCTCAGAAAAGTAAAAACAGAACTGCAATACAATCCAGGAATCTCACTACTGGGTATATATCCAAAGGAGATGAAAACAGTATATTGAAGAGGCGTCTGCATTCCTATGTTTACCACAGCACTAATCACAATAGCCAAGATATGAAATCCAACAGTACTCATCAACAGGTGAATGGATAAAGAAAATGCAGTATACATACGTCATGGAATACTACCCAGCCATATTAAAGAATGAAATCCTGTCATTTGTGGCAATGGAGATGAGCCTGGAGGATACTATTAATATGTTAAATGAAAAAAGTCAGGCACAGAAAGATAAATACTGCATATTCATACGTGGAAACTAAAAAAGTTGATCTCACAGAAGTAGAGAGAAGAATTGTGGATACTAGAGGCTGGAAAGGGTTGGGGAGGATAGGGACTCTGTACCCCATAAATATGTACAACTGTTATGTGTCAATTAAACAACAGTTACTTTGTCATAGTAAATGTTTTATTTATCTTTAAGACAGAGTCTAGCTCTGTTGCCCAGGCTGAAGATCAGTGGCGTGATGTCAGCTCACTGCTACCTCCGCCTGCCAGGTTCACGCGAATTCTCCTGCCTCAGCCTCCCGAATATCTGGGATTATAGGTGTGCACCACCGTGCCTGGCTAATTTTTGTATTTTTAGTAGAGACGGGGCTTCACCATGTTGGCCAGGCTGGTCTCAAACTCCTGACCTCAGGTGATCCACCCACTTTGGTCTCCCAAAGTGCTGGGATTACAGGCCCACCATGCCCGGCCTGTTACAGTAAATGTTTTAAATTTATAAAACATGCACTGAGTTCAAAATATGTTTGTATTTAATTATTCATCTTTAATCTACCAATGAACATACTTCCAGAATATATGTTTGTTCTGATTTTACAATGCAGAGAATGAGTTACAGCGCTGGAGTTAGAAGCAATGTGTCCTTACTCTCAATTCAAGGCTCGATTAACTTAGTTGATACATGAAGGCCAAGTTCAAATCCTTTCTCTGTGACAAAATATAAAGAGCACTGCATCAGGAATTGAGAAACCCATTTCTTACTTACGCACTAACTATCCATAACAATTCCTAGCTTCACCTTTTTATTCACCCATAAAACTGGTGATAATACCATTTGTCCTATTTCACAAGGCACTGTAAGGTTCAAATGAACTGATATTCCAAAAACTTTAAGGCTAAATAAATGTAAAGTATTATTTAAAAAAATACCTTTCACATAATTTGCGATGGCTTCTTTTGTGTCCCTCTCTGGGTCAATGCTGATGAAAAGTGGAGTTAGATCTGGCAGAGTTGTAATGCTATCTGAAAGAGAGTTCCAATTAGTCCGTATTCACACCCTAAGGGAAAAGACAAAGAAAACCAGCAATAACAGGAGAGTATAGGACGTGCTGGACAGCTAGGTGTTTTGAAAGCAGATGGACATCTTAACATTCAGGTGAAGAGGAAGAGGACGGGGAAGGGGATGGAGAAGGGATGGCCTTTAGGAGGAGGAGACCCATATACAGTAGTATTATCTGTGGTGGATAATACAAGGTTACATATCCTATCAAATGCCTGCACCAGCACATAAATGTTCTTCCCCTGGATAATGTCATGTGGCTATCTTATCTCTGAATCCACTCCAGTATCTGTAGTTTTTTTCACTCCCACCATATCTCAAGGGCAAGAAGGTAAATTGTTAATAAGAGCTGAATATCCTGAAATAATTCACTGTATGGAGGAGGCACCCTTCCTTCTTACTAGTACTAGTAAAATGCCACAGACTGCAGACCATTGCAAAGATTTCCTAATTTAATTGTCACAATCAGTGGGGAAGAGGCAATGGCAGCATCAGTGATGCAAAGGAAGGGACACAAAAGTAGAGTTAAGGGAGACCACACTGACATTTTTAAGTGATCTAACATTTAACATCAAAACAAGCTTCTTTCAGTGGAGAATAAGGTCACAAGATTCAAAGCAACAAACAAGCCAAATGCTGAGATTTTATGTTCTTACAAATCACATAATTGCAAAACCCCACCTAACAATAATACAAGGGTGTGAAAAACCTGGTAACATGAAGTAAACATATACTTTGTTTAGTTAGTGATGGCTTTCTTACCTATTTCATCCACGACTTGAATCATCTTTTCTAGTTCTTCTGGACAGACATCAGGGCAATGAGTGAAGCCAAAATAAATCAATAACCACTGACCCAAGTAGTCCTTGTCAGTTTTACGCTCCCCAGTATGAGTTGTGAGGGAAAACGGTCCCCCAAGTAAAGGCTTGCCGATGTGTCGCTGCCGTTCCTTCTCTAACTCTTAAGGAGACAAAAACATATCGACACCAAAAAAAAAGTCAATTTAACCAGAGGTACTCAAATACCTGACATATGGCCCGTACTATGCTACTCATGGTGGGGGCACAAAATGTGGAAAAAACAGTTTCAGTTTTCAAGAAGCTAAAAAAATCTTTTCAGAAAAATAAGCACAAAACATTAAAACAAAATCAAATGAAATGCTATGGTATGTTGTAAAAAAGGAAAAAATATTTCTTCTTTTTCAGGAACAATTCAGTCCTAAGCCATTAGCTGTGTCCATGCTGGGGGCAGGGAGGGGCTGCAGTGGCCTAGAGCTGAATGTCTAAACAAGTGGGGTGCGGTGGGTGGCCTGGCATAGGGAGTCTGATCCTGAGGGTGCTAAGGAGGGCAGCTGGGTGGGGAGGTGATAGTGGTGACGGGACCTTAGTTACACACAGGAAATTGATGAAATAAATGAGTATATTAAAGAGAAGAGAGTTACAATAGGAAACAAGAGTCAACTATGGAGAGAAAGAGAGCTAGGCTGAACCCTGCAGTACTGCAAATACACTGCAGGTACTAGTGTGAACTTCTATCTATATAGATATAAATAAATATAGATGTACATAAATATATCTATTTTCTCACCATGTCCACTGAGAGGACCAGGGAGCAGACACACTCCAAGAACCATGAGCCCAGAACCTGACTTCTAAATATCATTCTTCACTAAAAGGAAACAGCTTTTTGGAGAAATGGCTGATACCAGGGTTGCGGCAAAGAAAGTGTAAAATGAGGCTGGAACCTCTTGTTGTGGCAGAAGGAAAGCAGAACTTAGAGAATATTGGAGACGTGTCAAAGACACAGAAGCCTGCTCCAAGGGGGCTCCCGCTGATCAATCTGGGACAACTTGGGCATCAAAATAAAGAGAATATGGATTTAAACTGAATGAATATATAGGAAACAAGTCCACAGATATAAATAAATGAATACATTGATAGTGGGATGGGGAACAGAATATGTAAGTATACGTATGTCAATACAAATCATGAAACACCATTAATTACATGAGTAACTTTTCAGTAGAAAACCTGTTAGACACACATTAATCAAGTGATCAAACTGGACATTATCAGTAATGGGACAACTGGTACTATGTGGTATCTGACCAGATGCACGGAGAATACAGCATCACTTTTGTGATATTCCTGCCAAAGGTACACAACCCGAATGACCTGAATGAGGAAACATCAGACAAATCCAAGCTAAGGGGCATTCTACAAAATAACTCTCCTGTAACTGTCAAAGCTGTCAAGGTTGTGGGAGTCAGTTAAAGCCTGGGAAACTGTTACAGATGAAGGAGGCTAAGGTAAACAACTAGATACAAGGTGGTATGGTTCTGAAACAGATCCTTTTGCTCTGAAAGACATCAAGTGGCAAAACTTGGAAGACTGAACTGTAATCCAGCCTGGGCAACAGGAGTGAAACTCTGTCTCAAAAAACAAACAAATAAACAATACCCTGAAGATTATCTGAACACTGAACAGCAGCAAAATTATCAGCGTCAATTTTCTAATTTTGATGGTTGTATTGTGGTTATGCTAGAAAAGGTCCTTGTTTGTAGGAAATACACCAAAAAGTGTTTGGAGCTAATGACGCAACATGTCAGCAAATAAATACTCTCAAATTATTTAGGAAGACTTTTCAGATTATTTAATAATACATTTTTTAAATAAAACAAACGTTAGAATTGCACTTGAAATTCCAAACTAAAGTCAAAAAAAGCTTCCATATTCTAGAATTTTCCCGCCACAACTTTCCTAGCTTTTGTTTCTTTGTGAAACTAAAGAAACTTACTGCTTATTAGACTATGAAAATCTTACCCAATACTACTTATTATGCCAAAGAGTCTCATATATATGTATGTCAGTACAAAACTTAACACTGCTAAGTTCCTAAAGCCTATGAATTCCCAGATTTAATCATTAACCTTTGTATATAATGTTATCAAAAGAGACTCCAAAGAATGGAAAGATTTAAGCAATACTTTAAAGATTTACCTAAAACCTCTAAACCAAATCTTAAAAGTCCTAGGATATTCACTAAAATGCAAAGTTCTTATAAATAATTTCTAAATATTTCAAGATGCTAATCCAGAGCAGTTCCTGGCATTTCCTGACCAGGCTCTTTTCACCTCCCCCTCATCCACAGAGGGCATGCAGTATCTACTCGCACTATGCTCCTTGCCTGATCTCTAGGAAGCCTTCTCAAATCTCAAGGCTGGGACTTGCTTTTGCTCTCACAACATGGTAAGCTTCCTTCTGGCCTGGCAGAATCGCATCTAGTAAAATACTTTACTTCTGTGTCTGTTTCCCTTCCGTGTGCACCTCAAAGGCTCGACTACATCTTACTCATCTTCGTACCCTCCAGATTTCATCTTGCCCAGTCAAATCTATCCACAGTATATCTTTTAACATTGTTATGCAGTGGTATCCTAGCTTGGATCCTGGAACAAATAAAAGACATTGATAGAAAAACAAGTGAAATCCAAATACAATCTGTAATTTAATAGTTGTGTGCCATTTAAAATTTCTTAGTCATGAAAAATGTGTCATGGTTATACAAGATGTTAATATTAGGGGAAGCTGGGTGAAAGGTATGTAGAACCTATGCTATCTTTGCAATTTTTTGGTAAATCTAAAGTTGTTTCAAAACAAAAAGCTAAAAAACAACAAAAAAGGTGCTAGTCCATAGCCAGGAAGACCTTTATACAGGGCTGAGCAGATGATAATCTACTTACTCTCTGCCTTTTCTTTCTTGACGTGCTTCATTCCAGCCAGTAAAGCTCCTCCAATAGCAAATGTGATTGCTAAAGACTTCCAGGAAACAGGCTACTGGGGCAGGGATTTCAAACATAAAAATTCTAGTAAGATGCAAACATTTAACCATACAAACTTATTAAAGTAGTTTTTAATATACATACACACAGGCCATGATGTTAAATGTGCAAAATGTTTCAGGGATGAGAAAATGCTCAAAGTTTCTGTGGATGCAGTTAGGTCTGGGATCTGAACTACAAAGGCATTCATCTCCAGGGGAAAGTTCCCTAAGTCAGTTCTCTTCATGTAAATAAAAAAAAAAAAAAAAAAAAAAAAAAGCTCAAGTACCACGATTGTTACTATGTGTGACCCTAGCTCCAGTAATGACTTTAAAACCAATTATGGCCGGGCGCGGTGGGTCACGCCTGTAATCCCAGCACTTTGGGAGGCGGAGGCGGGTGGATCACCTGAGGTCGGGAGTTTGAGACCAGCATGGCCAACATGGTGAAACCCCATCTCCACTGAAAATACAAAAATTAGCCGGGCGTGGTAGCGGACCCCTCTAAACCCAGCTACACGGGAGGCTGAGGCAGGAGAATCGCTTGAACCCGGGAGGCGGACGTTGCAGTGGGCCGAGATAGGGCCACTGCACTCCAGCCTGGGCAAAAGAGCAAAACTCCGTCTCAAAACAAAAACCAAAATCCAAAAACACACACACAAAAAACAATTATCTGCTTATGCTGATACTGAGATAAATAGACCAAACGAAATTTGGGAGGTTAACTTAACTCTGGCTTCCAGAAGTAACAATGCCAAAGTAGAAGAGGAATCTAAAAGTGGAGCTTCTTGCAAATTACACCCATTATTTCTTTGTACCCTTATTCAACTCCCCAAATGAAGATGATGTTGGCCAACTAGACTAGGCCTAACTCATTAACCTTCCCGTAGCTCCAAAAACCCACTTCTCTTACCACAGGGTAGTGGCTCTCAAGTTATTTCTGGGTCAGAATTAGAACTCGAGAGAACCCCAAGAAAAAGGCAGATCCACACATAACTAAGTTCCACTTTTTGTTTCAATTTCAACGTATACATGGAACTCTGGATGGGGCTCAAGTGACAAATTATAAAAGTCCTCTGACTTCTCAATCACGGTAAACTTTAGGTTCATACCCTTAAGAAAACCTGAAACTTAATTTTTTTTTTTTTTTTGATGGAAACGCTAACATAAAATCCAAGTCGGGGCATCCAGCCACGTGGAGAGGGTGTAAAGTCTCAAGTTCTCTGTGGAGAACTGGGACTACCCGCAAGGCACGGGAAATGTAGGATGAAATTCCATGACCCAGGTAAGGCGCGCAAGCTAAGGACAACTTTAGGGGAGGCGGAGTAGTGTCTGAGGTTACGACCAAGTGGGATGTGGCCGCTGGGCTGGCCGACAGCCGCGACGAGCACCAGAAGGGTTCCAGGTGTGCACTCACCCCGGGCTTCGAGGGGCGCGTGGAGTCTCCGGGGCCCTTCTGCGACCACGGGGGTGGCGGCCTCGCAGTGCTGAGGGGCCGGGTTCCCAGGCAATAGCCAGGGCGCCCCGAGGCACGCCACGCCTCCGCTTGCCGCGCGCAGAACTGCCTCAGCAAGACTCTCGCAGTCCCCTCGGCTGGGCCCCAAAACTCGAGTCCGCGAGGCAAGAAGCGCCAAAGTTGGCCACCCAGAGGCCGCATAACTCGTCCGGGTACTAGGACCAGCATCGCCATGAGCCTCGGAGACCGGGTCTCCTTTGACCCTCCCCGCGATTTCCGGTAGCGTTCCGCTTCCTCCGGAAGTCGGAAGGAGTCGCTCTGTCCGTCCCGCTCGTTGGTGGCGCTGTTACATAGCCCGTAGTCAGAGGCCTTTCAGCCCAGGGGCCGGCGCACGGTAGGTAGTTCCCTGCGGCTGGAGGCGGGTCTGGCGCGGGCTGGGCGGTGCTGCGGGGCCGCGGGACAGCGGAGCGCCGGGAAGGGGGCTGCCTTAGGGGTCCAGGTGCGCGGCTGGGCCGAGGCAAGGCGGCCCCAAGCGCTGGGGGCCCCCGCTTTGGTCGTGGGCTTCGGTGACCACAGCTAGCTCCTCGCGCCGGGGACACCCCCACCTCGGAAGAGAGAACACACTGCCTAGAGACCCACGGGACTGGGCAGCCCCCATAACCCTACCTTGTCTGGCCGACTTTGTCAACCTCGTCCTGCCGGCCAAGAGGAAGTGCCAGAATGTTGACTCCTTTACATCTTTGAAATAGAAACCGACCCATTGCGATTGAAATAGTCTTTAACTTAAAAAAAATTGCTAATTAGGATAATTTGAGTGGTTAGGGCGGTCTGGAAGAACTTTAAATGCCCAGCGCTTCTAGTTATTTAACATTATAATGTAACCTAATTAATAAAGCATAGCAGTGTGTAAAGAAATATAGACAGCATGATATCCCATCCGTTAACTTAGTCTTCCTGGGTCCCAGTTTCTTAAAATACTCTCACGGACTCCCTTGCTCCCTACAGTTTCGTTATTTGAAGTTTGTTATGGGTTCCTCATCTGGAACTGCTTATGTTCCTTGTTAATGAGGCCAAGAGCATTCGTAGGTTTTTCGTTCTTTGTGAAAGTCTAACTTCATTTCATCTGCCTTTATTTATATCTTAATATCCGCAATATTAACCACTCCCTCCCCGCCCCTACCTCGGTGGTTGCTTTACAAAATACAGAGAAATAAAAAAAGGAAAATCGTCCTCTAATTATCTTCCTTAACTACAGATCCCGCTCCTGTGTGGCTTTTTTTTCCCCCATGGGACCGACTCTGAGTAGGAGAAACTCGTGCTCTGATGATTGTTGGACCAGAGCATGGTTGGTTTGCTTGTTTTCTATGAGTTAGCCAAACTAGCCAACTGTTCTGTTCTCTAACCCAGTAACGGAACATAGTGTTACCTGTGTTTCTTGATTCGCGGTTGGACTAGAATTTTCAGAAATTTCTGCCAAAGTTCTTAAATGTTTGTTCAGCACTTCAAGTCGTTAATCAAACTATTTTTTTCTATCTTATAGTTGCCTGTGGGTAGGATTTTTGCTCTTTTATCTTTGTGTATTTGTTTGCCCAGGGATAATTTTTTCTTGTAATTGACAAAAAGACATAAAAGTACCTTGTGTAGTCAGGCAGATAGCATACAAAATTATTGTTCATCTCTGATTGCCCAATTGTAGGTTACCTGATCAGCCACCCAAATTAAGATTGAAGTCAGTGTTTCTACCTGATCTATTAAATTTTATTTGCTAAAGTGCTTCTTTTAGTAGCAACTTCTTCATATTAATTTTATAATATTAAATAAAATGCTATCATTGAAAACAGTTCTTGGGGCCAGATGTGGTGGCTCACGCCTGTAATCCCATCACTTTGGGAGGCTGAGGTGAGTGGGTCACTGGAGCCTAGGAGTTTGAAGCTGCAGTGAGCTGTGATCGGGCCACTGCCTTCCAGTCTGGGCAACAAAGCAAGACTCTGCCTCTAAAAAATAAATAAAATAAATATAAAATATAGTTCCTGGCTCAAAGTAGGTGTTTTATAACTGCATTTTGGATGAATTGCTAGTAACACCTGAGCCTGATGGCAAGGACCCATGAAACTTTAGTGCCAGAAGGCGCCTACAGTGTTATCCCTTATAGACCTTATCACTTTTATTACTGCTGTGAAACCACCAAAGTCACCAAATGAGGTTTATGTTTTGTTTTCCAAGTTAGATATTTTTCTTTTCTTTCTTTTTTTTTTTTTTTTTTTTTTGAGACAAAGTCTCCCTCTGTCGCCCAAGCTGGAGTGTGCAGTGGTGCGATCTCAGCTCACTGCAACCTCCGCCTCCTGGGTTCAAGCGATTCTCTTGCCTCATCCTCCCGTGTAGCTGGGACTAGAGGTGCGTGCCACCAGGCCTGTCTAATTTAAAAAATATATATATTTTTAGTAGAGACAGTGTTTCACCATGTTAGCTAGGACGGTCTCGATTTCCTGACATCGTGATCTGCCCGCCTCGGCCTCCCAAAGTGCTAGGATTACAGGCTTGCGCCACCACACCCGGCCCCAATTTAGATATTTTTCTTGAGAGAAGCAGGGCATGGATTAGTATCATCTGATATTGGTTCTATCAATAGTGATCAGATTTTGTTCTTGACATAACTTTAGGCTGGTTTGACTGGGGACAGCTAGGCCCTAACTTTTGTGAACTTCCCAGCACCCTAATGTGTTTACTTCATTTTTGTTCCAGGCCCCTGCCCCTTGTGCCTAACTCCTAACCACAAACATTTCCTGCCCCAACTTAACTTTCCTTTTGGTATGGTATCTGCGTAGAAAACATATGCTGCACCCTTAGGCTAGGAGCCTCTGTTACAATAGTTTCTCCTAACAAAGTCTCTCTTTATTAATCTCTAGACTTTCCCTGCTGCCCCCTTCACCTTTGACAATAGAGTGAAGAAATCATACTCTTTTCAGGGTAGAGCTACTTCTTTTACAAGTTCATTATTGATGCTTGAAGGCTTTCCACAAGGAACTTCAGCCTTCTGCCAATCTTAAGTATTGGAAAAGTTTTATTAGTATGATCTTATAGCAACTTTTCAGTAATTAAGCATCCTTGGGTATGGGAGGCCTGAGGCAGGTGGATCACTTGAGCTCAGGAGCTTGAGACCAGCCTGGGCAACATGGCAAAACCCTATTAGTATGATCTTGTAGTAACTTTTCAGTAATTAAGCATCCTTGGGTATGGGAGGCCTGAGGCAGGTGGATCACTTGAGCTCAGGAGCTTGAGACCAGCCTGGGCAACATGGCAAAACCCTATCTCTACAAAAGAAAAAAAAAAAAAAGCCAAAAAAAGTCAGGTGTGGTGGTACATGCCTGTAGTCTTAGCTACCAGGGAGGCTGAATTAGGAGGATCACTTGAGCCCAGGAAGTCGAGGCTACAGTGAGCCATGATCGCACCACTGCACTCCAGCTTGCGCAGTAGAGCCAGACCCTGTCTCAGGAAAAAAAAAAAAAAAAAAATCTCTCATGCCTAAGGTAGTTTTCTCAAAATACTGGCTGCTTATCCTGTACTATGACATGATAGGAATTTTGAGAGCAACTCTTGTAAACTTTTCTACATTATTCTCTTCTATTAAAATGTTGCAGTAGTTTCAGTTATGAGGCTCATTAGACAGATTTTCAGATATATAATTTTAAAATTATTTTCTTAACATGCGTATAGTACTTTATGGTTTAGAGATTTACAGAGTAATAGTTTACTGTGATCATAACTCAGTTGAAGCTCACGATAACCTATTGAGGGTTATTTTGCTTCAGGAAACACGAGGACTATAATTCAGTTCTGGGTTTTTCATTTCAAAGGGTTCAGCACTTCATAATACCTCTTTAAAACTTAGACAGCGTAGCATGTAATAAATGGTGCAGGCAAACTTTGAAAACAAAGTTCACTAAAAACTTGCCATTCTCCTTTCTATTCAAAAGCGAAATATTTCCTTAGGTCTTCTAATTTTTCCAGATTTGATTTTCTCTAAAGTTTTGAATTTTCTTTTTTAAAAAAACTTTATGTATACTTTTTTTTTTTTGAGATGGAGTCTCGCTCTGTTGCCCAGGCTGGAGTGCAGTGGCGCGATCTCGGCTCACTGCAAGCTCCGCCTCCCAGGTTCACACCATTCTCCTGCCTCAGCCTCCTGAGTAGCTGGGACTACAGGCGCCTGCCACCACACCCGGCTAATTTTTGTATTTTTAGTAGAGATGGGGTTTCACCATGTTAGCCAGGATGGTCTCGATCTCCTGACCTCGTGATCCGCCCACCTTGGCCTCCCAAAGTGCTGGGATTACAGGCGTGAGCCACCACGCCTGGCCTATATGTACATTTTTAAACACACATAAAAGTAGTTAGAATAAACTTCATGCACCCATTTCTAGCTTCCACAATTATCCTGTACTCACTGATTTTTTTGTGTGTCTGTATTTGATGGAGGGAGGGAGCTATTTTGAAAACATTTCCTGACATTAGAATGCTTATTAATTCTAAGTTTCCTCACTGGAGGTGGCTTTGAGTTTTTGATCTCTCTGTTCACCAGGACCAATCTTTCTGAGCTCCCCCTACATGTCCCTGAACCAAGAAAGGAAAGGCTAAACTCGCCAGGAGAGTCAATTCCCTGACCACCTGGTTCTTTTTGCACTGCCGTACTCACTTCTGATCCTATCTTTCCCTGAATATGTTTCTGAAATCTGAAATGGCCCCAAATCAGAAATTTGAGCACCAACATGAAGCTCAAAGGAAATGTTAATTGGAGCATTTTGGATTTTGGATTTTCAGATCAGGAATGCTCAACTGTTAAGTATATTCCAAAATCTGAAAAAGTCCGAAATCTAAAACACTTCTGGTCCCAAGCATTTTGGATAAGGAGATACTAACCTTATTTTTAAAAGCCATGTATATTCAACACTTTGGATCTCTCTTTTTACCCCAGAACACATCGCTGTTTTGAAGTGTGTGCCCCTTGGTGCTTCTCTCCACATTAACTTTCCTTAAAAATTGCCAGTTCTTAGGATAGCCTTGAGTTTTTCTAAACTGAACTTGTTCCAGTGGAAGGTGTATTTGAGAGGATTTTGGTATCAAATGACAGAAAATCAATTTGATTTAGCTTTAAGCCCAGGAGAATTTATGTGCTGACATGTGTAACTAAATGACCAGTGTTCTAGCAGGGACAGGTGAATTTAGGTATTCAACTAATGTTTTCAGAAATCTCCATCTTTCCATCATTCAGAATTGTTTCTTTCTATGTTGGATTTCTTGTCAGTTCATTTTCTCCAAAAATTGAAGCCTTAGTTTATCAGCGTTTGTAGTAGTGGCAGTGCCTGTCCCAGGGCTGATGCTTATTGTGACCCAGGTTGAGTTACATGCCTACCCCTAACTGGCCAGAGGAAACTGGGTTTTTACGGGCCAGGTCTGGGCCATGTGTCTGCTATTTCACTTCCCCAGCCAGTGAATGGGGTTGGAGGTCAGACCACAAGAACTGAGAGTGGGGAATTGGATAAATGCCTAGAGAAAAATTGGGTGCTGTCACCTTAAGAACAGGAAATGAATGCTGGGTAGGCAAAAATAACAGCTGTCCACTGGAGAGAAGATCCAATTCATTGGGACTAAATCCCCTCTAGGAGATCCACAATACATATTATCACCATAAAGGCTCTGAGTTTAAAGATAAAAACAAGCTCACTTGGCAGGGGATAAGATCACCCCCAGAAATAGTTTTCTCTTAAGAGTTAATATAACTCTTAATGGTTAATATAACCTTAATGGTTAATATCACCAAGGTTAATACAACCTTGGTGATAATATTCATGTTATATACTTGCTAAGTTATCTTCTGATTTGATTCTTCTATTAATCTGAACTTGGAATCGCAAATATTTGAAACCTAACATAAGGCTAAAGATTTTTAAACTGACTTAGATGGATTTTTGTCCTGTAATTGTATTGAAGTTACCCACTTTTCAAATCAGATTACCTCTCATTTATACACCCTCATACATACTGACTTGATATCTAATGAGATTTTCAGGTAGGGGCTGCAGGAAGAAATGGGCAAATTAAAAAAAAGTATGAGAACACCATGTTTAAGGATTTCCATCTCTTTCTGGTGCTGTTACCTATTTTAGGGCTAGTTATACCCAACCAGATTAAGGAAGAAAGTAGCTGAAACTCATAATTAGGTGGATTAAAGAGTGTATCATTAGTAACAACAGTTTTAGGATGAAAAGAGGCCCCTAATTCTCAAATAAGTCAAATTGAAGTCTTATCCTTATTCCAATTGTGGAGTTGTTCTTTTCATCTCTTATAGGAGTACTCTTAGAGTTGGGATTTTACATGTCCACAGAGGATTAAGTAGGAACTCTGTAGATATATTTGTCAAATGACTAGAGATGGGGAGTCTGAAAGTAATTTTAGAAAGTCAAATGAATTTTTAGGTTTTAAATAATTCAGACACCACAGCAACAGTTTATTACTATAGTCTTTATGACAAAAATCGTTGACAATTTAGAATCTTGGCCTTTGAGTTTTGTTTGAATCATTAGCGTTCTGGGCTCTTTTAAGAGATTATAATTTACAGTTTAAACAATCGAATAATAGTTTTTTCAAGTTTAAATCTTGCTCTTTTTGGCCACTGAGGCAGGGCAGAGATCATTTGTAAGAAGAAAAGATTTCATATTTTTGGTTTTGATTGTGGGGTAGCTTAATATTCAAGTTAAAAAGAAAAAAAAATCCTGGTTCAAATTAGGATCCAGGGCTGGGTGTGGTGTCTCTTACCTGTAATCCCAGCTACTTGGGAGGCTGAGGTGGAAGGATTGCTTGAGCCCAGGAGTCCACGACCAGCCTGGGCAACATAGTGAGACCCTGTCAAAAACAAAAACAAAAACCACAAACAAAGCAAATTTTAATCCCAGCTATTGAAGAACCGGGAACCACTGCTCACAGAAATGATAATAGTCATGTCAGTTAGTTTTTGTGCTGGATTTTTGTTGTTGTTTAAAATTATTCCTCTCCTTTCATATCTGCATTGCCTCCCACTCACCTATTCAGATATAAAATATGAGAAACTGGGTGACCTACCCACCAAGGAAGAGAAAAGATTCAGCCTGACACAAAATAACCCATAACAGGAACCTTTTACAAAGTACATACAGTGAATGAATGTAATACACAGCTTTCCAAAAAAAAAAAAAAAAAAAAACTTGAAGTTTTGATAGAATTATTTGGTGTTTGTGGGACAGGGGTATATGTGTGTGCGTGTGCATGTGTGTTTAAAATGAGTATTTCTTAAAAATTAGCAATTATTCCAGATTTAAATTGGGCTTTATTAGCATTAGAATGTCTATTTATTGATAGGATAGTACCTTTTGTAAATTGTTACTCTTCTGAAAGAGTTTATCATCTGTTTTACAGAAGAGAAAGCAAGTGTTTTAGAGGGTTAGTAGTTTAGACCTAAGACTGTTGGGCTCTAAAGCCCACGTACTTTTTCCTGTACCAAGCTGCCTAATGAATTAACCTTTAACATTCCCTTTATCATTTTCTTAAGTGAAATTGGGAAATTAAAACGTTTATAATTTAGTTATCGTCTTTTTACTTTATTTAGAAACCTGTTTGGAGGTTATGGATGATAAACCCAATCCTGAAGCCCTAAGTGACAGTTCAGAGCGTCTTTTCTCCTTTGGCGTCATCGCAGATGTTCAATTTGCAGACTTAGAAGATGGCTTTAATTTCCAAGGAACCAGGCGGCGATACTACAGACATAGTCTTCTTCACTTACAGGGTGCCATTGAAGACTGGAATAATGAAAGCAGCATGCCCTGTTGTGTCCTTCAGCTTGGAGATATCATCGATGGATATAATGCACAGTATAATGCATCCAAAAAGTCCCTAGAACTTGTTATGGACATGTTCAAGAGGCTTAAAGTTCCAGTTCATCATACATGGGGAAACCATGAATTCTATAACTTCAGTAGAGAGTATTTAACACACTCTAAACTTAACACTAAGTTTCTAGAAGATCAGATTGTACATCATCCTGAGACCATGCCTTCAGAAGATTATTATGCTTATCATTTTGTACCATTCCCTAAATTCCGGTTCATTTTACTTGATGCATATGACTTGAGTGTCTTGGGCGTGGATCAGTCTTCTCCAAAATACGAGCAGTGTATGAAGATATTGAGGGAGCACAATCCAAATACGGAACTGAATAGTCCTCAAGGTGAATTATTCCTTTGAGCTGAGAATCTAATAGATTGTCTTTAAATTCTTCAGCTACCTTTTATTCAGCAGGAAGATGGACAATTAAGGTAAAAGTATATTGTCACTTGTTCAGGGTCAGGATTTCTCACAAGCCTTCTCACATGGATTGGTTACAGTTGATTCAAGATTGATTTAACAGATATTTTAAATGCCTATTTTAGGCCAGGCACTTTTTCTAGGGGTAGATATTCCGAGCTGTAAACAATACTAACAATATTACTTTTTTGATGGATGGAATGGAGGGAACAAACACAGTACGTGGGCAAGACAGATGATAAATGAAACAGAAACAAGATTATTTCCACGGTCGTAAGTGCTGCCAAGGAAATAGAGTATGATGTTATAGAGTGTTACGGAAAAGGATTAGGGTTGCTATTTTAGATTAGGTGATTAGGGAAGGTCTCTCCAAGGAGAAAGATATTTAAGCTGAGACCTAAATGACAAGGAGGAGTCTCCCTTGGAATGAATGGGCATAGGGAGTTAGCAGACTGAGGGAAAAACCTGCAAAGGCACTAAATGGAGTAAGACTTGAGCATTGTTGAAGAGCACAGGAAAGGGCCAGTGGGGTACAAGGTGATTTTAGAGTGTAAACGGGGCCAAGAATATGTAGCGGCTGAGTGGACTTAAGAAGTTTGCATTTTTAATATAATGGAAAGCCAGCGAAGTAAGCAGGGGACTGTCAAGAGTGAGATGCAGTGTGATATATATATATATATTTCTCTAAATGCTTGTGATTTCCTATTTTAAGTTGATTGTTGCTAATCAGATATTCCTAAAGAAAAAACAAGTGTCCCTACATTAACTAAATTTGAATGTCCAAATGAGGGGAAAAATGACTTGATGGGGCTAACTTACTGAATTCATTTCAGGACTTTCTGAGCCCCAGTTTGTCCAGTTTAATGGAGGATTCAGCCAAGAACAGCTAAACTGGTTGAATGAAGTGCTAACATTCTCTGACACAAACCAAGAAAAGGTGGTGATTGTGAGTAAGTATTTAATTTATCTGATTACACTAACATTTTAGAGATTGGGAAAAGTTAGGCGTTAAAGCATACTAACAATATTTGTGTTTCGATATCCTCTTTCTATAAAATGGACACTTAGTTTAAAAATTTCTATTGAGAAACCACCTGAATATAAGATTAACATTTAAGGATGAACCAGGAAAAGGTAAATAACAGAAACATCTTGCCATATATTGGAGCCTGTGAGTTGGCCTTTTAGGTTCAAAGTCGAATTTCCTCAAATGAGATCAGTTTATGAAGTAATTTCTTTTTTAAACATTAATATTATTATTGAAATCATTGTAGATTCACGTGCATTTGTAAGAAATAATTCAGAGCAATCACTTATATGCTTTGCTGTTTCCCCCAACATTAACATTTTGTAAAACTTTAGTATAATATCACAAGCAGAATATTGACATTAATACAAAAATAAAAACTCCAGAAGTTTGGCTTTTTCTAAGTTTCTTTTGTTTTTTGTTTTTTGAACCTTCTCTCCATAAGAGAAGCAAGAACCCAAAGGTGAGATGACTTCACCATGATAACTAAGACATAAAAATTACCAAGAAACTTGACTCAAAATTAAGAACAAGCTGAATTCAGCCTGGCCAACATGGTGAAACCCTCTCTCTACTAAAAATACAAAAAAGAAATTAGCAGGGCATGGTGGTGCGTGCCTGTAGTTCCAGCCACTTGGGAGGCTGAGGCAGGAGAGTTGCGTGAACCGGGAGGTGGAGGTTGCAGTGAGCCAAGGTTGTGCCACTGCACTCCAGCCTGGGTGACAAAGCAAGACCCTATCTCAAAAATAAATAAATAAATACATAAATAAATAAAACCAAGCACAAACAAAAAACACCAAGCTGAATTCTAAAGTGTGGAATCCAGGTTGCAATCAGCTTATAAAGGAGCTTGACACCACACTAAACAATTTGTTAGTGGAAGTCATTACCAGGGCTTGGATCCTTTCCTCAAGGTAGGGAAGCCCTGAGTTTCATAAACTCTAATGAAGTAATTTCTAAGTGAGAAATTCAGTTAGGGGACCATACCAAATCTCAGCCTTAGAGACCTGCCTATCAGCAAAGTGGCCACCAAACAGAGGCCACTGCTGCCCAGATGCAGCAAAACTGGTATCACAGGGCATGTGTGCTACAGGCTCGGCTGGCACTGAGCACTGTGCAAGCTGTGCCTCCCACACAGTCACAAGGAAGTTAGATTTGTATTTTCATATAGAATCATTTTTGATGGGTACACTGCCATCAGAGATTGTAGGAATCCAGGGGTGCTTAAAACATACAAGCGTGTATGTGCGCATGGGCACGTGAAAACATACACGGAACTGAATTTGGGTTTGCAGCATGGCTGGGAGACTTGGTTTGGAGGTTGAGATTAGAACCCTTGGTTTAGAGTTAGAATTGATGTGGGATAACAGGTGAGAAGGCTAGACTGAGAGCTGGAAGGACAGGATGCCATTCTGGCTCTGGTTTATATGAACTGTGTAGTCCTGGGCAAATAGCAAACCTACAAACTGCAGTGTTCTCAGTAGTGTATCTAATGAAATTATGAATATGAAACCCCTGGCCAAGCACGGTGACTCACGCCCGTAATCCCAGCACTTTGGAAGGCTGAGGTGGGCAGATCATGAGGTCAGGAGTTCGAGACCAGCCTAGCCAACATGGTGAAACCCCGTCTCTACTAAAAATACAAAAATTAGCCGGGCGTGGTGGCAGGCGCCTGTAATCCCAGCTACTCGGGAGGCTGAGGCAGGAGAATCACCTGAAACCAGAAGGCAGAGGTTGCAGTGAGCCAAGATCACCCCACTGCACTCCAGCCTGGGCAACAAGAGTGAAACTCCGTCTCAAAAAAAAAAAAAAAAAAAAACCTTTGAAAATGATAGGCTATTCAGATAGTTGATTATATAAAACTATATTTCTATCTGTAAAGGTAGTTTTTACTTACTAATCTTCCACTGATGTGGTAAAAACACGTAGAAGGAGCAGAAGTGTTTCTGCTAACACTGGAATACCAGGTGTCATTCAAGGGTTGGAAGAGATGAGTGCCCTTGGGTTGTTGGAATGATGTGACACCTTTTGGCTCTATAATAAGTGGTCTCAGAAACTAGGATACTTCTTGACTTGTGTCTGCTTTTAAGTTTTCCACTCTCAGCCTGTTCTGGAGCTGAAAGGAAGCTAGAGTCATATAGCCAAACCTTTGAATTTTAAAGATAAGGAAACTGAAGCCCAAAGAGACTGAATTGCATAGCAGAATCATGGAGCTGCTGACAGCACTGAGACTAGAATCCATGCTTTATGTCTCCATCCCCTTTCCCATGTGATCCTGTGTTCTTCCCTTTTCTTTTTACTCATGGCGGTACACCTATCTAATTTAGCAGTCTCTTACATTTCTTCTACCATTTGATGTAAGCCTAGAAACTGGAAAAGCAAACTTTTAAAAACGGAATGATTGAAGTTTTCTTTAGTAAAGTTTAAAAGTTAAAGTGTAATAAAAAAATTTTCTTTTGCTTTTTAACTTTCATTATGGCTACTCCAAGGTCATCCTATACCTTTTGAATTTTGGCCGTGCAGTTGGAAGGATAGAATTGCCATTAGCTGAGATAGGGGACACTGCAGGATGAGAAGTGCGAGTGGAGAGGGTAGGGCTTCAGGTTTGGAAATAGAAGTTTCAGATGCCTACTAGACATCAGTGGAGATGTTGAGTGGGCAGTTTGGACATTAGAAGTCTGAAATTCAGAATAGAGATTTGGGCTAGATAATAAACGTGGAAGTTGAAAGAGTGTAGATGACATTTAAGGCATGTAAATCACTAAGAGATCACCAGTGCATTCAGTATAAATAGAGAAGTCCGAGGACCAAGCATTCAGGCACTCCTGGTAAGACGTTGGGGAAATGAGGGGGAACCAGCATAGGAGACTGGAAATTAGTGGCCATTGAAGTTGGGGAAAAACTAGAAAGACACCCCTGGGAGAAACAGTGGTGTCCTGGAATCCAAGTGTTTCAGGGAGAAGGGAACAACTAATGGCGTCAAATGCTGCAGGGACTTGATAGATGAGTCAATATGGCTTCGAGGTGCTGGAAAGCAGCACACGCCTTTGGACGCTTAGCCCTAAGGTGGTAATCAGCACATGTATGCACTTTAAAAAAAAAATTGTATTACAAACAGATATTAAATAGAAGCATGTTTAAATTTTGGAATAAAAATGAACGGTAATAGACAAAAAGTGATTTAATGGGAAGATGCAACGTGAGCTGTACTTCAGAGTGAGAACCGTGGCTTGATCATAGATGTGTTGCTGTCAGAAATTAGAACTTCTCCTAACTCTACTTCCACGTATCTCCTGTGGATGCCAGTATAAATCTTCCCTGTTTTAACTCAGTTTTTCATCTGAAAAGTGGGTATGGCTACCTTGATCTCATGAGTGTTTAAAGTCCCATAAATCAGTTCGGAGGCATTGTTTATGTCAATGACACATAATCCATGGCCCATGCCTAAACTGTTTGTTTATTTATTTATATTTACATTTTTATTTTTTGAGATGGAGTCTCGCTTTGTCACCCAGGCTGAAGTGTGGTGGTGTGATCTTGGCTCACTGCAACCTCCACCTCCCGGGTTCAAGCAGTTCTTCTGCCTCAGCCTCCCGAGTAGCTGGAACTACAGGCACATACCACCACGCCTGGCTAATTTTTGTATTTTTAGTAGAGACAGGGTTTCACCATGTTGTCCAGGCTGGTCTTGAACTCCTGACCTCAGGTGATCCGGCTGCCTTGGCCTCCCAAAGTGTTGGGATTACAGGCATGAGCCACCACACCCAGCCTGTTCTTTTATTTAGTGTTACATCATTCTGTGTATATAACATTCATATTTAAGGAAATCAATTGGATTGGATTCCAGCACAGCATCTGCCCAGTTTCAGGCTGCCTTTGCAGACTGCCCTGCATAGGACACCCTTGATCTTCCTCGGTGTTTCGGCAACTTGAGATGACGTAGGCCTCAGAGATTCAGGGTTTTGCCTCTACAGCAGCCTGTCGCGCCTCATGTGAACTGTCTTACCCTTCTTCTATGCTCCAGAGATGTGGCTGTAGATGGCCTAGTTTTCTTGTGTGTGAATTCTCTCTGGTCTCAGTTCATTTGCATAATGAGATAGCAATTTTTTTTTCTTTTTCTGAGTACTAGCTTTTAGCCATTTATTTTTATAGAAGAGATATTTCTTAATTGGCTCATAACTCTTCTTTTCTTTAACTAACAGGCCATCTTCCCATTTACCCGGACGCCTCTGACAATGTGTGCCTGGCCTGGAACTACAGAGATGCCCTGGCAGTCATTTGGTCTCATGAGTGTGTGGTGTGTTTCTTTGCTGGTCACACCCATGATGGTGGCTACTCTGAGGATCCTTTTGGTGTATACCACGTCAACCTAGAAGGAGTTATTGAAACAGCTCCAGACAGCCAAGCCTTTGGCACAGTTCATGTCTATCCTGACAAAATGATGTTGAAAGGGAGAGGCAGAGTTCCAGATAGAATTATGAATTACAAGAAAGAAAGAGCCTTCCATTGTTAGTCTAATTTATTTTAACTTGATAGAAAATGAGCTTTGTGTTTGTCCCTCCTAAACAAAAAAATAAAAATCCTCTGTCTCATTGTTTAGTATTCAGCTTGCATAACAAAATGTATTTATAGTTTCAGTGTGTGATGGTTGATAAAATACTCAGAAATGTTATTTTGGATCATGTATCCATTGTAAGTTAGAAACAAACCAGGGAGGAAACTGAGGCAGGGGTGTATAGTCCTCATAAGGGGCATATAGTCCTCATGAGGGATCTTATTTGGCCCTACCTGATTTTTTTTAACTTTTTACAAGGAGATTGTATTCACATGTGTTAACTATGTAACTTCAAGTTCAGCATATAAGCTCAGGTAAGCTTTTTCTATTCACCCTGCTGTGTAAATGAGCTTTGGACAATTTCTGCTCAGAACACCTATACTTGGATTTTTATAGGCTTGTATTCCCATTTTGTAAACAAAATTACCAATAGTTATTTCACGGGTAAGCGTGTGGCACTCCCATCCCTGTAAGAAGGGCCTCCAGAAAAGTCATGTAGTCCTCTTGGGATTCATAGGACCAAGTGGCAGTGCAGCCATGTGCCACCTGGCCTGGTCTGTTTGGGCCACCAGCCATTGCTGTGTGAAGCTACAGCAGGTAAATAAATTTACACTGACTCCCTTTATACACTAATGGGACATGTTTAACACCGTTTTCATATATGCTAAGGCTTATGTGTAGAAACATTAGATGGCAAATGGGGACTATTCAGGTGTGGAGAAAGTTTGATTCAGGGCCTAAACAACTATAAGAAATAAGCATGCCTGTTGAATACATGGGCACTATAGGGATATAAAGGAGTGTTAGCTTTCTATGGCTGCTGTAACAAATTCCCACAAACCTGGCGACTTAAACCAACATATACTTGTTCTCTTGCAGTTCTGGAGGTCAGAAGTCTGAAATCATTTCCACTTGGCTGAAACCAAGGTGTTGGCATGGCCATGCTCCCTGAGGAGGGTCTAGGACGAATCCTTTTCCAGCCTCCAGAGCTGTACTTCTTGCATTCTGTGGCTCATGGCCCCTTCTTCTGTCTTCAAAGCCAGCAGTGTAGCATCTTCAAATCTTTCTTTACTGTCGTATCATATTCTCTGCTGTCTGTAGTCAGATCTACTTCAGCCTTCGTCTTGCAAGGACACTTGTGGTAACATTCAGGGCCCAACCAGATAATCCAGGTAACCCCCATCTCAGGGTGGGTTAATCACATCTGCAAAATTTATTTTGTGATATAAGGTAACATATATCCAGGGATTAGGACATGTATCTCTCTGAGGGCCACTGTTCAGCTGACCACAGAGGTGACTATAATGTACTCTTGCACTCATAGACCTTACCATGAATTAGACAGACATCCATGATTCAAGTGTGTGAAATTTGCTGTCACACAAAGAAAGGACTGAGGGAACATGGAGGATGAATTTAATTTTGTTCGAAGGGATTGGGGATGACATGCAAAATGAAGAAAAATGGCTTGAATAAGTGGGGAAGAGTATATCAAGTAAAATAGCAAAAGCAGAGGCATTGAAGGATATGCCAAAGTCAGACATGGCAAGTCATGCTGTGACGATTCACCAGAAAGGTGCCGGGCTGGGAGAAGGGGGATGTGGCAAGAAATATGGCAGAAAAGGACAGGCTGGGGCCATATTATGGAGAGCCTTGAATGATGAGCCAAGAGTTAGAATTTAACTTGCCAGATAGTGTGGAGCCCTTAGGGCTTTCTGAGCTGGGGAATACGTGATTAGATTTGTGTGAAATAGAGAAAAATGGAAGAAAAATGTGAAGGTGTGAAAGATTTTAATAATAGAGGCTGGGTATGGTGGCTCATGCCTATAATCCCAGCACTTTGGGAGGCCGAGGTGGGTGGATCACCTTAGGTCAGGAGTTCCAGACCAGCCTGGCCAACATGGTGAAACCCCGTCTCTACTAAAAATACAAAAATTACCTGGGCATGGTGGCAGGTGCCTGTAGTTCCAGCTACTTGGGAGGCTAAGGCAGGAGAATCACTTGAACCCAGGAGGTGGAGATTGTAGTGAACTGAGATCGCGCCATTGCACTCCAGCCTGGGGGACAGAGCAAGACTCCATCTCAAAAAAAAAAAAAAAAGATTTTAATAATAGAAATATTAAATTTAATAATAATACTTAAATTCAATTTCATTAATACTCTTCAAAAGACTATTCCACCAAAAGTGCCTTTTATATGCTTAACTGAAGATGCGAAAGAGACTATGAATAGTCACATAATTTCGTAGTCTGATATGGGAGAGGCATACATGATGAAAGCACATCTTGAACATTACTGTCTTTAAGCACAGAAGTAAACATGACTTGGTCAATGGATAGAGCCCACAGGGAATTTGCAAATGAGTCTGTTTTTTTTTTGCATGTGACTTCAGTAGTTTATTAATACTAAAGGAGTTATAAAAGCCACAAATATGTAAGCAAAATATACACTGGAAAACTCAAATCCTTTATGTGTATTTTACTGACCCTTAAGTTTCACTTTGACTGTTTTAATATCAACTAGATTTGTTTTCCCCCTTTTTACTCATTCAAGTCTTAATCTTAGATAATTTCTCACCATTCAGTGGCCACTGTGCCAATAACAAAAACAAAATACACATACCTCCTTTAACAAATATTTATAGAATATTTACTATAGTAATAAAGACAATAAAAATAGACAAACTACCAGACTCATTTACACTCTCCTAACCTGTGGAAGGCACTACTCGTTCTTTTTGAGTGAAGTATTTCCCAGATCTCTTTCCTAGATCAGAAAAAACAGTATCTGACCACAGAGTTTGATGCTTGTGTATGTAAAATGTTGCCATCTAGATACTTAAATACAGGACTGTCCAACAGAAATGCAATGTAAGCCACGTAAATAAAAGTAAACAGAAACAGATAAAATCAACTTTAATAGTATATTTAACCCATTATAGCCAAAATATTGTTTCAACATGTAATCAATACAAAAAATATTTTCTGTTCTTTTTCTACCATGTCTTTAAAATCCAGTGTATTTTACATTTATAGCCCCACTCATTTGGACACTAAATTTTCATTGGAAATACTTTATCTGTATTTAGGTATCATAAAATTTGCAATTGGAAAATTAGATTCAAATACCCAAGTTGTTCCAAACACAATTGTAAGTTTTCCAATAATCAAGTATCCATTTTTAAATGAAAATGGAAATGAAAAAAAAAAAAGCTCTCCTCCCTAGGATTACTTTGGACATCCATTTATAAAGAATGTATATAGATTTTGACCTTATTTCTCATTTAGAATGTAGTTATAGTCCCTATTGCCTTCTTGTTTGGTCCCTAATTCCTTTATTCTATCCAGCTTCCCTTTCTTTCCAAGACATGCCTGCTCATTTGATTCATCTAGAGTTCTCCTTTAGTTCACTGCACTATGCCAGCTCTGGATAAGATTAGTTTAGGGCTGGACTGGGCATGGTGGCTCACACCTGTAATCCCAGCACTTTGGGAGGCCAAGGTGGACAGATCGCTTGAACTCAGGAATTCAAGACCAGCCTGGACAACACGGTGAAACCCTGCCTCTACAAAAAATTTAAAAAAATTTAGCCGGGCATGGTGGTGCACACTTGTAGTCGTAGCTTCTTGGGAGGCTGAGGTAGGAGGATCACCTGAGCCCCGGGAGGTCAGGACTGCAGTGAGCCATGATCATGCCACTGCACTCCAGCCTGGGCAATAGAGTGGGACTGTCTTAAAAAAAAAAAAAGATCGGGGTATAGCCCTCTCTTGAATGTCTATTTCAGTATATTACCCAATCCCTGCTCCCCTCTATTTTAATCATGGGCAGCCCTCCGTAATCTTTCCAAACACTTTATATCTTCAGAGTGTTCTTACATTATCTAGATTGATCCTTGTTACTGTGTAAGTAAGTAGATCTGGCATTAATCCTATTTTATAGATAAATATCCACCAGGAGGTTTATATATTTGCCCAAATTACATAGTTACAAAGTTAAGTTAGAACTCGTATTTTTAAACTTCTATTCTCTAGCCTTTTCCACTACATTATGACACAAGACCCTGCAGAAAGTCGTCTGGAAAATATCAGACCATCTCTTACTTGTCCCATCCAATCTTACATCGAATTATATGCACCCTTAAAAAGTTATTTGGAGTTTTAAAACTATTAGCCCAAATTACCTGAAATAAACTCCTGGCTTGTTCCCCTAATGTTTATAAAAAATTGATTGAAAATATTCATTTTAAAAACGAAGTTCTTGAATTTATTTAAATTACTGTCTTGCAGTGAGTTGGCCAAGAGGACCGCATTTCCTTGTTAATATATATGTAGACCCATGAGATAAATGGGAAAAGTGTGATTACAATGGCAATAGCCAATTGAATTCTTCCACCAACTGGATTCCTATAAAGACACAAAAATTATTATAAATAAAAATCATGGATTGCTTTGGAAACAAGTATAAAGACTGAATTGATAAAACACATAATTACATTTTAGTATGTTCTCATCTCAGTTGTTTTATTGAAATATAACATTGATTTATAGAAATTATTTATATATATGCTAAATATAAATCCTTGTTTATATGTGTTACAAATACCTTGTCCCATTTGATGTCTTTTGAGGAAGAGAAGTCATTGATTAATTTGACAATGTTAAAGTTGATCTTTTCCTAATGATTTTTGTGCTGTTTAAGAATTTCCCTCACCAAGGTTTTGAAGGTATTCTCTAGAAGTTTTGTTTTGCTTTTTTTAAATTTTATCACATATTTATTAAAGATAATCATTTATAGTTTATAAAAATATACTGCCCTGACACAAAATGTTCTTGATAATGGTAATTAAAAACTACTCCCACCCCCCCATGTCCACATCAATATTCAGTTTAGATTGGTTTAATCTTGAAGTGTAATCCAGTAAGACTGAAGACCAAACACTTCAGGGTCCTGGACAGGATAATAAAATACTCATAAGCCTTCTGGATCCTTGGATTGACTGACATCAATAAGGGAACCAATTTTTGATGTTGTAAAAGAAATGTGTTCATCTCCAATAATGATTTCAAGCTCCTGCCGGCCCTCTCGGTTGGGAGGAGGCCATAACGCATCATCCTCTTTGGTAATTTCACTGTCATCAATTATACTCTTCAGTTCCTCCATCATACTTTTATGTACATAAGCCTCTTTTCTGATCATGACATCATTCTTGTAATTGCTGTGTTGGCTTATCTTAATTTCCCGTCCGGTCAGAACTCAAACTCCAGAAACTCGTGGCTGAACTTGCCCTTGTGCCCCACGTAGTAGCGCAGATAAAAGTCACTCTTCATGGCTTGCAAAAGACAACTGAGACTGAACTTCTAAAAGAAAGCTGCACCACCGCGGTCTGCACCCAACACTCTGTTTTGCTTTTTTATAATAGACCTGTGATCCCCTTGGAATTGATTTTTATGAAAGTTGGAAAGTAGGGGTTGTTTCACTTTTTTCCAAATGGACATTGAATTTATCCTAGCCTATTTATTGAAAAGACTGCCTTCTCAGCTACCCTGAAGTACCATCTTTGCCATAAGTCAAAACCCTACATATGTATAGATCCGTTTCTAAATTCTATTGTTCTATCATTTTATTTATTCATCCTTTTGTCATTATATGTTTAGCCCTCCAATTATTTAGGTCTTCTTCAATTTCTCCCATAATGTGTTATAGTTTTATGTGTAGAGATTTTGCATATCTCTGCTAGATTTATTCCTACGGAGTGGATTTTTTGAATGTTTTTATAAATGTTAACTTTTTGTTTTATCACTTTCTGTTACTTCCTGACAGAAAAGCAGTTAACTCTTGTATCCTGATCCAGTGATCATACAAAATTCACTTATTCTAGTAATTTTTTAGATTCTTTTTTATTTTCTACACATGTATTCATATCACCCACAAATCATGAAAATTTTATTTCTTCTTGTCCAATCATTGGGCATTTTATTTCTTTCTCTTGCCTTATTTTACCGGCTGGGACAATAGCTGGGACAATAGCTAGCATGGCATTGAGTACAAGTGGCAATATGGCCAGCCTCATCTCATTCCTGATCTCAGAGGGAAAGTTTTCAACTGTTCACCATTAAGTCTCAGGCTTCAGTGTAGATATCTTCTATCAGGTTAAGTTCCCTCCTACGCCCATTTTCTAAGAGCTTTTAACATAAATGGATGCTGAATTTTATGAAATGCTATTTCTGTATGGCTCTAGAAGATAGTTTATTCTCTTATTTCATTCCATTAATGTGGTGGAAAACATTGGTTGGTTTTTGTAATGTGAAACTAACTTTGCATTCCTAGAATAAACCCAACTTGGTAGTTGGGTTATATATTGCAGGATTTGATTTGCTAATGTGTTGTTTAGGAGTTTTCCATCTGTGGTCATGAGTGAGACTGCCATGTAATTTCATTTTTTTGTCATGTTCTTGTCAAGTTTTGGTTACCTGTCCTCATAAAATTAGTTGGAAAGTGTTTCTTCTTTTTCTGTTCTCTGGAAGTATTTATTGAAAGTTGGTATTATTTTTTTCCTTAAATATTATGTAGACATCTCCAGCTATGCCATCTAGGTCTAGAGTTTTCCTTTAGGAAAAATTTAAATTATGAACTCGATTTTTTTTTTTCTTTGAGACGGAGTTTCTTTCATTCTTGTCACCCAGGCTGGAGTACAGTGTGATGTCGGCTCATCGCAACCTCTGCCTCCAGGGTTCAAGCGATTCTCCTGCCTCAGCCTCCCGAGTAGCCAGGATTACAGGTGCCCGCCACCATGCCCAGCTAATTTTTTGTATTTTTAGTAGAGATGGGGTTTCACCATGTTAGCCAGGGTGGTCTTGAACTCCTGACCTCAGGTGATCCGCCCACCTCAGCCTCCCAAACTGCTGGGATTACAGGTGTGAGCCACGGCGCCCGGCCCTATGAACTCAATTTCTTTAATAGTTATGGGACTGTTCTGAGTATTTATTCTTATGTAAATGTTGGTAAACTGTATTTTTTCAAGAAATTTGTCTAATTTGTATTTTCAAATTTATTGGTGTAAAGTTCTTCATCATATCCACTTATGATTTTTACAATAGTTATTATAGTAGTATTCTCTTTTTTATTCCTGATATTTGTTATTTGTACTTCCTTGTGCTCTTTTTTCCTTTTTGTCTTGTCAGGGCTTATCAATGTTATAAATCATTTTAGAGAATCAATATTTGACCTTGTTAATTCTCTATTTTTATGTTGATTTTTTATTTCACTGACTTCTGCTTTTATGTTTATTTTCTTGTTTCTTTGGGGTTTAACTTGCTGTTCTTTTCCTAACTTCTTGAAATGAAAAATTCCTAACTTCCTGGAAGCTTAAAAAAAAAATGTACTTATGTCTATATGTTTCCCTCTAAGCATGATTTTTAGCTGCATCTCACACATTTTGATATGTAGTATTCACCTTATTCAGTTCAAAATATTTTCTAATTTCCATTGTGATTTCTTCTTTGACCCAAGTGTTATTTGAAAGTATATTTCCTAACTTCCAAATACACAGGAATTGCCTAATTATCTTTTTGTTAATGATTTCTAGCTTAACTGCACCGTGGTCAAATAACATACTCTGTAGGATTTCAGTCCTTTAAAATTTGTTAGTACTTATTTCATGGCCAAACATATAGTCTTTTTGTAAAATACTCAATGTGCACTTGAAAAGAATGTGTATCCTGCCATTCTTGGTTTATTGTGTGGTTAAAATCTTTTATATTGTTATTTTTCTTTTTTGTGTTTGTTTGTTAGTAACTGAGAGAGGTGTGTTAGTCTCCCAAGATGATTGTGGCTTTTTCCATTTTTCTTCTTAGCTCTGTCAATTTTTGTTCTATTTGGAAGCTATGTTATTAGGTCCATACAAATTTAGCAGTTATATCTTCTTGATGAATTGAATCTTTTGTCATTAAAAAGTGTCTTCCTTTGGCATCTTGAATCTACTTTCTAATAAGTGGTGTTGAGATAACCAGATAGCCACATAGAAAAATATGAAATTGGACATGTTCTTCATAACATTACACCAGGATAAATTCTATCTATCTATTTATTTATTTATTCATTTATTTATTTGAGACGGAGTCTCTCTCTGTCTCCCAGGCTGGAGTGCAGTGGCGCGATCTCGGCTCACTGCAACCTCCACCTCCCGGTTTCTCCTGCCTCAGCCTCCCAAGTAGCTGGGACTACAGGCACCCGCCACCATGCCCGGCTAATTTTTGTATTTTTAGTAGAGACAGGATTGCACCATTTGGCCAGGCTGGTCTCGAACTCCTGGACTTGTGATCTGCCCGCCTCAGCCTCCCAAAGTGCTGGGATTATAGGTGTGAGCCACCGCATCCGGCCTACATCAGGATAAATTCTAAACAGATCAAATATTTAAATGTACAAATGGAACCATACAGGTATTAGAAGAAAACTTGGGTAAGTTACATTACAACCTGAGAGAGAGAAGGTTTTCCTAACTATGACTCCAAATCCAGAAGCAATAAGGAAAAGGACTGATAAATACAATTACATGAAAAAACAACAACAAAAGACTTTTTCATGGCAAAGTATACTTTGCATAAGCAAAGTTAAAGGAAAATAACAAACTGCAAAGAAATACTTTCAGCTTACATCACAGATAGAGCTTCTAAAAATAGAGAAGACCAGCAACCTTAGAATCAGGTTAAACCTACATTGCTCAGAGATAGACCAAGATTTTTATAGAAAAAGAAATATAAATGGCTCTGAACCATATGAAAATGTGCTCACTTTTGCTCTTAATAAGAGAAATGCAAGCTAAAACTACCCCTTTCTCAACGATCCGATTAGTAAAAATTCAAGATTTTGATAACATACTCTGCTGGCAAGGCTATGGGGAAACAGACACTGTTAGCCATGGCTGGTTGGGATGCAAAATGGAAGAGCCATCTGGAGGGGAATTCGGGAGTATATAGAAATATGAACTATGCAATTACACTTTGACCCAGTAGTCTCACTTCCAGGAATTTATCTCAAAGACACACTGGTAAAAATATGTTAGATATATGCATATGGCTATTAACTGCAGCACTATTTTTAATAGCAAAAGCCTGGATACTATCTAAATAGTAGAGAACTGGTTGATTAAGCTATGGAGCCATCAGCAGAGTAAGAAAAGTTTTTCTATACTATAGAATGATCTCCAGGATGTAGTAACTGGAAAAGCAAGTGGAATACAACTGTGTACAATACACTGCCAGTTACCTTAGATAAGCAGGAATACAACTAAGTCACACATTTGCTCCACTGAAAAATCATGGAAGGATAAACTATAAAACTGAAAAAATTTTCCCCCATAGGGAAAGGGAAGCTATAGGGTCAGGGGGCTGGAGAAGCCGAATTTCTTTTAATATATCTTATTTTATAGATTTGACTTTTGAGCCATGTAGATATTTTACATAATTATAAAATAATATCAATATATTTTCAATACAATTAGCCCTAGAAATAAATGAATCTAACTGTGTATTTACTTGGTGGGATTAGCATACAGAACACTATGCCCAGTAATTTGAGTGTACATCCCTTAGTAGGTTATATCCTAATAACAAAAACAAACAAGAGAACCTGTTTTCAGTAGTCATATTATCATTTGGAGATTGCATTTGTATTGTAGAATAAATCAAATGGGTGATTATGTTGAGGTCACTGAGACTAGAAATTTTGCCATGATTAAAAGGAGATCCAGATATAAAATGTTCAATAAGGTTAATAAGAACTGGTACCTCTGAATTTGAGTAGTTAGTATAAACTCATAAGACATCTTAACTTTAAATGTATATGTGTACGTGTATATATTTATGTATGCATATACATTTATGACATATATATGAATTCACGAACATTGCAAACACTGTTGATTCCAGGTCTGTGGCCTAAAACATGATCCTGGGTATAACATGCGCCTGGAACATCTTGTCATACCAGAAAGCAAGGAAGCTATCAAAGGTTTACTAGGGTCATGTCAGAAAGAATTCAGGAGCAGACCTGAATAAGTGCCACTGGACAAAAATGGGACAGTCTGAGCATCAATAAAGACAATAACTGTCACGGACTGAAACACATTAAATATGTTTAAACTGGCCGGGTGCAGTGGCTCACGCCTGTAATCCCAGCACTTTGGGAGGCTGAGGCAGGCAGATCACTTGAGGTCAGGAGTTTGAGACCATCCTGGCCAACATGGTGAAACCCCGTCTCTACTAAAAACACAAAAATTGGATGTGGTGGCACCTGCCTGTAATCCCAACTACTTGGGAGGCTGACGCAGGAGAATTGCTTGAACCCGGGAGGCAGAGGTTGTAGTAAGCCAAGATCGCGCCACTGCACACCAGCCTGAGCAACAGAGCAAGACTCTGTCTCAAAAAAAAAAAAAAAGAAAAAAAGAAAAAAAAGAAAAAAAAAATAGTTTGGCAGTGTGGCGTGGATAAGGTTCAGATAAAACAAGATTGGACATACCAATAATTGTTGAAACTGGGTGATGAGTATATCTGATTCAAGATATTAGTCTCTCTGCTTTTATATATGTTTGAAAATTCAAAATAAAAAGTTAAAACAAAAAATTAAAAATATTCACAAAAAGTTGTTTTTCTCCAATAATTGTCTTACATTCTACTTTGTTGTTAAAATTGCAATATTGTATTTCATTTGGCTGGTGTTTGTAGTTTTTTTTCATCTTTTGACTTTAAATCTTTCTATATCAGTACAGTTAAGGGTTGTCTTTTTAAGCAGTGTAGAGCTGGGTTTTTCTTTCTTTTTTTTTTTTTTTGAGATGCAGTCCTGCTCTATCGCGCAGGCTGGAGTGCAACAGCACTACCTCAGCTCACTGCAACCTCCGACTCCCGGGTTCAAGCGATTCTCTTGCCTCAGCCTCCCAAGTAGCTGGGATTACAGGTGACCAACACCACGCCTGGCTAATTTTTTTGTATTTTTAGTAGAGACGGGGTTTCGCCATGTTGGCCAGGCTGGTCTCGAACTCCTGACCTCAGTTGATCCGCCTGCCTCGGCCTCCCAAAGTGCTGAGATTACAGGTGTGAGCCACCTCGCCTGGCCTAGAGTTGGGTTTTTAATCTTTTTACATACTTTGAGATTCTTTGACTCTTAACTGAAATCTTTACCTTTACATTTAATGTAATTTCTGATATATTTGGGTTTAAATCTATATCTTAACACATGCTTCCTATTTGTCCTATTGTTTCTGTTTCCCCTTCCCCTTCTCCTGCCTTCTGTACTCATTTTAATGCTACCAGTGGTTACCCTAATGATTACAACATTAATCCTTGACTTATCAAAGTTTAATATAAATGGATACTTTTATCTCTTCTCACACAATTAAAGGACCTTAGAATGCTTAAACTCCATTTACTCTTTTCCAGCTTTTATGCCACTGTTGTCATGTATTTCTATCCTGTATATGTTTAATTAGTTAACATTCATCGATATGTACACACGCACTTATATTGTCTTTGCTCTTCATTCTTTCGTGAATCTCTAAGTTTCCTCCTGAGATCATTTCCCTTCACCCTGAAGAACACCCTTTAGGCTGACAACTGCCCATGACTATACTGGGCCTTGTAGAAAACTACGGTTTTTGTGGACAAGAGTGACCAGGATACTTTAAATCAACTATTATTAACTTCCCTTAAGAAAAGGGAAGATTTCTTTCAAAAGATTCCTGTTTTTACTTGTATGGCAGTATTTTCACTTACTACCTGATTTTGTCAGCCTCGAAGATGTGATTTCTTTTTTTTTTTTTTTTGAGAGAGTGTTGCTCTGTCGCCCAGGCTGGAGTGCAGTGGCACAGTCTTGGCTCACTGCAACCTCTGTCTCCCGGGTTCAAGCGATTCCCCTGCCTCAGCCTCCCAAGTAGCTGGGACTACAGGCGCGTGCCACCACACAGGGCTAATTTTCTGTATTTTAGTAGAGACAGGGTTTGACCATATTGGCCAGGATGGTCTTGATCTCCTGACCTCGTGATCTGCCCGCCTCGGCCTCCCAAAGTGAAGATGTGATGAGTTGAATACTTACTTTGAGGAACTGTGGCACAGGATAATCCATGCTGTAATAATCACCAGACCAGACAGCTCCCTATAAAAGGGTGTACATTTCAGATTTTGGAAGTGGCTACAAGTGAGATGCATATCATCACATTCTCTCCATGACCACCTGATAGCGCATTCTGATTGAGTGACTGACTCTCCCTCAAGATCTATGGCATCGATGGAATATTTTCAAATCTGACCATGATTCATAAATTACTTTTTTCAGAGAATTTAAAGCCTCATATGAAAATACATTTCATCTTAAAAGGCAGGTATGAGATCCCTGACTATGCCCTGATTTATAAGTGGATCCCCCCAAAATGAAATGAATATTTTATAAAATCCACAGATACATCACTTTTTTCAGGTCGCTAGAAGAAACAGTGCAACTAAGAAAATCCCAGATTTGATCAGTCAATACTTTTACATTTTTAAAGAGGCTTCAGTGTGAGGCAGAATGAGCCCAAACCAATACATGATCTGTGTATATACTACAAGAGATTGGGTCACTTCCTAGGGGAGAGGAATGATTTGTAGTACAAATCAGACTAATAATTTGGGGGTGGGTATATGCTTCTATAAATATGTATTATATGCACATATCTTTTACATAGAATAAAAAACAATCACTTCAGCCATAATACCACTAGAAGCCCCAGGCTGAGTTCACTATAACCCATGGGCTTCATGCTGGAAGTGATTCAACCCATTTGGTCTACATTCTTATCTACAGACCCAACCTATAGTTTGGCTCTCCAGTGTTCTAAAGATTGGGGGTTATAACAAAGAAACACCTTTTCAGTGATGTTTAACTTACAGGTCTATGAATTTTGTTGTTGGCAGATGGCAGTAGGAGTAGAAAAGAAACAAAAGGACCTATTAATAAGTCCTCAGAGACAAGGGTGGGAGGAAGCAAAGGAAGAGGTGATAAAATAGGAGCAAGTGGTCATGACAAGGAAATGACACAAGACATACCAGGGCAAGTCTAACAGGTTGACTTAAAGTACTGATCTTTTGGCTGGGTGCGGTGGCTCATGCCTGTAATCCCAGCACTTTGAGAGGCCAAGGAAGGCGGATCACGAGGTCAGGAGTTCAAGACCAGGCTGACCAACGTGATAAAACTCTGTATCTACTAAAAATACAAAAATTAGCTGGCCGTGGTGGCACGCACCTGTAATCCCAGCTACTCAGGAGGCTGAGGCAGAAGAATAGCTTGAACCTGGGAGACGGAAGTTGTAGTGAGCAGAGATCGCGCCACTGCACTCCAGCCTGGGTGACAGAGCAAGACTCCGTTTCAAAAAAAAAAAAAAAAGGACTGACCTCTGAGATGGCTGCTCATACTTGTAGATAAGATTCTGGCTTAAACCAGAACTGAATTTGAGGCTGACAGAGTTATCACCATATTAGATCGGACTGAGTATTACTGTATCATACCGTTGCTAGTTACAAGGGGGCCAAAGTCCAACGGCCTGACAGTAATATAATGTAATATGTAGTGACTGCCACTAGCAGTGATAATGAAGCCTGATAGATGGGGCTGGGTTTGAATCCTGGCTCCATTATTTCCTCAGTTTCATCAGGTTATAAAGAAGATAATACCTTGCCTCCTCCACAGGGTACACTGGGGGAATTCAGTTATCATTGTGCACAGATGAGGTGTTGCAAACACGATTCCTTAGTTCTATCCCACAGTTCTATCCCTCCACAGGGTAACCGTCACCGCTCACCTGCCTTCTTCCTCATGTAAGATGTTCTGTTGTGTACGATGCAAGAGGTAGGACGCCAAGCCAACAGCCCACACCGTACAAAAGAGTATGTGTATTGCAGAGATACTTTTCCAAATAACATTACCTAAAAATAGATGTTCTGATGTTGTTAACCACGGAATCACAGCCCACAGAAAAAAAAAATGATCTTTTTGTATGTTTTGCCATAGTCTGCTTTCAGAAAAGACATTCAGACTCCCTCAGCCCCATCGCCCCTTTTTGTTTTAGGACAACACAGAGGTCACAGCACTAATTATAAACTTCAGTGGCCATTTCTTGTTTGGGTTGTTCAGCAGCTCCCCTTCCTAGGATGATTACCCTTATTTTCTCTGGGGATCCACCATGTCCACACTCACAGTCCATGTTTCCCAGTGAACTGGACTTTGGCTAGGTCAATCAATACATGTTATCTCCTCAGCCACAGTGATTTGGATCAGCACAAACGGACAAGCAATCAGAGCCAGCAACTGCATTCTGAGACTTTGGTAGAGTGAAGAAACACAGTCCATATTCCACTGGACGTGGCATCGTGAAGATGTGAATGGGGGGCTGCAGGGCCACTGTGTGGAGCCCAAGAGTGAAGTTAGCATGACAGATGGTGGAACTGAGAGGTGGAGAGAAGGTAAAGTTCCGAGTCCACCAGTCTGAAGCCAGCACCACCCTTCACCTTTTCAGTAAACTGTACCAATACCTTTTCTTCTCAGCTCATAGCACATTTGAGTTATTTTCTAGCTTGTATCTAAAGGAGCCCTAACTGATCTACCTTAAAGATGCAGACGGAGTTCTAGCTGCCTATACAAGGAGCCCAGGCATCTAGGGAACTAGAATTTTCCCCACTAAGGTGGGACTCATTAGTCTTTATTCTAAGGCCCCTGAGAACATTCGAGCCCCACTAGGAGAAACTGTTTTAAAGAAAGTGAAGAAGAATCTGTCCTCTCACTTCTATAAAACAGAAGACGCTGTTTTATAGCAGATCCTTCTGACGTTTTCCTGAAGATGGGTAAGGATGATTAGAATTAGCCCCTTTTATTATCAGAAATGAGAAGAAAGGCCTAGAGAGCCCCGTTTTACTCCTGGGAGTTGGGCAGATAGACCCTCATTATTATGAGGAAATCTGATTTGCTGTCTCTCCATTTAGAATGCAAGGCTTATACCTGTGACTTCAGGGTTAAGTCCAACAAGCAGGGTCAGTACTGCAGGGATTGTGTACACCACCTGTTAGCAAAAAGGGAGGAAATTACATGAGTTAAGATGTATGCCCAATATATGAGATGTTCAGAGATACAGGAAGTAAAGAAAGATGAGATCAGTGGCTGCTGTGCCCCATGATTTGCCTCTAAGTTTCAATGGTGATTGAGAAAGTGGTAGATTCTCCTTTTGTGGCACTTAGCACGTCTGCCTGCAATTTTATCTACCTTCCTCCTAGACTATAGGCTATTCCAGAAGCTCATTTATCTTTGAGCTCTAACACTGAGCACAGGGTTTTGGTCTTAAGACACACTAACTTTCCAGTCGCTCCCAAGCAACTTTCATGCCCAAATGGCCTTTCCCCACTTGCATAAAAGAAAATGTTCTTTGAAAAGTAGGGCAGGAGCAGCCACGATGCTAGATGGCCCTGCTGGCTTTGGACCCAATGGACCATCCAGGCCAGTACTGCATCTCTGTGAGACCACAGAAAGTTTTCTAATAATGCATACACAATCAGCTGTGCCCAGTAATAAGGTCAGGCTCTTCATTTTGGAACTGCTGATAAGTGTTTGGAAATGAGAAGACTAGCCCTAAAGAGGCCCTATTCCTAAGCCTTGTTCATAACAAGCAGGCTCTAGCCAAACTTACTATTGTGTGTGTTGTTGGCAGGGAATAAGTAGGGAGGGTGGGTTTATAAGAAGGATGGGGACTTTCCAAACAATGTAGCTGTCTAATCACATCAATTTCTGTGCTTATATCAGAAGATGTTAAGGCAGGTGCCAGGGGTCCATGTGGGAGGTAGTGGAGGGCTGAACTGTGAATGAGGGAGGATGTCTATGGGGACATGGGGTCTATTCCTCCTATTATATCGTCTGAGCATGAATGAAAGGTAAAATGTGCAGGTACTATAGAGATAAGCAATTAGACCTCGATTGTTTAATTAATTTTTTGGAGATGGGGGGGGTCTCGCTATGTTGCACAGGCTGGCCTCGAACTCCTGGGCTCAAGTGAGCCTCCTGCCTCAGCCTCTTGAGTAACTGGGACTACGGATGCCTGCCACCATGCCCGACTCAAATTTATTTTGTGTTTTGAGGGGCTCTCCAAGGCAGTGGTAAGGAACAGAGAGATGATAAAGATGACTGAGATTCTGAACAAGAATGACTCAGAGAATGATTCTGCTGATAACAGAAATGGGTGAGTCAGGATAAGTAGATTTTGGAGGGAAAGATGCTAGGTAGGTCCTTGGGCATATCTGAGGAGCAGTGTGACATGCAGGTGAATATACGCAGCAGTCTTTTGGAAATTCACCATTAAGCTGGATGTCTGAGACTTGTCTGCAGGGAAATAATATTTGGAATTCAAGATACGGACCAGGGTGCCAAGGCAAAGGCAGTTTGATTTGATTCAGAGGCATACTGATCTGGATAGTAAATATCAGAATGTGGTTTTACTGCACTAAAAAAACAAAACCTGGATAGAATTTCATGTTATAATTCCAGATACCATCATCCTTGTTGCTCCTCTGTCAATATTATTCTAAAGCTTAAGAGTCATCTCCTTGGTGTACTGTACAGTCTTGTGTATCTATATTGAGAGAAACTGGGCAAAATTCAGATATTTTGGAAGATAAAAGATATTTAGAGCCGGGCGCGGTGACTCATGTCTGTAATCCCAGCACTTTGGGAGGCTGAGGCAGGTGGATCACCTGAGGTCGAGAGTTCAAGACCAGCTTGACCAACATGGAGAAACCCTGTCTCTACTAAAAATACAAAATTAGCTGGGTGTGGTGGCGCATGCCTGTAATCCCAGTTACTTGGGACACTGAGGCAGAAGAATCACTCAAACCTGGGAGGTAGAGGTTGCGGTGAGCCTAGATTGCGCCATTGCACTCCAGCCTGGGCAACAAGAGCAAAACTCCGTCTCAAAAAGAAAAAAAAAAAAAGATATTTAGAAGATGTATGGAACAATGGCCCCCTCCTCCAAATGGTTCAAATCAGAGCCTTGCTTATATGAAGACTGTAGGTTTTACAGGATTTAATACTTTTCTTTGCTTTTTTTTTTTCTTTTTTTTCTTTGCTTTTTTTTTTTTGAGATGGAGTCTCACTCTGTCGCCCAGACTGGAGTGCAGTGGCACGATCTCAGCACACTGCAACTTCTGCCTCCTGGGTTCCAGCGAGTCTCCTGCTTCAGCTTCCCTAGTAGCTGGGGACTACAGGCGCATGCCACCACGCCTGGCTAATTTTTGTATTTTTTGGTGGAGACGGGGTTTCACCATGTTGCTCAGGCTGATCTAGAACTCCTGACCTCAAGTGATCCACCCGCCTTGGCCTCCCAGAGTGCTGAGATTGCAGGCGTGAGCCACCTTGCCCAGCCAGGAGTTAATACTTTCTAGAAATATAAGTCACTGAATTAGCAGAACCTCAGAACTTAAGCCTGTTATTTTCCGGTCAAAGGTTTGCATTGAGTGTCTGGCTAGAAACTCATAAGGAATTGTTCAACTGATCTTGAGAGGCCTACTCTAGGTCCTCAAGAAAGTCCTCAGTTGGGCCATCTAACCAAAGGGAATACTGCAGAAAGACCTGTTTCCAGAAAGTTCGAAATTCACACACACATTACATTAGAACTCTGATCCTGCCTATTAATATTTTAGGAAAAAGCGCTTCCCAAGGGTTTGATTTTTAAGTTTCTCAGAAAATTAAGCAGGGAGGAGGGGTAAAGACATAAAACCGTGTGTTTTGTGCCGTTCCCCAATTCTTCCAAACGGAGGAAAGCCTGGAAGCGGCTCATACTCACCACCCACACCTCTGCATCTGGGTCATTTACCTGGAACGCCAGAATACCAAGGTGTTAGCAGACATCCTGTGCTGTTCCATTCCTTTTAAATTCATTTAAGCACATTTTTTATTAATTTGTTAAGTGCCAGACACTGCAATAGGCATCGAGGGTACAAAATCTGAACAGGATATAGTCCAGATGAGGACGGGTGAAGGGGTTTCTGGCTGACACAACAGATGTTTTTAACAGGCAGCCACACATTTTTGAAAAGCCTTCACGGGAGCTCTGGAGAGGACTCGCCAACCCAGAACGGGTATTTTAAGGGCCCTCCACCCCCACCAGTCTCAAGAAATGAGGGAAATGATTATGAAGGGGGTCCCCAAGCCGACTAAAAAGTTTAATGATGCTATAAAGGGTTTTGGTCGGCTTCGTCTCCTAGGCCCTGAGATATGTTCAGTGTCGTCCGCGGGCCGGACGTTAACGCAGGAGCCAGGGCCGCTTCTTCTGAGGTCCCCTGGGAAGTTCCACGCGCGGAACCAGCCCCTTCCAGGGTGTGAGCCCTGGTATGGGACTCGCTTCCATGAACACATCCGCGTCTCTTAGACGGGGGAGAAAGTGGGGGCTCCCCAAGCAGAAAGCCCAAGTCCCGTCCTCCCCACTAACTGTGCGCCCCTGCGACTCTGCCCGCTAGTCAGTTACACGGCCCGCTAGGCCAGGGGGCGGAGCTGGGAGCCGGGCGGGTCCCCCTCCCACCGCGGCCGCCTGACCTGCACCAAGGCCGCCAGCGCGAAGAAGGCGGCCATGAGTCCGTTGCAGGCCCGCCACAGCGCTGGCGCCATGGCTCGGAGAACACGGCGCGGGGCGGTGAGTCCTGCCACGTGCGGGGCGGTGAGTCCTGCCACGTACGGTCCGCCTTCCTCCTTGCGCGGAGGGACCGAGACCCCCGCCTCGGTTTCGGTGCCTTGGGGACACTGCCGTGGCCGTCGCTCCGCCCGGGGGCGGGGAGCGAAGGGCGTGGGTGTAGCCCCCACTCAGCGACCCATTCAGCCCGCCCCGAACGCCGCGGGGTGTAGGCGGCGCCGTCCTGGTTTCGCGGATGGGAAAGCGAGTCCCTCAGGGAGCGCAGGTCTCGGTGGTGGACGGAAGTCGAATTTGAACCCGTATAGGTTCAACTCCAAACCCTGTTTTCACTAAAGCTACCTTCCTCACAAAAAAAAAAAAAAAGAAGAAAGAAAAAAAAGAAGGAAAAAAGGAAGGAAGGCAGGCGGGAGGGGAGAGAGGAAGAAAGAGAAAGAAAGAAAAAGAAAGAAGGAAAGAAAGGGCTGGGCGCAGTGGCTCACGCCTGTAATCCCAGCACTGTGGGAGGCCGAGGTGGGCGGATCACCTGAGGTCAGGAGTTCGAAAGCAGCCTGGCCAACATGGTGAAACCCCGTATCTCTACTAAAAATACGAAAAAATTAGTCGGGCGTGGTGGCGGGAGCCTGTAATCCCAGCTACTCAGGAGGCTGAGGCAGGAGAATTGCTTGAACCCGGGCGGCGGAGGTTGCAGTGAGCCCAGATTGTGCCACTGCACTCCAGCCTGGGCAACAAAGCGAGACTCCTCAAAAAAAAAAGGATAAAAATTGTTTTTACAAAAATAAGAAAGAGAAAGAAAAAGAGATGTGTGTGTGTGTGTGTGTGTGTGTGTGTGTGTGTGTGTGTGTGTTCTGTTTAGTATTTATGCATTTCCTTCCAAAGCTCAGGAACTTTCAAATCCCTGTAAGCATTATGGTAATTTCTAGAGTGACGACAGTTATATTAACATCTTATACGGCTCACAGCTTTTCGGCAGACAGGCTCATTTATCTTCATGGGCTTTTATTATAAAAGATATTTACATATTATACATATTTACAATTCTCTCCCACCACCAAAACCAACAAAATTTCCAAAATTGCTCATGAATTTCTTATGAACCGAAGACACTGAAATATTCACTGTTCTCCCCTAGTCTGTCTGGTCTTTTTCTGTTTTGTAATTCGCCCTTCTGCTTAGTTCCTCCCCGGGCTCATTTACACATCCATAGGCCTCATTTCTGCTGTTCTAAAGAGTCTTTATCGCTTCAAATCAGGAGCTTCTGTGCCTGTCCTCTTTTCCTTTGAGCTAAATCTCCTAAAACTGTCTAGTTTTTTTTTTCTTTCCCTCTCAGTTTCATTCTTTTCACGAAACACTTATTTCAAGAACGTTGTCTGCTCTGTGCCTGGTGCTGGGACCGTGAAGGTCCCGTGCCGGGACTAGGCAGGGAGCCTGGCGGCTGGCGGGGGTGGGCACCCGTGTTTGCAGAGGTGGGGTGGGGACAGCGGGGACCAGCACTGGGTGGAGTTCCACAGCTAAATCAGCCCTGGGATTGGAAACAAGCGAAGACTATTCTCACTGTGCTTTTCCTTACATAAAAGAAAAAAATGAGAGCGAGAGTGCTAGGGGCTGACTTGCATTCCCCCTGCACCCCCAATTCATATGCTGAAGCCCTAACCCCCAGTGCCTCAAAATGGGACTGCATTTGCAGACAGGGACTTGACAGAGATGATTAAGTTAAAATGAGGTTATAGGGTGGACCCTAATCCAATATGACTAGTGTCCTGATACGAAGAGGGGACAGTTACAGAGGGAAGACCACATGGGCACACAGGGAGAAGACGGCCGTCTGCAAGCCAAGGGGAGAGGCCTCATGAGAAACCAACCCTACCAACATCCTGAATTTGGACTTCCAGCCTCCAGAACTGTGAGAAAATAAATTTCCGTTGTTTAAGCCACCTAGACTGTGGTACTTTGTTGGGACAGTCCTAGCAAATTAATACAGGGAATGATTATAATACCCACAAGGAAACAATGGCATGGAAGTGCTTTTAAGCTCTTGAATGCCATACAACCACCATGAAGTTTTATAGTTTTCACTGTTGTCTGGGACTTTCTTTTTTTATTTCTATTTTTTTGAGACAAAGTCTTGCTCTGTTGCCCAGGCTGGAGTGCAGTGGCACGATCTCAGCTCACTGCAACCTCTGCCTCCTGGGTTCAAGTGATTCTCCTGCCTCAGCCTCCAGAGTAGCTGGGACTACAGGCGCCCACCACCATGCTGGGCTAATTTTTGTATTTTTTTTAGTAGAGATGGAGTTTCACCATATTGGCCAGGCTGGTCTCGAATTCCTGACCTCATGATCTGCCTGCCTCGGCCTCCCACAGTGCTGGGATTACAGGCATGAGCCACTGCACCCGGCTGGGACTTTCAAAGTCACCTTAGTGAGCGTCTGTTGGTTTTGCCTTTGCAGGGTTCAGTCCCCTTTCTTCGAGGATCAGTGTCTTTAGTACTGTGGATTACCACATGCACTATGGGTGGATGTGGACTACAGGGTTGACCGTGCTCCCCTCCTTTTGGGGATAGGCAGGTGACTTTGGCCTGCCAGCTGACATATCCCATTCTGTTGACCACTGTGATTGGGTCTAGGATGGGTATAGGATCCAAATTGCCCAGATTCAATCCTAGGACCTATATGGGACTTAGGTTGTCAGTAAAGGACAACCTCAGTTGAACTGAATTTTGGATCATCAATGATGTGTTCCAAATATTTGCTAAATCTGGCAATCCTACTCACACTATTAAAGAGAAGCTTTCTTTGTGATGAATGTGTAGAGCTGGTAGAATGTGAGCCTGGAGCTGTCAGGAGAAAGCCTCACAGGGAGAAAGGCTTTCTGCAGGTGAAGTTTAAAAGCCTGGATCCAGCCATGCCTGAAAATGGAAGAATCTCACAACCAACAGAGTCTCTTCTTTACATAAGCCCGTGTGAATTGGGTTTTTGTAATTTGCAACAAAGAATGATGACTTGTAAAGTCATGATTCAATAGTTAAGGCAATGTGTGAAATCCTTGCAAACCTCCTGCTATAGGTTTGTCCAGGCTTTGCAGAGACACGGAAGAGAAGGCTTAGTCTGAAAAGTAATGAAAAATACGTTTAAATGAATCCAATATCTCAGACAGCTCTGCTTGAAGAGTAATTTCATTTCCCTTTTTAGCAAAAGGCTATGATACAATACTGCAGAGAAGATGAGGTTTTAAAGGCAGTAGGGTCTTGTCAAAGCTGGCTTCCCTCTGCAGAAAGGGCAGCACAAAGGACCCTTCATCCTGCTGGACACTCCCTGGCTGCCCAGTCAGTGACAGCATCATAAAAGCAATTGAGCCACAGGAGTGAGGTGAGCTGGACTCACTTCCCCGCTGGAATCCGAGAATGGCTGGACATCTGCCCTCTGAGAACTTGGAAATAGAGGTGCTTGCTTATTCCCTGAGAGTAGGGTTGTTAATCCAATGCTAAGAGTTGGAGCAGAGACAGGAAGCTCATATAAAGACACAAATGGCCTCCCAGGGTCACAGGATTGAGAGAGAGAAAATGAATGCATGAAAGTACGTAAAAGAAGAATGTCAGCAAAGGAGGATTGATGGGCTTGGAGGCTTCAAGTTAGGTCATCTGAAAGGCAAGCGTAGACCAAGTCCATCCTCACACAGACTGGAGAGAGTGCTTTGCTCCACCAGATGTGGACACTCACATTTCTTGGTCGGGCCAACCTCTTTGGGGCTTATGTGGGTTGAAAATTTCACAGGCTCAACCCTCCCCTTGCTGTGATTCCAGAAGGCCAATTTTGGAGACTTTGGCTTCCCACCTAGCTGGCCTACAGAGTGGAGAACATGTGGCTCTCTGAGCCAGGTGCATTTCAAAGTGTGTATCAATGGAATGCCCATGCCATTCTCTTTTATAGACTTGTTTTCCTTTTAGTAGTCTCCATTATCTGTCCTTCCAGGTGTGGTCAGCTACTCCGGAATGTGGCAGGGGTGGAGGCCGGACAAAGTCTGAAACAGGGTCATCACCAGTGAGTGGCTCCTGCCTGTGCTCTATGTCCAGAGTGTGTGTGTGCTGGTGATGCTCCCAAGGTGACATATTGGGAACAAGGATTACAAGGATCAGAAACTGCTGCCCATGCCGTCTACCTCCCTCTGTCCAGCACACCAGATCAGCAAAGGCCAAGCCATGCTGTCTCCAGGCTCTGCTGATTCCATGTGAATGAAGTGTTGGGGCAGGAAAGGGTTGGAACAGAACAGTGGAGGAATTCTACTAGGAGCAGTGGACGAATTCTACTAGGAGCTAGACAGCCTTCTGCTAAAATATTTGAAATCAGAAAAGCACCTCGCCACGGCAAGGATTGATTTGCTTCTACAAAACCCATCTAGTCTCTATGAAGGACTTGGGTTTCTACTGTTAGCAAAATATAGCCCGTGTTATGAAAGTCTTAAAGCTTACGCATATTGATGGACAATGAAAAACACTTGGCTTGAATAATGTTCCTCAAATATCCCCTTATGCCACTGAAAGGAGAATATGGTTAAATGAACCCTCTGCGTGTATTTATATCCACCCTATTCATTGGCATGAAACACTCAGTGAGCCATTTATTCTATCCATTTATTCTGTCCATTTATTCAAGACTTCCTACGTGTCAGGCACTATGCTAATAACTGAGGATGTGACTGTGACCTCACGGGACACGGTGTTTGCCCTTGTAGAGCTTACAGGCCAAACAATAATTACACGAATAGGTAGGGGTTCCAGCCAACAATGGTGGTGATGCTGAGAAGGAGAAGTGAGGCTGCTATGGGAATGTGTGAAACCAGAGAATCTGACCTCTTCCCAGGGGTTCCAGAAACCTCCTGAGGAGGTGATTTTCAGGTGTGCCCTGAAAGATGAATGGGTGAGGACAGGTGAAGACTTTATGGACCAGTGCTTAAAGCCGAGAGAGAAGTGCTTATGAGAAGACCAAATCCTGAAGGTCTTCAGGGCCTGGCAAAGAATGAGAGTACAAGTAGACATAGATGAGGCTAGCACAATGCAGGTAAAGAGTTTGGTTTTATCCTGGCTGGGTGTGGTGGCTCACGCTTGTAATCCCAGCACTTTGGGAGGCCGAGGCAGATGGATCATCTGAGGTCAGGAGTTCAAGACCAGCCTGACCAACATGGTGAAACCCCATCTCTACTAAAAATACAAAATTAGCCAGGCACAGTGGCGCATGCCTATAGTCCCAGCTACTCAGGAGGCTGAGGCAGGAGAATCACCTGAACCCAAGAGGCGGAGGTTGCAGTGAGCCGAGATCACGCCATTGCACTCCAGCCTGGGCAACAGAGTGAAACTCCATCTCAAAAAAAAAAAAAAAAGTTTGGTTTTATCCCAAGTGTGCTGAAGAGCCCCTGGAGCACTGAGTGGGGAGAGCATGATGGGAGGTGTGCTTGGGCTGCCCCGTGGAGGAGGATGCACTGGGGAGAGCCCAGAGAAGAAGCAGAGACTGGCCATGAGGTGCTTGCAGTAGGCCAGGAGAGAGATGATGCTGGCCAGGGCTAACAGGGTAGCAGTGGCCATGGAGGGAAAGAAGCACGAATGAGTGACATTGGGGAGATAAAGTCAATCAGACTGTATGCAGGGAATAAAAAAATGCCTCCACTCCTTATGACAAAGTTAAGTTTTCAAGGCTGGGTGTGGTGGCTCACACCTGTAATCCCAGTACTTTGGGTGGTCAAAGTGAGAGGATCACTTGAGCCCAGGAGTTCAAGACATCCTGGGCAACAGAGCAAGACTCCATCTCTACAAAAAAATTTTAAAAAATTAGCTGGGTATGGTGGCATGTGCCTGTGGTCATAGCTTCTTGGGAGGCTGAGGCGGGAGGATTGCTTGAGTCCAGGAGCTCGAGGATGCAGTGAGCTGTGATTTGCACCACTGCATTCCAGCCTGGGTGACAGAGCAAGACCCCATTGAAAAAAAAAAAGGACTTTCAAAATCATACATGGCAGATTACACAATAAATAAAAATAATTGATAGAAAGTACTTAAAAAAACAAGTTTTTGATTCTGCATGGCTGAGAACAGACTGCAGAAGGTAGGTGAGCTCTTCAAGGGAATGGCAAAGCACTTCCCAGTGTTGCCTTTGCTCCGTCCAGAATCGCTGAGTGTCAGCCTGTGCTAGCACCTACCTGGCCTCAATTAGAGTCGCCTGATCTCCTTAGGTGGGACTGTGGATGCTCTTCTCCTTATACTTTCACTTTTTTTTTCCCTTTATGGAAATTCTTAGTTTTTTTTGGGTGTGTGGGTTTTTTTGTTTTTTTTTTTTTGAGACAGAGTTTCGCTCTTGCTGTCCAGCCTGGAATGCAATGGCAGGATCTTGGCTCACTGCAACCTCCACCTCCTGGGTTCAAGCGATTCTCCTGCCTCAGCCTCCCGAGAAGCTGGGATTACAGGCATGCGCCACCACACCCAGCTAATTTTTTTGTATTTTTAATAGAGATGGGGTTTCTCCATGTTGGTCAAGCTGGTCTTGAACTCCTAACCTTAGGTGATCCGCCCACCTCGGCCTCCCAAAGTGCTGGGATTACAGGCGTGAGCCACCGCACTTGGCTGGAAATTCTTAGTTTTAATCTCGCAATAATTGTTCTGTGTGTATGTGTGTTGTTCATGCTCCTAGACTATGCCACAAATTTCAGAAGGTAAGGACTATAACCTGTTAATTTTTTCTTCTCTCCAGTAGCACCTGACATACCTGGATATAAACAATATCCAAGGTGAGTGGGGATACAATGAAATGTTGTAGGAATATTGGGTTTGGTGGTGGGGGATGTAATAGGTAGCGTCTTGAATTTACTGAGTTAGGCAGTATTCTAATCACTTCATATATATTAACTCGTCTTGTGCCCACAACAGATCTATTAGGTAGATAGTACTATCATCCCCATTTTATGGATAGAGAAACAAAGGCATACACTAGCTTTTAAGTACCCTGGTTAAGCAATAAGTGAGTCAGAAATTAGACTTCTTCAAGCTCATGGTGAGGCCTTCTGCAGGTTTATGAAGGGAGTGAGTGAAGTGGGCTCTCTCTCCCATGAGAGTGGAGCATTTAACTCAACAGCTACCCTGTTTCCATGAACTGGAGAGGGTGGAAGGGGTCATCTGTAGACCAGGGGCTCAATTCTCCAAAGGCTGAAGGGGTGATGTTTGAGGTCCTCCTTTGATGCCATTCTTCTTATGTCTTAGCTATTTTAAAGACCAGGAAGATTCTCCACTCATGCCCTTGACTTTTAGAGCCAATTAGATGAAGCTGTATTTGGAGGTAGGAAGAGAAGTTGAGTGACTTTGAAGCCATCTTCTCTCTGATCTTGACTTTCTGATTTTGGCCTGGGCTGTTGGAATTGTATGTGTCCACAAGATGGCGGACTTCTGCTGGGAATGGAGTCGTGCGGGCATGGAACGAAGGAGGGGAGGAGGGAAGAGTGGGCTGTGCCTCCCCTTGGCTCTCCCAGGAAGCCTGTGATGTAGACTTCTGGGTGGGTACGAGGTTGGCATCAGCTGGAGGTGAAGAAGTGCAAACAGAGCTTTACACTTGATCTTAACCAATAGGCGGAGAAGTGATTCAAATAGAACTTTGTACCAGGAAATATTCATCCCCAAACAAGGGTGTTGCAAGAAAAGAGCTAAGCTTTGCTGTGGTGCTGGCAGAGCTTGAAACTGCCACCCCAGTACTCCAGGAAATTCAGATATGCTTGAGAGGAGCAATCACTTCTAATGTAGGCGTACTCTAAAAGTAAATGATGATAACAACTATGAATTGATGAGTATTTACTGTAAGCCCAGCTACGGCCCTTTCACCTCCTGATATCTGAAAGCCACCACAATTTCTGAATTTTTACGTGTAAACTCATACCCACCCTCCTATCCCACAAGACCTGAGCCCCTCCGGTTTCCCTCTCTCACCCATTCAAGTGCTCCTTGTTATCAGTTGCTTAGGGCTGCCTTAGCAAATTATCACCAGCTTGCCTTAAAAGTAGGGGAATTTATTCTTTCACAGTTCTGTAGGCCAGGTACCCAAAGTCAAAGTGTCAGCAGGACTGCACTCCCTCTGAGGGCTCTGGGGTAAAGTCCTTTCTTGCTTTGACAGCTTCCAGTGGCTCCTTGTGGCCACATGACTCCAATCTCTTCACGTTACCTTCTCTGTGTCTGTCCTTCTGCTCTTCTTTTATAAGGCAATGTATCATCAGATTCAGGACCCACTTGGACAATGCAGGATGTCTCATCTTGAGATCCTCAATGTAATGTTTGCAAAGACCCTTTTGCCAAATAAGGTCCCATTCACAGGTCCCAGGGGTTAGGATGTAGACATCTCTTTATGGGAGCCACCATGATCATTGTAGAAACCTGGAAGTTATTCCTGACACCTCATCTTTCCTCCTCTCTCAGTCCACCACTGATTCTGGTGAACTTTTCTGCTCAGTAGTCCCCCATTTTTATTGCTGACACCTGGTCCCAGCGATCAGCATTTCCCCTCTTTGAACACATTAACCTCCTAACTGGCTTCCCACCCTGTTATGGACTGACTTGTGCTCCCCCTGCACTCCCTAGTTCATAAGTTGAGTATTTGGAGATAGGGCCTTTAAGGAGATAATGAAGGCCAATGAGGGAGTAAGGGTCGGGCCCTAATCCCACAGGGCTGGTATCCTTACAGGAAGAGGAAGAGGCTCCAGAGCTGGCTCTCTCCTGGCCCACACAGAGGAAAGGCCATGTGAGGACACAGGGAGAAGAGGGCATTTATAAGCCGGGAAGAGAGGCCTCACCGGCCACCAACCCTGATGGAACCTTGATCTTGGACTTACAGCCAGCAGAGCTATGAGGAAATCAATGTTTAAGCATCATCCTAGTCTGTAGTGCTCTGGCAGCCTGAGCAGAAGAATACTTACTCTGTGCTCCGTCCCACCCAGTCTCCACACTGCAGCCAGTGACTGTATGAGACACAAATCTCCAATTTCTGCTTAAGACCCTCCCTCCCTCCCTCCCTCTCCTCCCTCCCTCCCTTCCTCCCTTCCTCTCCTCCCTCCCTCCCTTCCTCTCCTCCCTCCCTTCCTCTCCTCCCTCCCTCCTTCCCTCCTTCCCTCCCTTCCTCTTCTCTCTTCCACTCTCCTTCCCTTCCTCTCCTCCTTCCCTTCCTCTCCTCCTTCCCTTCCTCTCCTCCTTCCCTCCCTTCCTCTCTCCGTTCCTCTGTCCCTCCCTTTTTCTCCTCCTTCCCTCCCTTCCTTTCCTCCCTCCCTCCCTTCCTCTCCTCTCCTCTCTTCCTCCCCACTCCCTTCCTCCCTTCCTCTCTCCTCCCCTCACCTCCCTTCCCTTCCCTTCCCCTTCCTTCCTTCCTTCCTTCCTTCCTTCCTTCCTTCCTTCCTCCCTCCCTTCCTTCCTCCCTCCCTCCCTCGCTTCCTCCCACAGATGGATCCAAGGCACTCATCTAAGCACTAAGGATATAGCAGTGAACGAAACAGACAACTCCCACCTGATGTTCTTGTGTGAAGCTTACCTTCCAGCACCCCTCACTGCCTATGGCTCTGGGGTTAAAAACCAACATTTGAACCTGGTCTGCAAAGCCCTGCGTACTCAGAGCACTGCCCAGCCTGGTCAGCCTCCACTTGTTCCAGCTCACCTTCCTTCTTCACCACTTCACGTGCACACACACACACACACACACACACCCCTGGCCCTGTGGTTACACAGCCTCTTCAGTCCTTCCAAAGGGCAGTGCTTCTGCCCTCCAGAGAGCTTTCAGACACTGCATTTCCTTCTGTCGGGAAGGGTCCCGCTTTGCCTACTTTGTCCTCTTTCCACTCTTAGCCTCCTTACGTAAGCCTGTCACAGGCTCTTAGCAGCTGTCACATCTCCCTTGCAGCACTGACCACAATGGCCATTAAATAATTAACTGTACAATTAGTTGTTTAGTGTCTGTGTAGCCCACAGAACAACAGGCCCATGAGAACAATCTCTCTCTCTGCTTTTGGTTCCTGCTACCTTCCCAGGCTTAGCGGGTTGAACTCGGTGGGTTCTTATTAACTATTGCTACAGGAAAGAGCCAAGGAATAAATGAATTATTTAAATCCTAATAAGCCCCTCCTATCCTTTAGATATTTTTGTTCCCAGTTTATAGATGTAAAAGTAAGGTGCAGGTGCAGGGTGGTTAGGTAACTGGCCCAAGGTCACCCACTTAGTAACAGTGGAGACTGAAGTAGAAATCCAGAGCTTTCTGATTTCAAAGATCAGGCTCTAAACAGCCACGACTCAAGCCCAGTTTGCTTTAAATGATGATGAGAGAATTCTTAACAGAAAGTCAGAAGCATCCTAACTAGAAATTCATGAAAGAATAATTTTATTTTATTAAAAGAATTATTGCAATCAACAAGAGAATGGATAAACAAACTGTGATATAATTACATAATGGAATACCACTAGCAAAAAAGAGAAACAGACTACTAACATGCTGTCGCATCCATGAATTGCAAAAACATGCTGAACCAAAGAAGCCAGACACAGAAGACTACATGCTGTGTGACTCTATGTGAAATTCCAGAAGAGGCAAAAACCATGGATGTGAGAGCCATTAGGTCAGTAGTTGCCTTTGGGGTGAGACAAGGAGTGTCTGGGAAAGAGAATAAGGGAATTTTCTGGGGTGATGATAATGTTCTGTATCTTGATGGAGATTTCAGTAACCTATTTGTGTATGTATTTGTCCAAAGTCAGCATCCATACTCATGAGATATGTTAATTTCTCTCTTTGCAAATTATATCTGGAAAACCAAACAAACTCTTAAACCAATATTGAACTGTAGTTTGTGACATGCATGCTGAAGTGTTTGGGGTGACGCGTACTGACGTCTGTAGCTTGCTTAGAAAATAAGATGGATGCTGGTGGACAGAGGGAGGAATGCATGGACAGACGCGGGGTAAAGCGAGGAGAGTAAAATGGTACATGTAGAGTCTAGTGGGGGGGGGGTGTGGGTGTTCACTGCTCAAAACTTTCCAACTTTACTGTATGTTTGAAAATTTTCATTATAAAATGTCAAAAAAAAGTTCATGACCAGCCTGGCCAACGTGGTGAAATCCCGTCTCTACTAAACATACAAAAATTAGTTGGGCGTGGTGGCAGGTGCCTGTAATCCCAGCTACTTGGGAGGCTGAAGCAGGAGAATCGCTTGAATCTGGCGGGCAGAGGTTGCAGTGAGCCGACATGAAGCCACTGTACTCCAGCCTGGGTGACAGAGTGAGACTTCATCTCAAAAAAAAAAAAAATCAGTCAAAAAAAAATACAGTAAGCTGAAAAAATGCATTTCAAAAGCAGCTAATGTTTATGGTAATCAGTAAACAATCCAAAGATGCATGCTAGAAAATTATTCACCGTTTTTTATTAAAGGGGATGATTGGCAGGGAGAATGTGGAGAAGAGGCCCAGGAGTGGGGTTGGGAGATGCCTAATTCTTGGCAGGATCTGGAAGAAGAGGCAGCTGGTGGGATCTTCTTCAGGGTAGAGAGGTTACAGAATACGAGACTGAGCCTTTGAGGGCAGCCACCTCCTCCCTGAGGCCTCTGGGGTGGCAGTTAGTTCTCAAAGCTTGTTTCATTTATGGTCCAGCACCATAAGTGCTGTTGCTGACATTATTGGCTTGGCAGTGAAATCAAGCCTGCGCCCTTGGGGGCGGTGCGGGGGTCTTGCCCGGATGGTCGATGTGATGGTGTCAATGGCAGAAGGAGGCTGGAGACGTGGGCACTCTAATCTGATCCCCAACATTCACTGGTTATGTGGCCCTGGGTGCATCACTGAACCTCCTCTGGCCTCTGTTGCCTTATCTGTAAAATGAAGACAATAATATTTAGCTTGCAGGGCTGGTATCAGAATTACATATTCTGACATTATCAAGGTCAGCTGTGTGTTGCCAAGTCTGAGGTCAAGCCTCAGTCCCCTGTTGCTCCCTTTATCAGTGGCTTGTGACACAGTTGATCAGGCCCTCTGCCTTGAAACACTTGGTGCTCTCTGCCAGGGGACATCACTCTCTCTTAGGTCTCTCTTAACCTCCCGGGCTACTCTTCCTCAGCCTCCTTTGGTGAATCCTTCTCTGGTGAATCCTCCTCTTCGCCCAAATCACAAGTTGGGCTAACCCCGGGGCCCAGTCCTCAGCCCTCTTTTGGGCTCTCCTTACACCCTGCCCCATTTCCTATGCAGTTTCTGTTCAAACAGGTCCAAAGCCAAATCTTGGATACCCTGCCCACAACCAGCTCCTTTCTTTGTAAGTCTTCTTCTCTTTCTAAATGGCACCATCAGTTCTCCCGGTTGCTCCAGCCACAATCTTGGAAGCATCTTTGACCTATTTTTCTCCTCCATGCTTAATTCAACAACAAATCTCATTGCTTCCACTTTGGAAACATATCTGCAATTGGGCGACTCCTGTCCACCCTCATGGTTAGGAGCCTAACCCAAACCCTAACACCTCGTACCTGGACTGTGGCATCTGCTATCTGCTGCCTAACCAGTCTCTCAGCTTCCACTCTTGTCTCCCTAAACCCTGTTTTCCTCACAGTAACTAGAATTGTCCTTAATGCATAGAATCATGACTCTCCTTCATCTCAAAGCTCTCCAACAGCTTCAGAATAAAATCCATGTCCCCAGGATGCTCCCAGGGCCTGTGACCCCTCTGGACTCATGCCCTCCTTCTGCTCATTCTGCTCCATCACTGCTCACTTCCCAGCTACCCCTCCAACACACCAATGCGCCCCCACCTCACGGCCTCTCCCTGCGCCGTGCCCTCCACTGGATTGCCCTTCCCTTGATATCTAGAAGGCTGAATCTCCCACCGCTTTTAGATTCCTGCTCAAATTGCACCTCATCTTTTTTTTTTCTTTATAAATTACTCTGTCTTGGGTATGTCTTTATTAGCAGCTTGAAAACGGACTAATACACCTGTCCAGGCTACCTTCACAGTGGGTTCACTTATGAAACCCATCGTCTTACATCCATAATAATGGTTTACTCTATTTAGTGTAAATGAGGAAGCTATGTGATAATAGCTGGAATCTTCTGTCTAAGAGGAAGAAAAGAAACCAAAGTAACCATAGCTTATACAGAAGAAATGACAGCACTTAAGAGATGAAGTCCGGAACAAAGTCTGGGTATTAAGCCATAGAACATCCTTATAGGAACTTGGACCTGTCACCTGCAGCAATTTGGTCACAACTCTGCATATGTAATGAGCATGTAAATAAATTCTCCTTTACTCCTGGAGAAGATGTTACTGATCTGCTACCAGCTGAACACATGTTTGTAGTAGGGATGACAGGTTCACCGGATCTATCTCTCCCTAATCTGGTTTCCTTTGTGACCGGTCGCTTGTCTTTCTTTGCAAGGCAGCTGGCCAGGGTTGTAGAAATTGCACCTCATCTTAGAGTCTCTCTCGACTCCTCTATCTGAAATTGCATGCTATTTCAATCTCCTCGTTCTGCTTTTTTTTTTTTTTTTTTTTTTGCTTTCCTTGTTGCTTGGCATGGTGTATTTACTTGCTCATTAAAAAGATTATGTGTCTTCCTACTTGAACGTGAGCCACGTGACAAAAGGGACTTCACATATATTCCTTATTGCTGTATCCGCAACACCTAGGACAGAGCCTGGCGCCCAGTGGTTTGCCAATAAAGGTTTGTAGGATGGACGAGTGAGTAAAAAAAAAATGGCTCGCTTAGTGCCTAGCCTAGAAAATGCACCCACAAAATGATTATTGTATCATAATAATGGTCCTTTATGGAGAAAATGGGCCAAATTAGAGGGGAAGAACTTGATTCTGATCTTAAAGTTAGATCCTGAATGGAAAAATACTTAATCCCTTGGGCAGTTTCATCATTAGTATGAATCAGAGGTTCCTTTTCTGGCATGGAAGATAGATTGTCATTTGATCCAGAAATTACTGCCCAGAACTTTCCTGGCCAATAGTTCTGTTCTCCTGCCTAAATTCCTTCTTCATCTGACTCCAGATTCCCTGTTTCTGCCTAGGGTGCATTCATTCCTCCCTCCCTCCCTCCCTCCCTCCTTCTCTTCCTTCCTTCCTTCCTTCCTCCTTCTTTCTCTTTTTCTTTCTTTTTTTCTCTTTCTTTCTTTCTTTCTTTCTTTCTTTCTTTCTTTCTTTCTTTCTTTCCTTCTTTCTTTCTTTCTTTCTTTCTTTCTTTCTTTCTGTCTTTCTCTCTCTCTCTCTCTTTCTTTTTTGGAATCGGGGTCACACTCTGTCATTCAGGTTTGAGTGTAGTGCTTCTGTCATAACTCACTGCAGCCTCAACCTCCTGGGCTCAAGTGATCCTCCTGCCTCAGCCTCCCAAGCAGCTGGGACTACAGGCACACACCGCCATACCCAGCTAATTTTTAAATTTTTTGTAGAGATGAGGTTTTGCTATGGGGCCTGCGTGCATTTCTTTGAAATGACCCTGAGCATGCTACCACCCAGTGATTCCACCCCTAAGGCATAAAGCTTTCCAGTGGCTGCAATGCAAGACCCTGTCTTAAAAAAAAAAAAAAAAAAAAAAAAAGACAGCGCTGTTACACATTTCAACAGAGCCGTTTAAAAGACATTTATCAGAATTCTGCTGAGCAGGCTTTGAAATTAGTTCTGCTCAGATATTGGAACTTCTTATCTCCGCAGACAAATAGATACAGCCCCGTGTACTGTGGGCAGGAAGTGGGCCTTTGATCTCTGTGGGGAGACCTGCTTTATATATAGCACTTTAAAAAATCGAATTATGTTCTGTGTAAGTTTATTTTGAGGACGTCATACTCTATGGAAACAAGTAGGATTCCTTTATCAGAAAGGAGATTGTAGGTTCTACAATCACAGAACAAATATACGGTGCCTGCTCTGCTGATCATACAGTGACTGTTTGATGAAGTTCAAATACTTGATGGAAAGGAGCAAAACAGAGGAGGATATTGATACACACACACACACACACACACACACACGCACACATAGGCATAGATTGTGGGGAGAGGGAAAGAGAGAAAGGGAGAGAGACAGGGAGGAGGGGAGAGAGGGAAAGGGGGAGAAGGCGAGGAAAAGGGTGGGAGGGAGAGGGAGAGAGACAAAATAACTCTTCAAATTTGAGAGAGATGGAAAGGATTCCAGCTGATGACAGCTACGGGCTTTACTGTATTTTACTTCTGCACCTAGTTGGTGAGCTAGGAGCTAGGGGCAGAGTAAGAGTTATTATTTCCTTCCTTTTATTTTTCTCTTTTTAGCTTCTAGCCTATCTGGGCAGAAAATAATCTGTCACCAGCCTGGCCCAACCAACAAGCAGAGCCCTGAGATGGGCAGGGAGCATTTGGTCCCCTGTGAGTTGTAGGAGGTTACCCTGAAATCTGAGAGGTGACATGGCTTACCAGGATCCCAGAGCGAGTGGAGTGGGGACCCCCCCTGGAATCTTACAGTTCAGACTCTCAACCCCCCTGCTTCTGTCCACACATACACAGGAGATTTTCAAACAACGCTCCTTGAGAGGGAGGAGGGAGGTGCCGAGGCAGCTGTGACTCTCACGCCCATCTTTAATCAGAGCGGCTCCACTCAGACTTAAAAAAAAATGTTAGTTCATGTCTTTTACTGACTCATACACAATTACTTGTCTTCTGGTTTGTTGAAGCAATCAGTCAGACAACAATTTGCCACAGTAATTTCGCTCCAAGTGGCTGGCCATAAACACTCCAGTGCCACAATCATCTGAAGGGCATTTCCAAAGAAGGCAAGTAATTTGGCCATTCTCATCCATTTTCTAGTATTTCAAGTCAGCCAGTTAACCTTCTTTCTCTCCTGCTTTTCTTCTTGGGAGTGGTGTAAGATTTCTTCATTTTGTTAGCACCACCATGAAGTCTTACCACAGGATGAAGAGTAGACTTTTTTTGAAAGTTGTAGTCAGCTGGGCGCGGTGGCTCACGCCTGTAATCCCAGCACTTTGGGAGGCCAAGGCGGGTGGATCACGAGGTCAGGAGTTCGAGACCAGCCTGGCCAAGATGGTGGAACCCAGTCTCTACTACAAATAAAAGAAAATCAGCCGGGCGCGGTGGCTCATGCCTGTAATCCCAGCACTTTGGGAGGCCGAGGTGGGGGATTGCTTGAGCTCAGGAATTCAAGATGAGCCTGGGCAACATGATGAAACCCTGTCTCTACTAAAAATACAAAAATCAGCCAGGCATGGTGGTGTGTGCCTGTAATCCCAGCTACTTGGGAGGCTGAGGTGGGAGCATCACTTGAGCCTAGAAGGTGGAGGTTTCAGTGAGCCAAGATTGTGCCACTGCATTCCAACCTGGGAACCTGGGTGACACAGCAAGACTCTCTCTGAAGAAAGGAAGGAAGGGAGGGAGGGAGGGAGGGGAAAGAGAGAAAGAAAAGAAAGAAGAAAGAAAGAAAGGAAGAAAGAAAGAAAGAAAGAGTCAAAGTACATCCATCTTTTTCTTCCAGTTGCTTTCCAGCAAAGATCCGCCTTTGCTGATCAAGAGGAATTCCTTTCTTATTCTGGGTCTTGGCCTTTACATTTTCTGTCATATCCAAGGGTTCGACCTTGAGGATGACGGTCTTCCCCGTAAAGATTTTTATTAAAAAATCTGTATTTTGGTGGCGGTTCCACTGCAGATGGCAGATTGAAAAGCCAGAATATTTTCTGCATTCAGGATCTTGTAGTAGGTTGACAGAAAAAAAAGAGGTTTGAAAATACAACAAAGGGAAGGTACATTAGAAAGGGTAGTCCACACTAAAAGACTGGGAAAACCTAGTAACTAAGAACACAGATTCTAGAACTGGACTCCGTGGATTCAAATCCCAGCTATGCCTCATATGATTTGCATTTCTTTATCTGTAAAATGGATAGATGGAAGCAGCTGTACCTCCTAGGGTTGAGAGTGTTACATGAGTGGATGTACGTGACACACTTAGAAAATGCACTCAGCAACTGCCTTCTTAGCTTTTAACTCGGGGGTGGGAAACCCAGGTTAGATTAAGCAGCTGTTGCGAATTGCTAATCAGGGGAGAAGTCAAAATTCCCTTCAATAACTAGTTCTGTCACTCCATTCTTTAATATTGATGCTTGGTCAAATTAATAAAGACATTTTATTTGGTTAGCCCCTTTGGTTGGAATGAAGAAAAAATTACTCTGGATAGCTCAAGAAACAAATTAAATAGGATAGGGAACATAGTGATTATTATAAGCATAATGATGGGCAAAAAGAGGAGACAAAAATCTCAGAACAGGATGAGAATGGGTTCTTGAATGCGGGACCCCATGCGATGTGGCTTCTGCAGGTGGAACAGCCACGTCCCCTTTGGTCTTCAGAAGCAGGAGCTGGTGGCTTCTTGCTGGAACAGCCCATCGTCCACTCATTCTCATGCCCCGTTTTGGGACAGTGGGGTGACCACTTTGTTTTAATTGCTTATGTAATTGTCTGCCTTTCCCTATGAGGTGCAGTCTTAGCGTGGGCAGCACCCAGCCAGGCTCACTACTGCTTGTTGGCAGAGCACCTAGCACATGACAGTCACTCCACAAATGGTAGCTGGCTAGATGGTGTATCAGGTAGGATATGGGGAGGCTTCCTCGCTCCCTCTGCTGCTGCTTCTCTTCTGTGCCCTTCTGCCCATCTCCTGCCCGCAGCCTCTCTGCCTCTTCCGCCGCACTCCCATACTGCTAGTCATGGTCAGATTCCCAAGAGAGAGAACATTGCAATGATCTAGCTCCTCTTGCTGCTCTCCTCAGTCACTGATTCATTCTTCCATCCACCTGCCTACGTGTCCACCCATCTCTTCGTATTTTGTTGCTACTGAGTATCTGTTTTCCTTTCCCTTCTCCAGTTCCTCCCATGGGGCTTTGGTGGGATGGACCCCACCCCAGATCTAGCCATTGCACTGGCCACTGGAATGGCTTCAGAGAAAGTCGTGCACCCCAATTTAGGCTAATGAGAGAATAGCTGGTTCTTATCTGGACCATGTGGTGTAAGAACAAGATCTTGTCTGCCTGGGTGTTCTGGGCCAACCCAAGGAGCCACACAAGATAGGATGGAGTGGGAGACAGGTACAGAGAGAGAGGGAAAGGTTGATTAGATACTGGATGACATGGTTTGAGTTACTGGATCAAGTCTCATTTGAAGCTAGAACTATTCCTGAACATCCAAGATTTTTTAGCTATTACATTCCTTTAGCCAGTTTTAATTGGGTTGCTTGCAACCCAAAGGATGCTACCTGACAGGCCATCTAGCCAGCTATCATTTGTGGGGTGACTGCCATGTGCTAGGTACTCTGCCAACAAGCAGTAGTGAGCCTGGCTGGGTGCTGCCCACGCTGAGGCTACGTCTCATAGGAAAAGGCAGATAATTACGTAAGCAATTAAAACAAAGTGGTCACTCCATTGTCCCAAAGCAGAGAGTGGATGATTGGATTGGCTCCATTGTTTTAAAGCCAGTCTTTACATATGTTTATGTGTGCCTATGCACAGGAAAACATTAGAGATGTGATCTGTTGGCTTATTTTACACTTTGCTTTATTTTTGCAGTGAACCTTAATTACTCTAAAATCAAGGGGGGAAATGCTATTAGAATCAAAATGATAAGTATGGTAAGCATTGTGCTGGGAGAGGTACTGGATGCTGTTAGGAGCACTTAGCAGGGACTGGCTTTAGGCAGCTGCATAACTGCAGGGAGCAGTAGAGAAGGTTCAGTGAGGCTCACTTGTGCATAGAGACCTTCCTGCCTCTGCCTGTATAGGCCCACCCTTAGCGAGGCCCTGGGGGTATCGGCTGGTCGGAGAAGCCAGGCACAGGAGCCTGGAGTCCCTGGCCTCTTCTCCAGACTGTCTGGGGCGTTGGCTCCCTGATCTGGCCGGGAGCATTTCCCCAGCTCATTCCTCTGCCTTACGGTGGAGAGCTGGTTACTGGAAGCACAAAGCCCTTTCCTTTCAGGGCTCCAGAAGCTGAACATTAAGAAACCATTGCAAATACAGTAATTGCTCAGAATGAGCATTAATGTCCTATTAAATAGAGGTGGCTGCTGTGGCTGGAATATCTAATTCAGCAGCCATTTCCTGAGAACCATGTTAATGTGATTTGAGCTAATTACCTCCTCTCTGCCTAAGCTCAGTCCAGAAATTACTGAGGCCTCTGCCCTTCAGTCTTTGGAGAAGCACAAGAATCCCTCACTCCCTTTCTCGGCAGGGGAGTTCCGGAGGTTCAGGCAGCAAGCAATCATCAATCAATCAGCGATTGGCCACTCTGTGCTTGACATTGGACTAGGTGCTGAGGAGGTGGGGACACTCATTAAATCTCATTCTGTGCCTTTGAGGCATTTGACATTTGTCTAAGAAGTCAGGACAACCGTGGCTAAGAAATGAAAGAATTGGAGAACATACAGGACAGCATGGACTCTTCATTAGTTCAGTCATTCTTGGTGGTAGAGGGCACACTGGTGGATAACACAGCTCTGGTCCCACAGTCATGGGAGCTTATGTTCTAATGAGACAGACATTGACTAAGCAATTGTGCAGTAGTTGACTAACCACAACAGTAATATGCGTGATGGATTATTACAGGATGTCATGAGAGAATAAAATGAGGAGTGGGGTGGAAACTGACCTAGCCTTTGGGGAAGGGGGTCTGAAAAAGCCTCCAAGGGAGTAGGAGACCCGAGAGTGAGCAGGAATGAGCAGAGCACAGGAGCGAAGGGGATCTCTTCACCTCCGCACTGTTTGCGGAGTATGGGGGCTGGGCACAGAGAGGAAAGGGCAGGGTGGTGCCCGGTAAAGCAGTACTGTCTCTCTGTCTTGCTGCCTGCAGCAGCATGTCGTGGTGCCCAGTGCCAGGACCTTGGAGTTGGGAGACCTGGGTTCCAGTGGCACCCTAGCTTTGTGTCCCCAGAGGAGTTACTCATGTGTTATTGAGAACACACGGTACACACCTGGGTTTCACCTCCTCAGGGGAAAACACTGGAGATTACTAACTTCCAGTGCGAAAATCCCATGATTATGTAAATTCTAGGTTCTGAGTCCTGCAGCAATGAGATGGAACCATCCTGCAAGGGTCTGTAGGGGTTGGAAGGGGAAAGAGTGTAGGGGGCCAAGTCAGACTATGGGGTCTGAGGGTATAAAGGGTGGTTCCATTCTGTGACCAGGAGCGAGTTCTCTTCCTTTCTGGGCCCTGCAGCTGCACTGTCGCAAGCCCTACAATTGGGCTTCTCTTGCGCAGCCCTCACTCCTGCAGCTGAGTTCTAGTCCAGCTAGAATTCCAGTCATGGAGACTACTTGAGTTCTTTTCCTGGGGCCTCTTGATCCCCTTGTAAATCAGAGACTGAGGACAGAGACTTGATGGCAAAGGGAAGGGGGTGAGCAGAGGATCTGGACACAATTCCACCTCTGGCCTTATTAGTAAGGTGACTGGTAGATGCTGTGAAATGCACCCAGACCCCTCTTCAGGAATGAAGGACTTACTTGCCCAGCTTCTGGGAGTGCTGCCAGAGGTGGCTTTCAGCCGTCCGCCCTGGATCACCTCACCTGAAAAAAATAGCCCTTCCCAAAGTCATGCCTCTTTCCAGGGGCAGCCTGTGATCAGGGACTGATCCAAGCCAGGGTATAAAGGCCTGGTTCCCTCTACACAACTTGAGATAACTCCAAAGGGTCAGCTCAGCTCCAAAATTCCTCTCAGGGTTGACTGAAATCTTCATTAAGACGGCATCGCAGCTCCATGTTTCCCATCTCTTCCTGGCAGTCCTGCACGCAGAGCTTTGTCTCAGGTTCTGCTTCTCTGGGAACCCAACCTGCAACCGTGCTCTTCGACAAGCCCCTTCAGCGTTTTGTGCCTCAGTTTCCTCATTTGTAAAATCGGGATAATAATGACCACACTTCAGGCTGTTGAAAGGATTTAAAAAACAAATTCCTGGTGGTGGGATCATTTATAAGGGTATTTGCGTTTCGTCATGACTTGGATAATCTTACCAGCATTGAGTGGCAATCAAAAATGTTTCCAGATGTGGCCAAATGACCCTGGGGAGGAGGGGGAGTCAGAATCACCCCTGGTGGAGAATTAGTGGTTTTAAAAAGGGAGAGGGGGGTGGGCATGGTGGCTCACTTCTGCAGTCCTAACACTTTGTGAGGCAGAGGCAGGAGGATCACTTGAGGCCAGGAGTTCAAGACCACCAGCCTGGGCAACACAGTGAGACCCCATCTCTACAAAAAATTAAAAAATTAGCTGGACGTGGTGGCTCATGCCTATAGTCCCAGCTACTAGGGAGGCCGAGGTGGGAGGACTGCTTGAACCCAGGAGGTTAAGGCTACAGTGAATCATGATCATCATGCCACTGCACTGTGGCCTGGGCAACAGAGCAAGACTCTGTCTCTTAAAAAAATATTTAAAGAAGAAAAGGGAGCGGGAAAAATCATTTATCCATTTCCCTTGGTGATTACACATCAAGGCACAAACACCACTCAACACTTCCCAGCCTCCCTGAGGCTGCGGCCTGGCCATCACTTTCTTCATTAGACAGGACTGAGCACCCACTGCTCTCTCTCCCTGGAGGGGAGGGACTGGCAGCCATTGTTTCTTTCTAGGAGAACCTGGGCTTCTAATTTCATCCCGTGCGTAAACTGTATTGGGCACTGGACAAAGCTCTCAGTTAGTACAAGGGATGGTCCAGGTGAGGGCTCATTTGATCCCATCACAAATCCCCGCAGGGTCCTCTCAGCAGCAGGGAGCAGGACTGGGCCTCTGACCCCCGGTGACTGTAGGTCCTCCTTTCCTGGATGCTCAGTGAGGTGGTTCCCTGGCAACAGCACAGCATCCTAGCAGCCCCAGGGCACATGAACCACAGACAGAGGGCAGATGAGACAAAAGAGTCTTCCGTGCTCACTGTGGGCATTGTGTCAGTGTTTACCCTGGGAAGCTCCTGGATGTGCTGTTGACCCTTCTCTCTGGAGAACTTTAGCCTGGCCCCTGCCCACCCCACTGGAGCCATTACTCAGAGCTCTGTGCTACAAAGGCCCAGAGAAAGGACCCTGGGGAGGAGGCTACATGGAGGCTACATTCATTCATTCATTCACTGATTCATTCAATAGGTATACTTTGTATCTCTACTGTGTCTATCTATTGAGCCCATCTCTGGGAATATTAAGTTGGTTGAGATATGGGTTGAATATGCTGTGCAACAGTGGGGAATTTAAAACACAGTCCTTGACCTCCAGTAGTTTTTGTTTTGTTTTGTTTTGAGACAGAGTCTCACTCAGTTGCCCAGGCTGGAGTGCAGTGGTACAATCTCGGCTCACTGCAACCTCCACCTCCCAGGTTCAAGCGATTCTCCTGCCTCAGCCTCCAGAGTAGCTGGGATTACGGTCGCCCGCCACCAAGCCCAGCTAATTTTTGTATTTTTATAGAGATGGCGTTTCACCATGTTGGCCAGGCTGGTCTTGAACTCCTGACCTCAGGTGATCCGCCCACGTCAGCCTCCCAAAGTGTTGGGATTACAGGCGTGAGCCACTGCGCCTGGCCTCCAGTAGTTTTTTATTGGGTTGGGAGAGCCATCCACTCCCAGGAAAGCTAAGGACTAATATGAATTTTCTGTAAAGCAGAAGCACGCAGGAGAAATTTCCAGGCACCTGTGATGGAGGAGGATGAAGCAAGGGAGGAGCAGCCTTTATTGTGTGCTCAGGTGTGGGAGACCCTTAGCACCTGTACAGCTTGGGAAGAAGAATGTGGAGCTCTGAGAAGTGAAGAACATGCCCCAAATATATTGCCTGTGCTGAAGACAAAGAGGGTTTGATGACACGAGGATTTGCCCCCCTTTTCTGTTAGGACCACCTGGCTGCCTCCAAACACTCTCTGACTTGCCTCCTAGTTGCTCGCCTCACGTTTTCTCCTCCTCCGCTTTTCTAGAAAATATGCTCTCTTAAGAACCAAGTCTGAAGCGAAGGCTGTACTTGAACTTCGGGCTGGCTGGACCACTCAGACCGATTGAGGTGCTCTATCTCCCTAACACCTGCACTCTAAGAACCACATAAAGGACTCGCTGGTTTGCGGCTGGGTGGGGTTGGGTGGGGCTGGGTGAGGGCGTGTGAGTCAGCTTGGATAAAGAAAATCATCCAGGAGGGATGTGTTTTGGGACACTGACTACTGACCTCTTTTCTGACCCTCTTTGTTCCAGGCAACTGTGCAGATCCCGGCACTTTGGCTGTTTCCAGGAGTCTGTGCTTTTTTCCCCAAGGGGCTGGCCAGGAAGGGCTGCCTGGGAGACAGTGGCTGCTCACTGTTGCCATTTTTCTCTCCCATGATCTCAAAGCCACCCATTAAGGGAACCATCAGCTACTTGGGCAATTTCCTTCTGTGTAGAGAGCGAATGACATTTGCACTATTTGCTCATCTAACGCACCCGACATGTCCTCCTTTCTGGTTAATTTGGGTCCCAACTAGGGAGTCCTGTACTGACATCATTCAGGCAGTTGGGGGCTCTGGCCACTGTATATCTGGCAGCACAGGTCCCCCACTCTCTTGGATAACTGCCCAGCCCAGTTATCCATTGAGGGGATGCTTCAAATGGCTGGGAAAGTTCACAGAAAAAGGTGTGAGCCGTGGTGAAGCTTGTCTTTATTAACCAGTGAGCAAAAAACATTTTAATTAAATTGCAAAGATACACATCTTTGGTTCCCTCTTGAAATCTAGCAGAAAGTATGCCAGGGAAGAAAATTTGCACAGGGAGAATATTCAAATCAGAAGTATTTTCCAGTTTAAAATATCAGCAGGGGCAGGCAAGGGCTGGGGAGAAGAACAGGAGTGGTTATCTTGGAGTCCCCTGTGAAGTCCCTCACGAAGAAAAGACTTATACAAGAATTCTTGGCTGGGCACGGTGGCTCACGCCTGTAATCTCAGCACTTTGGGAGGCCAGGGCGGGCGGATCATGAGGTCAGGAGATCGAGACCATCCTGGCTAACATGGTGAAACCCCGTCTCTACTAAACAAAATACAAAAAATTAGCTGGGCGTGATGGCGGGCGCCTGTAGTCCCAGCTACTTGGGAGGCTGAGGCAGGAGAATGGCATGAACCCAGGAGGCGGAGCTTGCAGTGTCCGAGATCAGGCCACTGCACTCCAGCCTGGGTGATAGAGTGAGACTCCGTCTCAAAGAAAGAAAGAAAAAAAAGAATTCTCACCTCCCAGGGTTATGTCTATTTGAAACTTAGAATAATTGCCTCCGTTGGCTGATTTTCCTCTGAAGGAGAAATTATAAAATTTAAGATGGGGAAGGGAGGTGTGGAGAAGGATGCTGGAGATATTCTGGCTACTGCAGTAACTGGATGGCTATCTGCTTTTCTGCAGGCCCCTAAGGTAAAAGCCTTGCTCCAAGTCCCCTTCTGACTTCTAGTCACTTCCGTGCTGCCAGCAGAGGGCGTGGGATTCTTCCTGAGGAGCCTGAGTCTCAGCTTTGCCAGGTCCTTGCTGTGTGACCTTGGGTAAGTTACATAACCTCTCTGAGCCTCAGTTTTCTCAGCCATAAAACAGAGACAATAGTCAGCCCTACATTTCAGGATTGTTGTGAGAAGTAAATAAGACTATGCAAAAGGCCTTTCTTCCCCTTCCTCCTCTTCCATCTGGGGGCCCTGCTCTTCCTTTCTCAAGCTGTCCCTCCTCCCAGCATCTTTCTGAGTCTGCGTGCACTCAGAAAGCTGGCTCCTCTTCCTCATCTACCGGTACCCTTTGGAACACCTGGGGCTACCCTTGCTCACATTGTTATCTCATTACATTCTCATCTCTTACACTGGAAAACTGACCACCTGTATAATCCACATCTGAGCCCAGAGCCAGCACATGGGAGGCCTCTTAATGTTGAATGAAATCGCTTTGCAAACCGCAAAGAGCTTCCAACAGCCCCTTAGCTGTCATCATCCAGGGAAGCATTTGTCATAGCAAAACAACCTACCTCACCAAAAAGTGAAGCGTGCCTGGGTCCAGCCTGTAGAGAGAGGCTAGGGGGAAGGAGTGGATGCAGAGCCCATTTTGTGCCACTGGGGAGAGGAGTCCCGAAAGGCCACTGACTGGGAAGCCCAGGCCTCTGCAAGCCCATGCTGTTCACTCCTTGGTTGGATATAAGTCAAGATCCTCTGAGCCTTCCTCCATCATCTTTCTGCTGTCCAACACCGCAGTATCACTAAGCCCCTCCCCTAGCTGGATAAAGGAGCTCTGCTGGGCTCTTCCTGCCTGCCGCGGGATCTTTGTGTCTCGCGTCTCTGAGATCTTGGTCCCATCACCGACTTGCTCTGTGATTTTGCAAAGGTCACTTAGTTTCTCTGAGCCTTGATTTTCTTATTTATAAAATGGAGTGCCTCAGGAATCAAAGGAAATAGAGCGAATGTCTCCCCTCTTCCCTCAGCTACAGCTCAGGCGCTCTCCACCCTGGCAGCCCAGAAGAATTACCTGGGAGCTTTAAGAACATCTGAATGCCGCCCTGCGGGTCTCCCAGTCGCCTTTCTGACTCAGCGGATCTTCAATGAGACTAGGGCATTGGCTACTTTTTTTAAAGCTCCCCAGGTGATTCATGGGTTGAGTAGGGGCTGAGAACCATTGTGGGCTGCTTGGCCAACAACAGGGCCCCTCTGTCCTGGCTGTTGTCACTCTGTCTGGCTTCACTCCACCTCCCATCCCGCAACCCTGCCTCTTAGAGGCTGCTGAACATCTTACAGTTTCCCAGAGGGCTCTCTCCCTCTCTCCCTCACTCTCCCTCCCTCCCTCTCTCCCTTTTTCTCTCTCCCTCTCTACTCCCTCCTCCTCTGTCTCTTTCTCTTCCTTCTTCTCTTTTTCCCCCTCTTCCTTTTCCTCCCTCTCTCCCTTTCTCTCTTCCTCTCTATCCTCTCCCCCTTCCTCTCTTTCTCCCTCCCTTTCTCTTCTTCTCGCCCTCTCTTTTTTCCTTTCTCCCTCCCTCTCTCTTACCCTTCCTCCTCCTCTCTCTCCCTCTCCCCTTTCTCCCTCTCTTTCTCCCTTTCTCTCTCTTCCTCTCTACCCTTTTTCTTTCTCTCTCTCTCCCTTTCTCTGTCCCCCTCCCCCCTCCTTTTCCTTTCTTCCCCCTCTTTCCCTTCCTCTCTCTCTCTCTCTCTCTCTCTGTCTCTCTCTCGGGTTTCCCTGCCTTTCTATATCACCTTGTTCTCCCTACCCAGACTGCTGTCCTCTAGGCTTAGCTGAGCCCTTCTCATCCTGGGAGCCTCGCCTGGGCCCTGTGTCTGGGGTTGGCCCCCTCCATGCTCCTCCACCCCACCTGCTGCCACCTTGAGTCTTCTCTCTGTGTCTCCTAATAGTCAATGTCTCACTGCCCTGGAGGCCCCTCTGTGGCTTAGAACCTGGCATATGGTGGGAGTTCTGAGTTTGCCAGTCCTGCCTTCCTTCCCTCCCTCTCCTTCGGCCCCCTTGGTCTCTTTCAGCAGTGTTCTCAAGCTTTAGCAAGCATCAGAGTCACCTGGAAGGCCTGTCAAAACACACATTGCTGGGCCCCACCCCCAGGGTTTCCTATTCAGTGCAGGGGAGGAGTAGATGATTTGCAATTCTAACAATTTCCCAGATGATAATGACCCACTCTGAGAGCCACTGCTTTAGAGAAGGGTGTTTCAATCCAGGCACTATGGACATGCTGGGCTGGATAATTCCTTGTTGTGTGCCCTGTCCTGTGCACTGTAGGATGTTGGGCAGCATCCCTGGCCTCTACCCACCAGATGCCAGTAGTAACCCTCCTCCACATGCCACAACCAGAAATGTCTCCAAACCTGGCCAGATATCTCCTATGGGGGCAAAATCACCCCAACATTGAGAACCACTGCTCTAGAACTCTTTGTCCTGGGGGTGGAGTGGACTCTGTGGGGACTTGGCAAGGCCAAGTTCTAAATTACTGTCCTCAAGCCAAATCAGGCCAGCCACCTGTTTTTATAAATAAGGGCTCACTGGAACACACAGCCCCACCCATTCATTGTCATCTTCTTTCTGCTGCTTTCTTGCTACAAGGGTGGAACTGAGTAGTTGCGACAGAGGCCATCTGGTCTGCAAAGTCTGAGACATTCACTATCTGGCTCTTTTCAGAAAAAGTCTACCGACCCCTTTCAGACCCTGAAGGGGTCTGGTAGAATGTGATGTGGTAGAAGGACCGGGGCAGGTGGGCCCACCCACTCTCTTCCATCCAAAGGAAGGGTAGTCCTCCAGGCTGAAGCTAAATAAAGGGCGTCTTCTATCCCCAGGAGTTTCCTATGCTGGGAAGGGGGTTGGGGGTGGCATTGGGCCCGGCAGCCTGGGGCCAGGCTGGGATTTTCCACCACTGCCTGGTTCACGGCCATGTGGTCACCTCCCTTTGACCAGACCTGGGCTCTGCTTATCTACAGGGTAAACAAGAGCTCCGCACACAGCCCCAGGGAGAAGGAACCAAGCGGGTAGATTCTGAGGCAGAGTGGAAGTGTACATAGCATTTGGGTCTGATATGTCAAGGGGAGGACTGGGGAAGAGGGACGTTGGGCTGGTTCTTTCATTCATTTGACATTTATGGAGCATCTGCTGAACCCAAGGCACCATGTAAAAGGCACAGTGAACAAGATACTGTTCTTGTCCTCTTGGATTTTCAGAGTTTGGGGAAAACAAGCAAGGAAGGGATAATTACCCTTGGGGAAGCACAGGGGTGACACAGAGGAGGCTCTAACCCAGTCCTGCTGGTGTGGTTTGAGGGGGCTTTGAAGACAAGACATTCAATACCTATTTTTGAGTCACAAGTCTACTCTGTTCCCCTTCCTTTAATGGGACAGCTTTTAAGCCCCCCAGATTCCTTCCTAAGTGCTCCAGCTATGTATCAGCTCAAGTCTGTGCCCTGATTGTCATACCTCCTTGAGCTAAGCCTCTGCCCCCATCAAGGAGGCCTCAGCTGGCCCCACCCCGTTTCTCTTGTCCAGAGCACGAGGAATGCATGGCAGGCTGTTTGCAGCAACTGAGTAGTCTAGCAAGGGTGCCTCTTCTGGGACATTGCTCATGCCTGTCCCCTCTGCCTGGTTACTGTCCTCCTCCTATCTCCTGGCCCATCTCAATCCAAATCCCACCTTGACTTTTTCACATCCACACAAATGCTCCCTCATCTGTGAAGGGGGATCATAGATTGCAGTTGACTGTGGATGACAGTTGTGCGTGTGCGTGGTTTCAGAACCATGGAGTATTCATCTCTGTACTCTTTATAGCCAAATTTAGCACCACGGTGCTTCCCTGGAAGTTCACAGTAAGGATTTTCTGAGTGAGCCAATGAATAAACGGCATCCTAAGGACTTAAGGGAGATGGCAATGTTGTCTGGTTCTAATTCTTTACACCTGTCCAGCACCAAATAGTTGCAGGGCACTTCGAAACTTGAGCTCGTTAATCACCACCCAGAGGCACAAGGTCAACAGAGTGGGCGTTGCTTACCAATCAGGGTTTTTCACTAGTCCGGGCAATAAGCAAATGGCTTTTTTTGTTTTTGTTTGTTTTGTTTTGTTTTTTTGGTGGTAAGAAAATGGCTTTGGCTAAATTAATCAAAAAGGACAGGTATGGGAAGGGCACAGAGAAGCTCACAGATTTGTGACCCTGACCAATGAAAGAAATTTATTTTACATTGCAACTGATTTTACAGTACACTTATTTATATAACAGAAGTAACATTTAGAAGAATCAGTACTGACCTGAGGCCAAGTGTGGTGGCTTATGCCTGTAATCTAAGCACTTTGGGAGGCTGAGGCGGGAGGATTGCTTGAGCCCAGGAGTTCAAGACCAGCCTGGGCAATATGGTGAAACCCCATCTCTACAAAAAATACAAAAATTAGCTGGGTGTGATGGTGTGTACCTGTAATACCAGCTACTGGGGAGGCTGAGGTGGGAGGATCGCTTGAGCTTGGGAGGTCGAGGCTACAGTCAGCTGTGATGGTGACATTGCACAGCCTGGGTAATGGAGTGAGACCGTCTCAAAACAAACAAATAAACAAAAACTGACCTGAGTTTAAGTTTATATGCTGTATCACTTTTAAAACCTGATGGCCAAGGACCCAGTACACTGATTTCATGTTACCCATAGAGGGTCACAATCTGTGTGTAAAATATTGGTTTAAAGGATAAAGCCAAACTCCTTTGGAATGGTATCAAAGGTTCCTTGGTAACCCAGCCCCTACCCGCCTCCCAGCCCCTACCCGCCTCCCAGCCCCTACCCGCCTCCCAGCCCCTACCCGCCTCCCAGACCTTACCCGCCTCCCAGCCCCTACCCGCCTCCCAGCCCCTACCCGCCTCCCAGACCCTACCCGCCTCCCAGCCCCTACCCGCCTCCCAGACCCTACCCGCCTCCCAGACCCTACCCGCCTCCCAGCCCCTACCCGCCTCCCAGACCTTACCCGCCTCCCAGCCCCTACCCGCCTCCCAGCCCCTACCCGCCTCCCAGCCCCTACCCGCCTCCCAGACGTTACCCGCCTCCCAGACCCTACCCGCCTCCCAGCCCCTACCCGCCTCCCAGACCTTACCCGCCTCCCAGCCCCTACCCGCCTCCCAGCCCCTACCCGCCTCCCAGCCCCTACCCGCCTCCCAGACCTTACCCGCCTCCCAGCCCCTACCCGCCTCCCAGCCCCTACCCGCCTCCCAGCCCCTACCCGCCTCCCAGACCTTACCCGCCTCCCAGACCTTACCCGCCTCCCAGACCTTACCCATTCTTGCCGTTTCAGTTTCTTATAAGTTTCTGTTTCTTTGAATTCCTTTATGTACCCTATGCTGGGTCTCATGCTGGTGCCTTTGCTCACCCCATTCCATCTGCCCAAATTGTCCTCTTCTCCTTCACCACCACCCCCTGCCCCCTACTTTCTTCTTCAAGACTCAGCTTATCTCCTTGGAATAGGTTAGAGCCTCCTCTGTACTCTCAGAGGACCCTGAGTCGGGAACCACCTGTCTCAGCGTCATTTATATTCCCAGACCCTGCCATAGGCCTATTGAGGTGGGGTGGTGAATCTGGACATCTACTGAACTAGCCCAGGTGATCTCTTTTTTTTTTTTTTTTTTGAGACAGAGTCTTGCTCTGTCACCCAGGCTGGAGTGCAATGGCACAGTCTTGGCTCACTGCAGCCTCCGCCTCCCAGGCTCAAGCAATTCTCCTGCCTCAGCCTCCTGAGTTGCTGGGATTACAAGTGCCCGCCACCACACCCGGCTAAGTTTTGTATTTTTAGTAGAGACCGGGTTTCACCATGTTGGTCAGCCTGGTCTCAAACTCCTGACCTCATGATCTGCCTGCCTTGGCCTCACAAAGTGCTGGGATTACAGGCATGAACCGCCTCTCCTGATCTTATCCATGTGCACATTAACATTGGAGACTTACTGGTCTAGAGTGTCAGTTCCTTCATGCTACTGGCTATACTATTTATCCACATATATGCTGTTGTAATGGCTCTCCAGCACCTCACCCCTGTCCTATTTTAGAGGAATTCCCTGTGATATCATCTTTTTTTTTTTACTTTTTAATTTCAAAATTATTACTTATTTATGGGTTTTGTTTTTTTTTTTTTGACGTAGTCTTGCTCTGTCGCCCGGGCTGGAGTGCAATGGCGAGATCTCAGCTCACTGCAACCTCTGCCTCCTGGGTTCAAGCAATTCTTCTGCCTCAGCCTCCTGAGTAGCTGGGATTACAGGCGCCCACCACCATGCCTGGCTAGTTTTTTTATTTTTAGTAGAGATGGGATTTCACCATGTTGGCCAGGTTGTTCTCAAACTCCTGACCTCAGATGATCCACCTGCCTCAGCCTCCCAAAGTGCTGGGATTACAGGTATGAGCCACCACACCAGGCCTATTTATGTTTTTTTTAGAGACAGAGTCTTGCTGTGTCACCCAGCCTGGAATGCAGTGGCATGGTCATAGCTCACTGCAGCCTTGCACTCTTGAACCCAAGCGATCCTCCTGCCTCAGCCTCCTGAGTAGCTGGGACCATAGGTGTGTGCAACCATGCGTATCTAACCCTGCCATAGCATCTTGATGGAAGACAAAACCCATTTCTCCATAGCATCTGAAAAATTCTGCTAGCCCAGTTCCCTGGCACAGGGGACATGGACATGTGGCCTTGTCTCAGTCAAGCAGTCTCACTAACCCAAGACTTTGAATCAGGAGCTGGTGACCCAAAGCAGCAGAGAAGGTGGAGAATGCTTTGGTGGTGGCATCTCCAAGGGTCCAGTTCCCAGAAGCAACTGCGGTGCAGTGAGCTGGGGACCCCGGCACTCACACGGCGGGGGAGGATGGCTGGCTCTTTGGCATGAGTTTGGCTTAGTCTCCCTATCAGCTTCCCATTCTCAGAATCTGGCTCTCCAGTGTTCGTGGCCATTTGGGGACCCAGTTGATAGCCTCTCAATTAACTACCTTTCTCCTTAAATGTACCAGAGTAGACTTTCTTTGACACTTACAAGTATGAAAACCCCATAGATACACCAGCACCTACACATGGTAAATATTTGCTGATACAGGAGTAAGTCACCCCAAAGCTCAGGGCTGCCATTCCAGCTTTCATCTCAATCTCATTTAAGTGCACCCTTGGCCCCACCCCAAGCACCTGGCAACCCAACCCTTAACCTTGGCCGTTGGCTTTGTCATTCCAGCCAGTGAGGCCTAATGGCAGAGTCACAGCTTGTGTATCTTCTTTAGGGAGACAAACTTAATCCCGTCTGTCCTCAGGATGGCTGTGGGTAAGGGTGTGACAGGTAGGCAGGCTTGTGGAGGGGGTAGAGACCTGCTCCCACTGGAGCAGAGAAAATGGATAAATGGATTTAAGCTTTCAGTATCCCCATGTAAAACTCAGAAATGCAGCAATTAGAATGTTCTGTGGCTTTGGCTGGCTAACTAAGTGCATGCAACTGTCCTCTGGGGATAGGGATTCTTGTGGAGAAAACACATTTTCTTCTCACTGATGATCATCTCCCACGTCTAACAGTCCCCAGCCAACCAGCTGAGATCAGTGAATAAGACTTGAAGGTGCATCAGAAAGAGAAAACCAACCAGTGCTGGGGACACCTCTAAGGCCCCTGCATACTCACTGGCTGCCATGCTGTTTGAGGGGTGGTGAAATGATAACAGTGGCAGAACAATAACTCCATGTCAGATCTGGCAGAAAGTGAAAAGCATCCTCAAATGGAGCCATTGCAGAGAGTCCAGTCAAGGAACTCTTTTCCAGGGTGTGGACAGGATGAAGAGAAGGCAGTTAAGAGCTTTGAGGAAGCACCAGGACTGACAATAACCAGGAGCCAATCCCTACTACTTCTAGGCTCCAGGGGTGAGGAGATGGAGCTGGAACTGGAATCTGGAGAGGATTGTTGGAGGAGAGGGCTGCCTGGCTGGGGCTGTGGCCTTGAGTGGAGAGGTACACCACTGGGACCCAGCAGGGAGGGAACGGGGAATAAATACCCCAACCTCTTTCTCCTCCCTCCTGCCTTCAGTTTCCTGTCAGTGCTTCTTACTGGTTCCAGCCAGCTGCAAGTCCAAGGGAATGGGCACCATTGATGTGGTCCATAAAGGCTAACCTACTGGAGCATGGAGCAGAGAGGAGTGGAGAGTGGATCAGGAGGGGCAAATAGAGAAAATCCACATAACAGCATAGAGAAGGCTTCCTATGAGCTGTTACGAGTACAGTGTGTATGGAAACTCATGTGATTCTGGGAAGAAGCCTAGGGACTAGTATTATTCCCATTTTAAGGATTGGGGAAACTGAGGCACAGAGAAGTTAAATAAGTTACCCAAAGTAAGTGTGAGCGTAGCTGCCATTCAGACCCAGGCAATCGGGATCCAGAAAGTGTTCTTAACCACTATGTTCAGCTGCCCAATAAGGTAGTCACGAGCTACATACAGCTTCTTAAATATATATCATTAACATGAAAAACAGCAAAAAATTCATCAAGTTCCATGAGCTACATTCAAGTGCTCACTGGCTGCATGTGGTTAGTGGCTGCCCTGTGGGATAGCACAGATATAGAACATGTCCCCCTCCCAGTGAGTTCTGTTGGACAGTTCTGCACCAGGCCTGGACACCTGACCTGGATCCTTTCAACCCTTGAATTCTCTGCAAAACGCACTCATCCATACTCCTATCAGTAGTTGTGGTGTTCCTGGCATGGAAAGGACGGGGGTCAGTCTGATTTGAAGATTCTTAGGACATTTCATTGACCTCCTGATGGCTGCCAGATAATGTAGCCTCATATAAAACTGAGATCGTTTTTTGTTTTTGTTTTTGTTTGAGATGGAGTCTCGCTCTGTCGTCCAGGCTGGAGTGCAATGACACGATCTCTGCTCACTGCAACCTCTGCCTCCCAGGTTCAAGCAATTCTCCTGCCTCAGCCTCCTGAGTAGCTGGGATTACAGGCACCTGCCACCACACCAGCTTTTTTTGTTTTGTTTTGTTTTGTTTTGTTTTGTTTTGTATCTTTAGTAGAGATGGGGTTTCGCCATGTTGGCCAGGCTGGTCTTGAACTCCTGGCCTCAAATGATCCGCTCACCTCGGCTTCCCAAAGTGCTAGGATTACAGATGTGAGCCACCGCACTGAGATCGTTTTATATGGGCCATGCCTTTTCTCACATTCTAAAATTCCTTTCTTATTCTGTCCTTTCCTATCATAATATCAAGGACATCCCATAATAAGCAAAAGCATTTCTATCAAAGGTGACAGAAAAAGTGACTGGCACATTTGGCCATCTTGTCCCCACCCCATTTTGGAGATATTTGTCTTCAGGGCTTAGGGGACACTGGCATCCTGTGATGTACAGCATCCTTCCATCAGCTCCCATGAGAAATTCTCTGTTGGGTTTAAGCAATCCCCAAATATATCATATTGACATGAATATATCATCTCCTCAATGTCCAGCATTAGCAGACAAGATGAGTGCTGAAGATGATATAACTCCTACCTCTTATGTAGGCTAGAGGTAAAGTCTGGCTCTGTCTGACTGTGGGGACATAGCGAAAAGGAATGTGGGTTAATATCAGATGACCTCCCCTGCAGATACAGAGATGCAGGGTCTGTACTTTCTGGGAGAGGAAGCAAAAAGTTATCTCTGAACCACTGATAAGTCAACCTCCCAGCAAAAATGAATGCTAGCTTTTATATATACATTCTCTCTCACGCACGATCCGTGTATACCTTTCCACACATATTACTATGCTGTGTATAATCCCTGTTAAGTGTCTCTGTGAACATTTTTGCATTTCATTTTATTGCAAATAATCATCACAAATAACCTTCACTGTTGCTTTTTGTGCAAAAAACTCTGTGCACTTACTATATTATCTCAATTCTCACAACAGTAACGATAAGATAGAAACCATCGCTATTCCTATTTCACAGAGGGAGAGAATATACTGCTTAGGGTCACACAGCCAATTTAGTGGCGGAACTAGGATGATAGCTAGATCTGTTTGACTACAAACTCATGCTCTTCCCACAATTACACTATGCTATAGCAGAGTTTTGCAAGCCCTTTTTGGCTGTGGAATGCACTCAGGGAGCTTTTCCAGAAGCCTAATAGGTGAAATAGACAAAAGTTGAGCTGGATTGGTTGAAATGCAAGTGCAAAGCTGCCAGTCTCGTGTGCTCTTGTCCCCTGGCCACCCTCCCACCAGACATAACCACTGAAACACCTCAGGGATCCACTTGGACTCAGAAAAGGCCAGTTTGCAAAACACTGTCTACATATCCCTTTAACAGACTGCATAGGATTTACCTTTTTATTTGAGACAGAGTTTTGCTCTTGTTGCCCATGCTGAAGTGCAATGGCGCGATCTCGGCTCACTGCAACCTCTGCCTCCCGGGTTCAAGGGATTCTCCTGCCTCAGCCTCCCAAGTAGCTGGGATTACAGGCATGTGCCACCACGCCTGGCTAATTTTGTATTTTTAGTAGAGACGGGGTTTTTCCATGTTGGTCAGGCTGGTCTTGAACTCCCGATCTCAGGTGATCCGCCCACCTCAGCCTCCCAAAGTGCTGGGATTACAGGCGTGAGCAACCGCGTCTGGCCAGGATTTACCTTTATGGATGTAGCATCATTAATGCACCAGGTGGCGTCCTGCTGTGATAAGGAGTCTTGATGATACATTTTGAACACTTTCATGATATTTTTCTGATAAATTTATAGAAGTGAAATGTTTTTGTTAAAATATGTGCCCATTTTAACCCCAAACTCTCCTTTGCAAAGGTGAAACTGCATAAATTCACATCTGCAGTGCCAGATTCTGCACATTTTTCCTGCATCGGGATATTACTATTTAAAATCATTTTTTTTCCAATTGTCTATGCAGGGGTACATTGCAATTGTTTCAATTTGCATTTTTTTGATTATTAAAAAATCAGACAAAATCTCTACTTGCTTTTCTTCTTTTACACATAACCAGTTCATACTCTTTGCATTTTATTTTTCCCCTATTAGAGCAGTGGTTTTTATTATCTGTTTGTAAAAGTTATTTATAATGTAGGATTATTAATCCTTTATATGAATGTAGACTGTCAGATATTCATATATATCATGTGTCATATAGAATATGTCATATTGAATTTTATCTTTTATTGTGTTTTTGATTTACAGATGTTCTAATTTTTAAGACCATGGGGCCAGATAAACACTCACCTATATCTTTTACATTTTTGATTATTTTTAAACCTTAAATATTTATTTATTTATTTAGTTAGTTAGTTTAAAAATGAATATATTACAAATAGAGATGGGGACTCACATTGTTGCCCTGGCTGATCTCGAACCCCTGGGGCTGAAACAATCCTCCTGCCTTGGCGTCCCAAAGTGCTGGGATCACAGGTGTGAGCCACCACACCCAGCCAAAGCCTTAAATTATTTAATTCATCTGAAATTCAATTTGTTATGTCATATAAGGAAGTGAACTAATTTTATTTCATTTTCCTTCTTTTTTTTTTTTTTGGAGACAGAGTCTCGCTGTGTTGCCCAGGCTAGAGTGCAGTGGTGTGATCTCTGCTCACTGCAATCTCCACCTCCCAGGTTCAAACGATTCTCCTGCCTCAGCCTCCCGAGTAGCTGGGATTACAGGCACGTACCACCACGCCCAGCTAATTTTTGTATTTTTAGTAGAGAAGGGGTTTCACCATGTTGGCCAGGCTGGTCTTGAACCCCCAACCACTGGTGATCCGCCCGCCTCGGCCTCCCAAAGTGTTAGGATTACAGGTGTGAGCCACCTCTCCCGGCTTTTATATATATATATATATATATATATTATATATTTCATTTTCTTATCTGATTGCAATGGCTTGTACTTATATTATTAAAATTTAGCACAGTGACTCTCAACCACCATTGCCCCTAAGTGCGTGTTGGGCAATGTGTAGGGACATTTTTGGTTGTCATAACTAGCAGTGAGGAGGGAGGGGTGTGTGTTACTGGCATCCAGTAGCTAGCTACAGGCCAGGGGTGCTGCTACATATCCTATAATGCATAGTCACCCACAACAAAGAATTATCTGGCCTAGAACATCAGTAGAGCTGAGATCAAGAAAACTTGTGTTAACTATTAGTGGAATCAGCAAGTCCCTTTTGCTTTTTGTGTTTTTCTCGTTGCAAACCAGATCTTCATTTGTTAAAGACAGCTTGCCCTAATATATCAGATCCTCCTGGAAATTTATTGTCTACCACAGACAGAGTGATGCAGACAGTGCTATGAGGAATATGCAGACTCTTGGGTCAATGCTGAATAAGAAATAAAGCAAAGCAATGCAGACATAAATTACACGTTAACAGTATATGCTGTTCTTCCTTTCTTAAGGCACCTGTGCTCCCTTGACAAAGAGGAATAAAACCTCTTCAGACTACTCTCCTATCGATTCTCTCCTGGAACATATGACCACCATCAATTATAGGCAAGAACATGAACACGGGAGTCCCAAAGACTTGGGTTCAAATGTCAGCCCCTTCACTCGCTGGCTGTAGGTGTGAGGCCCTGGGTAAGGTCCTTACCTCCCCAAGTGTCTGAGCCTGTTCCCGTATAATGTTCACTTGCCTTGAATATCATGAAATGTACATTAGACTTTGTAAGTAAACACCTAGCTGAGTATCTGGAGCATAGTAAGTGCTTATCACACATTCCATGGAGTCCCAGACACGAGCAACTAATGCTCCTGCCGTCCGCTCAGTTTGAGAAAGGGATGAAGTGCAACCTGGATTCTCGTGGATCATTGCAATGGCAAAGCTTCTGGGAATCCAGGAACCAAGAGAGGAGTCCAGCAGCAAACACCTGGCCGGGGCTTTATGTCAATTACTTTTTAAACGTTTACCACAAACCTATGAGAGAAGTAATTTTATTATCCTCATTTTACAGATGAGGGAGCTGAGGCACAGCAGTTACTACTTGCCCAATGTCACTGAGCTAGTAAATGGCAGAGTTTGGATTCTAGAGTCCTGCGTTTTACCACCTAGTCATGCTGCCTCACCACCCTTCTTGCCTGTGCTCCCCAGCAGCTCAGCTGAGGCGCCCTCCCCAGGCCACTCCCACCTCCAAGTTTATTCCCATAGCCCCCGTCAGTGAGGACACCAAGTCCTGCACTTTGAGCTTGAGGCCTCTGCTATGGACAGCACTGGGTGATGCTGGGGAGAAGCGGCTGAGGTTTCATCTGTGGTTTATGCTCAAAGCAGCTGCTGGGTGGGCCACCAATTGGCAGAAGTAGCTTTCTAATCAAGCACACTTGCAAAGGGTCTCATACTTCCCAGTATCTGGGAACTGTCCCCAAGGAGCTCAGATGGCAGCCTGGCTGGCTTCATGATCTTGGGAAATGTAGTTAGCCTCTCCATGCCTTAGCTGGCCGTTGGGAGGAGATTCAATTACATGGGAAGGAATGAACCTGCACCCTGCAGGGCCTGCCTCTTAATCACCGGCTGGAATAAGCAAGCACCTAAGAAACAGGAAGGCTACCCTGGCCAGGACCTCATTAACTTAATCCTGTTGGTCTCCTCAGCTCCTGTGGGGCTATTGCAGAGGAGAAACTTCTGGAACAGAGAGCTCCTTGTCCAGGGATGCTGCATCTGGGTGAGCTGCTCCTTGGATATGGTGCAAGTGTGGCCAGGGTGTGGTGTGGAAGGAGCAGAAGTCTTCAGGACTGAATCTGGATGGACCACTGTGACAGCTGTATACCCAGGTGGTACCAGTTTCCCTCTCTGCAGAAGTCCCCCCAACAGCACCATTCTCAGTGCCATACCTGGCCTCATCAGGGCTCTGATGCAAGACACTGTATATGCAGAATATATTATTTCATCCTCACAACAGTTCTGTATCTTCCACATTTTATAGGCTAAGGAAATAGGCTCAGGGTAGTCAAGTAGCTTTCCCAAAGGCACACAGCAGCAGAAGGGGATTTGAACCCAATTTGGGCTATCTCCAAACCCCACACTTTCGGAATAACTGTGGAGGTATCAGGATGCATCTATTATATGTCAGGGGACTGCTAGAGACTCAAAGCCCTCCCCTCCTGTCCATAGGAAAGGAGAGACCCCTTAGTACTGATTGCTTTGGTGGGGCTCTGGCACTCCGCAGTGATCACCTATAGGAAAACATGGAGTATCAGAATATTGGTCTCTCAGGAACCTGGCTTTGTGGGGTGGTTTGAGGCAGTAGTTGCCCCTTCATATGTGCACCCAGGCCCCTGCCAGACAGGTAATCACATTGCCTCCTCCTTGTGGCAGATTATATTTCCCAGAAAGTGCCTGCAACAATACTTCCAGTCCCATATGTGCTTCTAGAGCCGGTCACTCTCTCAGTTTAAAGGTGGAGTCTATTTCCCTTCCCCTTAAGACTGCCTCAGTGGTTAGACTATGGCAAGAAAGATATCATGTGACTTCCAAGACAAATCCTAAAAGGCAACACAGCTTCCACCTGGCTCTTTCTATTTTGAGCCACTTACCTATGGAACACCAGCCACCATGTTGGAAGGAAGCCCAGGTGACATGGAGAAGCATCTGTGAGTGCTCTGGCAGGCACGCCAGCTTGAATCTCAGCCATCAGCCAGCATCAACCACCAGATGCGTGAGAGAGAGCCTTCACATGACTTCAGGCCTCAGCCTGCAAGCTGTCCCAGCTTATGCTGAGTGAGCACAGACAACCTATCCCTGCTGAGCCCTGTCCAGTCTGCAGATTTCTGAGCAAAATAAATGATGTTATTGTTTTAAGCCACTGAGTTTTGGCATAGTTTGTTATGCAGCCATAGTAACTGGAATATCCTGAATTCATTGTTTCCAGTACAGCCCATTATGCTCACACACAGGGCTGCCCACCCAGGTTGTTGCTCAGCACAGGCTCTGGGCTCACTTGGTCCAGAGCTAAGGGCTGTGTTAGCCTGAAGAGGTGCCTTTTTGTAAGTGGTCTTGCCCGGAGAGCACCATTTCCTTTTTCCTACAGGGGTACTGCATGGGCTAGCTGCCTCCCTGCTCACAGATATTAAGATTCTAGAACATGTTTGTTGTTGTTGTTGCTTTGTTTTTGTTTTTAGAGCCAGGATTTTGCTTCGTTGCCCAGGCTGGAGTATGGTGGTGCTATCATAACCCACTGTAACCTCACACTGCTGGTCTCAAGTGATCCTCCTGCCCCAGTCTCTCGAGTAGCTAGGACTACAGGGATGTACCTCCACACTTGGCTAATTTATTTTTTATTTTTTGTAGAGATGGGGTCTTGCTGTATTACCCAGGCTGGTCTTGAACTCCTGGTCTCAGGTGCTTCTCCCACCTCGGCCTCCCAAAGTGTTGGGATTACAGGTGTGAGTCACTGCACCCACCCAGAGTGTTTTTCTTAGTGTTGAGTAAAACCTCCACTCTTTAATTTCCATTCACTTGTCCTAATTCTATTGTCTGGGTGTCATGTGGAATTAATCTGGTTTCTTTCTGGTGTCTTGATGGTCGAAGATGTCACTCATGATCTCCCTGAACTTTCACCTTGTCTTGGCTAAGACCTCGCTGTTCTTCTGGCCTTTCCTCTTAGAAAGAAAGCTTCTTAGGCTTATCACCATCCTGGCTTTCCTTCCTCCCTTCAGTACCTTCAGTACCTTCCTTTGATCTCTGGCAAAGGCTGGCTCCCAAGTGGGCGCTGTCCCTAGAGAGAATCTGGCCTGCATTTGACACCAGTACTCAGCAGGCTGGCGTTTTCCTAGTTGTCTTGAAAGGTCAGTTTAAGCAGGCATTGGAACAGGAGAGGAACAGCCTCTGCTCCTGGGGCATGTGGCTGGAGACTCCTTGCTGCCCAAAAGACATAGTCCCACTCCTTGTGCCTGGGAAGCCAGGCCAACCAGTCACCACTGCTGCTCTCGGCCACCCCTGCCCGCTGCTCACTGTCCGAGGGTGCAGAGCTGGGCCTATATTTTCCCATGAGGCCATAACTCTGCATCAGCCGCAGCAACCATGAGCTCTATCTGGTTTCAAGACAATTTCATCACCCCTAATGGAGACTCCACACCCCTTAAGCAATTACTCTCCATTCCTCCCATCCGCAACCATGAATCTGTGTTCTGTTTCTATGGATTTGCCTATTCTGGACATTTCATACACTATGTGGCCTTTTGTGTCTGACTTCTTTCACTACGAGGTTCATCTACCTCAAAGCATCTGTTTCTACCCCAGGCCTAGTTAGTCATGCTGGTCCTGGCCAGCGGTTGGTCCCTTCCTCTATGTTCTAGCCAGGGTGAACTTAAAAATTGTCACTGGGTCTGGATGTTGGGGATCAGCAAACGTGGGTCACTGCCAGGAGTACCAGGCCCCGAATCCATCTTTCCATTCTGGGTGAGGAAGATGGATGGGGAGGGATTTTCTGAGCTTGGATTCTTTCTTCAACCCTTGGCCACTCAGAGCTGGGGTATGGGTGAGGCCCTCTAAGAGAGTGGTGTGGGGTGAAGCCCTCCCTGGCCTCCAGCTGCCACCTCAGGATCTTTGCATCTCCTGTCCCCATTCTTTGCCCAGATGTTGGCATACCGCCTCCTAACCACCTTTACTCAGACAACACCTCCTCTGCTGCTCGGCCTTAAATTCCAACTCTTCATCTTGCTTTTTCTTGCTTTTTTTCTTAGCATTAATCACTAGCTGGAGTGTGTGTATGTGTGTGTGTGTGTGTGTACTGTTATTTATCTTGTTTTCTGTCTTTCCATTCAACCAGAATGGAACTCCCATAATTGTGTCTTTGGTCTGCTACTATGCACCCAGTGTCTGGCACATAGTGAGTGCTTGATGAGTATTTATTGAATGGATGCATGGATGTCTGACATTCATGCCCAGGGGACCTGCAGCCTTGATGCTGGTGCCATCCTAGCCTCGAGTGTGGAGGTAAGCCTGAATTTGGACATACGGCTACCTTCCTTAGCCCCAGCATCACTGGCTTCAATGCAGGTATGGCCAGAGCCTGCTCCAGCTAGGCCAGGGGTCTGGCCAGACAGGTCTGGGGAGGAAGGCAGGTGTCTGACTGTAGACTTGAATTTAACCCAGTCTTTGCCAAAGAAAATGTTGTGTGACTTGCACAAGTGAAACTTGAAGTTCTGTAAATCCAGTTGCTCCAGTTTTCTGTGTGGACAACTCAGGGGGAGCATTTTCCTGAGTGACATGTGCTGGTTGACCTGAGATCATTCTGGGTGTTTCATTCCTCTGATCAGAGAGAGCAGGGAATAGACTTAGGTTTGGGAGATTTTCCTGAATTCTGATATCTGACAAGTGTGATGAATAGTGTTCAACAAACACGAAGGAGATCTTTAGTCCTGGAGTGGAAGAGTAGGAACCTGAGGCACTCCCGTTTAGGTTTGGGTGTGGATTATAGGAGGGAGAGTCCTAGTCCAGGAAAGCAGGCTGTGTTCCTCGTATATTATGAAGTTGTCGGCTGTGTGTGTCTATGGCTATGTGTGTTTCTGTGTGTGTCTCTGTGTATCTGTGTGTTTGTGTGTCCATGTGTGTCTTTGTGTGCTTATCTTCGTGTCTCTGTGAGTTGAATAAATGGGGATCTGAGGGGCAGTTCTGGGTTCTTTGTCCATGGCAGTCGAGATGATCTCTGGTGTGCCTGGTGTTTTAGTGGCAATTTAGCTCTCTGAGATGTAAGCATAATTGCTTTCTGTCCTTCTGTTTTATTTCTCTAACAGTGGTTTTCAACCCTGGCTGCACATTAGTCCCATCTGGAGAGCTTTATAAAATACTCGTGTGTGGGTATCACAGCACACCAGTTAAATCAGAGTCTCCAGATGTGGGACCAGGGCACTGGTATGTTTCTGAAGCTTGACAGGTAACTCTAATTGCAACCAATGTAAGGTGTGTTCTGAAACCCTTTAGTGAGGATTAGGGGGAACCACACTAAACTTGAGACCTGGAGGTTTTGTTACTGGCTCCATCATTAAGTTGCCTTTGACCTTGAACAGGCCACTTTGTCTTTCTGGTCCCTTAATTTTTTTTTCTTTGGTAGGATGCAGATAATTGCATTATCCACATGGATGTGCTTCCTGCATGGTTGTAAGGTCAAATGTGTGAAAGGGCTTTGTGCATTCTGAAAGGATACAAGAACGCAAGAAAATATTATTAGCATTATTTGTGTTAGCCCCTTGTAGAGACCCAAAAAATGGGGCCAGAGATGGGCGTACAATTACAGCAAGATCGTAGTGAAAGAAAAACCGAGGAGCACATCCTGCTACTCTGATTTAGTTTTCCCAAGACCAGGCAAAGCCAAGAACGCCTATGCTTGTAATTCCAGAAGCTGACACTAGGGGGTGCCCGATTCATGGCATGGATGGCAAAGATCTCATTTGACGACAATTTCCTGTTCCCTTTGGTTAAAATAGTTTGGCAGGGCTCAGTGGCTCGCTCTTGTTTGTCCCCAGCTGTATGCAAGGAGGATCCTTGAGTCCTGGAGTTTGAAGCTGCAGTGAGCTATGATCATGCCACTGCATTCCAGCTTGGGCAGCAGAGTGAGACATGGTATTTAAAAAAATAAAAGTAAAATAATTTACTAAAATAACCATTTAGATATTAAGGTGAGAGTGTAAATGCCTTTCTCACACTATCTCTGTGCAGTCAGATGGTGGTTTTCATTCTGCCCAAGTTCCCTTCCTATGTTCCACCTCTCTTGATTCTTCTGGCCTTTGTAGTAAAAATCCTTCTTGGGCCTGAAGCTGGGCTTGCCCACTCAGATTTCAGAGAAACATCAAACAGCTTTGGTTGCTGGCAATGAACCAGGGAGGAGGCCTATCTGGCTCCTCTGCAGACTTAATTAGCTCTTGAGCTGCTCTTTCTGTCAATCTGGCCTTCTCTGCTCCTCCCTCCCTCTTGCTTTTAAGGAGAGAATCTCATTTTCTGCTCCCAGGGGCCCATTCTTTGCAAGCCACTTTAGCTTTCTTTCCTTTCTGTGATCAGGAAAGCCGGATGTAGATGTCAAGGAGGGTAATTGTAAAAGCTGACTGACACTTTTTCTTTCTGCAATTAGGGAAGCGTGACTTTGACAACTAAGCCAAATCATTCATTCCCCTGCCTTTGAAACTCACCCCTGGGTACAAGTTATTTTGCATAAAATTACTCAATATTTTCATAGAACCAACCCGGGGACTGCTACCCAGTTTTCTTCTGAGTCTAGGTCATTTGTTTGTTTGTTTGTTTTTTTCTTCTCTTTTTCTAAGTATTTGAAAACACATCTGAAATACACAGTTGCCAATGTTATGGGTCAGTTGCTATAAATACAAACTTTTTGGAACAATGCACATGAAATGATGAACAATGAATGCCTCTGGGGACAAGACTGGATGTTTGAGCTGGTTCATGTTCTCGTATAAAATCTTCTAAAAGCAGGGAGCTTGGGGTACCTTAGCTGACTCAATACCATCTTACCTTCACTCCTTCAGGCCTTAGAGAAAAGGATTAGAAGGAGGGGACTTCTTTCACCCTACGGTCACGCAAGCAGACCAGGTCCCCAGCTATCCTTTCTTGTAGCTTTATGGGAATATGGAGAGTGGGTTTTCCAGGTGAGGTGCTCAGAAACCAAGGAAGGAAGACCCTGGGCAAATTGCTAAATGCCAGATGCTGTCAAAGCAAAGTCCTCATGGACCCCAGTGGGAGGAAGAGCTTGTGTGGTGACCCAGTGTAGACAGGACCCCATGTAGTTTCTGGACTCTGGAACAAGATCCTTGACTGCCATCTTTTGTCAGGTCCTCTTCACCCTTTCCCTCTACCCTCACTTCTTCCCAGCTGCATACCCTTCCCCTTCTTGAGCAAATTCTATGGAATCTTGACCCAGCTCCCTGTCAATCCATTCTCATAACACCTGCCTTTCTCTCTTTCCTTCTTTCTGGAGTCTCCTTTTCCATTTCTGAGAAATTCTTCCTTTCTCCAGGGGCAAGTCTTTCTACTTCTCTCCTTCTTTCTTTCTCTTTTTTTCTTTCTCTGTCTCTCTTTTTTTTTTTTTTTTGAGACAGAGTCTTGCTCTGTTGCCCAGACTGGAGTGCAGTGGCACAATATCAGCTCATGGCAACCTCTGCCTCCCAGGTTCAAGTGATTCTCCTGCTTCAGCCTCCTGAGTAGCTGGGACTACAGGCACATGCCACCGTGCCTGGCTATTTTTTTTTTTTTTTTTGTATTTTTAGTAGAGACGGAGTTTCACCCTGTTAGCCAGGATGGTCTCGATCTCCTGACCTCGTGATCCGCCAGCCTTGGCCTCCCAAAGTGCTGGGATTACAGGCGTGAACCACCGTGCCTGGCCTCTTTCTTTTTCTTGAGACAGGGTCTCGCTCTGTCACCCAGGCTGGAATGCAGTGGCACAATCACGGTTCACTGCAACCTCGAACTCCTGGGCTCAAGAACTTCTCCCACTTCAGCCTCCCGAGTAGCTGAGAATACAGGCACGCACTATCACACCTGGCTTTGTTCTTTCATTGTAGACCATCATGGCCCCTTAGACCTGACCTGAAATCACCAAAGACCAGATCTTCCTTTTTTAAGGCAGGCAGGTCTTAATCTCACAACCTTTTAAGTTTCATATTGCAATGGTCTGGCCACTAATGGTCTACTTCTTTGTGTTTAAATAAAAGCAAATCTGAATAAAACCCAAGTTTTGGCTGGGTGCGGTGGCTCATGCCTGTAATCCCAGCACTTTGGGAGGGCGAGGCAGGTGGATCATCTGAGGTCAGGAGTTCGAGACCAGCCTGGCCAACATGGTGAAACCCTGTTTCTACTAAAAAAATACAAAAAAATTAGCTGGGTGTGGTGGCGGGTGCCTGTAATCCCAGCTACTCGGGAGGCTGAGTCAGCAGAATCTCTTGAACACAAGAGGTGGAGGTTGCAGTGAGCCGAGATTGCGCCACTGTACTCTAGGCTGGGTGACAAGAGTGAAACTCTGTATCAAAAAAAAAAAACCCAAGTTTTAAATCAAGGTGTATTTGCTTTTCTTTTCATTCCAGCCATAGTGAGCAGCTTTCTGGAGCAGGTGTGGCCCACCCCATTTCTAGGACTTTGCACTTGCAATCCCTGCTGCTGGGAACACCCTTCCCTTCACTGTCCCTTCATTTTCCCCACTCCTTTCTTTTTATAGGGTTCCTTTTGGTCATCTCTTCATCCTGTAAATGCATAATTCTCAAAGTATTTTGTTAGCACACGCCAGACTTTTATTCAACTCATGAGTGAGGTGTGGTGAGCTGTTACAGTAATGGTCCTCAGTTTATCCACACCTCCCTGTGTCTGCAACTTCCCACCCTGCTTGCCCATATGACTTGCCTTGACCCGTGGGACATGACAAATAAAATATGGGCCGACACTCAAAAAGTACTTGCATGTTGTTGCTTACTCTTGCTCTTGTTCTTGGAACCCAGCAAGTAGCAGATAAAAACCACAGGCCTGCCTGCCAGATGATGAGAGACACAGGGACTCGTTGTCCCTTATACAGGTGAGGGCATTTTAGACCACGGAGTTTCCAAGTGTCCTGCCAGTTAATTATAGATGTGTAAGCAGACCAGCAGACATTAACTACCCCAACCAGAAGAACTTCCCAGCACACAAAATCATCAGTAAAGAAAGGCTTCTTGTTTTAAGCCACTCAGTTTTGGAATACTTTGTTACACAGCTGAGGCTGACTGATACGTGAGAGAATCAGCAGGAAAAAAAAAAAAAAACAAGTTCATTGAAGATATGAGGAACTGGGATTTATACAGCAAAAGGAAAAAGAATGCTGAAATAAGACTGCAAAATTCAGTGTAAAACTGGTTAATACCTAACCAGGCAATAAAAAGTAACCTTTGGAGTTATCTCAAAGACTCATAGATGGTGGCATTTAGGAAATTAAAGAAAACTTTTATCTTTAACGAGCATCAAGGAGTCAGCCTTTTCAGAAGGGCTGGCTTGCCAAATACAAAACACAACGAGCATTTGAAGAAAAAAAAACCTGCAAAATGACCAACTCATAAAGTTTACATTAACCTTTTCATGGTGAAAAACATATTTCTCATATCATCCTCATAATCCCAAAGGTCACAGCAAATCTTCAGATATCAGCATAGCAAAATTCAAGGAAAAGATGATTTTGTTAAAAAAGAGTCTAGGTTTGTGGGAAATAGCCAAGGTTTTGTGATGCAGGTGACCTGAGCCAGGCAGGGAGATCTTGTTATTTTTGCTTAGTTTTTTTTCTAGCTGTAGTAGATAAAGAATGCAATGATAGCAGTGAGCCGAGATCATGCCACTGCACTCCAGCCTGAATGACACAGTAAGACTCTGTCTCAAAAAAAAAAAAAAAAAAAAGAGGAAGAATGCCATGATACCGGAATTAGAAAGTCTCAGTGTCAGTTTTTATCTTTACACTTCTTTCTTGGACAGAAAAAAAAAAGGGCTTTATCAATTTTATACAAGTTAACTTTTTATTTTATGTCTAGGCCCTTGCCAAGAATGTATCAAATAAAGGTACATTGCATAAAAGAGAGTCAGATGACCCCCAGGTGGGATTTTTAGAAAATGCTCACCGGGCATGGTGGCTCACACCTGTAATCCCAGCACTCTGGGAAGCCAAGGTGGGCGGATCACCTGAGGTCAGGAGTTCGAGACCAGCCTGGCCAACATGGCGAAACCCCGTCTCCACTAAAAATATGAAAATTAGCCTGGCATGGTGGTGGGTGCCTGTAATCCCAGCTACTTGGGAGGCTGAGGCAGGAGAGTCGCTTGAACCTGGGAGGTGGAGATTGCAGTGAGCCAAGACCGCACCATTGCACTCCAGCCTGAGCAACAAGAGTGAAACTCCATCTCAAAATAATAATAATAATAATAATAATAAGAGAGAATGCTCTAGCATGGATGGTTGGTCACACAATCTTTTTTTTTTTCTTATATCTAAGTCGTGTCATTTCCCTAAACAAATCTTTCCCTGACTGCAAGCTCAAGGTAAGTGCCGCTCCTTCTGGCTGCCATAGTGCCTGAGCCTATTTGTCACAGTCTCCTTTAATCCTGTGGATGCCTGTTTGTTTGTGAAGTCTCCTCCTTTAGACTACGCCCTCCTTGAGGTTGGCGACGTATGTTATACACCTTTGGATCCCCAAAGTTTAGCGCAGTGCCTTGTACAAGCATTTGGAGAATGATTCTATCAATTTATTTTTTCCTCATGCAACCAAGGACAGTATTTCCCCTACTTGGCAGCACCAGAATTTCCAGGGGTGTATTGTTAATCAGCTTCCCAGGTGATTTCATTACAGTGATGTGCAGGAGGCAGCTGGCACTGGCTGGTGACAGCCGTTTCTGAGCATTTTCTGCCAACTCTGTGTCCAATAACAACACATTGGTAGTTTGAAATTGAGCACGGTGGGAGTATTTACACCACGATATCAGCAAATGTTACAAATCAGGGCGTTTTTTTTTTTTTAGATGGAGTCTCGCTTTGTTGCCCAGGCTGGAGTGTAGTGGTGTGATTTCAGCTCAGCACAACCTCCACCTCCCAGGTTCAAGCGATTCTCCTGCCTCAGCCTCCCGAGTAGCTAGGACTACAGGCCCATGTCACCATGCCCAGCTAATTTTTTTGTATTTTTAGTAGAGACAGGTTTCACCATGTTGGCCAGGCCGATCTGAAACTCCTGACCTCGTGATCTGCCCACCTTGGCCTCCCAAAGTGCTGGGATTACAGGCATAAGCCACCGCACCCGGCCAGGGCTTTTGTTTTTGAGAGCCTGTTTACCTGCTCTCCACCAAGTCTGCTCATCTCTGGTCCAAAGACTAATGTCAGAGAATTGTTAACTGAGGGTGAGGTCGGCAAACTATGCCTGCTTTTGTACTGCCCATGAGATAACAATAGATTTTAACATTTTTAAAAAGATTGTGAAAGAGGAAGAAGGAGAAGGAGAAAAGGAGAACAAGGCGAAGAAAGATGGGGAGGAGGAGGAGAAGAGGAGAATGAGGGAGAGGACAAGGAAAAAAAAGAAGTAGTGATAGAGACTGTATGTGGCCTGCAAGGCTTAAAATGTTTAATATGCAGCTTTTTATGGAAAAGTTTTGCTGACCCCTGACCTAGGGAAGCTCCTTAAATCTGACTGCCTGGTAAAATCATCTTAGAGCTTTTTTTTTTTGAGATGGAGTCTCGCTCTGTCGCCAGGCTGGAGTTCAGTGGTGCGACGTCAGCTCACTGCAAGCTCCACCTCCCGGGTTCAAGCGATTCTCCTTCCTCAGCCTCCCAAGTAGCTGGGATTATAGGCGCCCACCACCATGCCCAGCTAATTTTTGTATTTTTAGTAGAGACAGGGTTTCGCCATGTTGGCCAGGCTGGTCTCGAACTCCTGATCTCAGGTGATCCACCCGCTTAGCCTTCCAAAGTGCTAGGATTACAGGCGTGAGCCACTGCGCCCAGCCTCAGTTTGGCTGTTAGAAGGACTCATTTGGATGCACGCATTCCACATTAAGGTGGATTTCTAAATCCTGCTCTCCCTATGCTGTCTGAAGAGGATGCTGGCTTAGCCCACTGTCCCCCAACACCCACTGTAGGTCCTGCTTCCCCAGAAGGATTCTTTTGAACTTGTGCAGACTGAAGATACAGGAGAGAAGGGGAGGCTGGGGACAGTAGCCTGCTCCAGATCTCCATATGGAAAGTGTGGGAGGCTGGAAAAGTTGACAGTGAGGAACTTGAAACTGCATTTGACATTGGGCATGCCTATTGTCAATATTGAAGAATGAATGAAGGGATGAGATTGTGGGAGGCTCCTAGTCCCCTAATTCCCCTTAGCACCAGATAGAGGGATTTGAAAATGAAGTGTGAGACAGGTTTACAAGCAGACGGTGTAAATAGATGGGAGACAAAGCATATTTCAAAGACGTTTTGCTGTGGCCCACATGTAGAGACCCTTTTGCAGAGTTCAGGGAATACAAAATCTAAACAACTTGAGTTTTTAATTTATTTTATTTTAAAAATTAACATCTAATAAAGTTGACATTCTTTCAGAGAATGTATAGTTCTATGACTTGTAATCCATGCATAGATATGTTTAAACACCACTATAATCGGCATGCAGAGAATTCCATCACCCCAAAAACCTCTCCCCTGCTATTCCTTTGTGATCATATCACCACCCCAACCCTAAGCCCCAGCAAGCACTGAGAGGTTCTACATCATTATAGATTTGTCTTTTCAAACATGTTCTGTAATCATACGGTATGAAACTGACTTCTTTCACTCATCTTAGTGCCTTTGAGATTCATCCAAGTTACTTCAAGTATCAAGAACTCATTCATTTTCCTTGCTGAGTAGTATTTTATGGTATGGATGTACCACAGTGTGTTTATTGATTCACAATTGAATTTTCAGTTTTGGGCAATTGTGAGCAGAACTGCTATAAACGTTGGTGTTTTTGTGTGGACATAACTTTTCATTTGTCTGGAGTACATGTGCAGGACTGGTATTCCTGGGTCATCTGGTAAGGAATATATCTGTTTAACTTTATAAGAAGTTGTCAAACTGGTTTCCAGAGTGGCTGTACCATTTTCTGTTTCCACCAGCATTGAATGAGAGCTCTGGTTACCCCTTGGATCACACATACTGCTAGTATTTTCTATTGTAGTTATTCTAACAAGCATGTAGTGATATCTCGGAGTGGCTTTTATTTGCATTTCTCTAATGGTGAATGATGTTAAACATATTCACCTTCCATATGGTGTATTTTGTTAAAAGGTTTGTTCAACTCTTTTGCCCATTTTAAAATTATTTTGTTGTTGTTGTCATTGTTTTCTTATTAATGAATGTTGAGAGTTCTTTCTTTATTTTTTTACTTTTATTTTTTGAGACGGAGTTTTGCTCTTGTTGCCCAGGCTGGAGTGCAATGGCGCAATCTGGGCTCACTGCAACCTTTGCCTCCCGGGTTCAAGCGATTCTCCTGCTTCAGCCTCCTGAATAGCTGGGATTACAGGTGCCCACCACTACATCTGGCTAATTTTTTGTATTTTTAGTAGAAACAGGGTTTCACCATGTTGGCTAGGGTGGCCTCGATCTCTTGATCTTGTAATCCACCCATCTCAGCCTCCCAAAGTGCTGGGATTACAGGCGTGAGCCACCGCAGCTGACCCAGGATTTCCTTTTAAAGCAGTTTTTAGCCACAAATTTAATTAAAAAAAAAAAAAGGTGATTCACATCATCTATTTAAACTTGGATGAGTTGTGGTCACTTTTGGCTTTTAAGGAGTTAGTTCATTTCCTCTAAATTATCAAATTGATGTCCATAGAGTTCTTCATAGTATTTCATATTATCTTACTACCTTTTTCAGGTCTGCAGGATCTGTAGTGATATCTCCTCTTTCATTCTTTTTTTGTTGTTTTTTTGAGACAGGGTCTTGCTCTGCTGCCCAAGCTCAAGTGCAGTGGCATGATTATAATCCACTGAAGCCTAGACTTCCTGGGCTCAAGTGATCCTTCTCCCACCTCATCCACCCAAGCAGCTGAGACTACAGATGCATGCAACCAGGCCCGGCTAATTTGTGTATTTTTTTGTAGAGATGGGTTTTTACCATGTTGCCCACGCTGGGCTCAAACTCCTGAGTCTCTTAACAGAGACTTTTGCAGAGACACTTTAAATGAAATTTTAATTTTGATGAAGTCAAATTCATCATTTTTTTTCTCTTGTGGATTATGCTTTGGATGTCATTCAACCACTTCTTGCCTAATCCCAGTTCACAAAGATTTTCTGCTATTCTTTTAGAAGTTTCATATTTTTGGTTTTACATTTAGGTGTTTGATTCTTTTTGAGTTAATTTTTGTATTTGGTGTTAGGTATAAATCAAAGTTCGTTTTTAAAAATGTAGATATATACTTATTTCAATATCAATTATTGAAAGGACTGTCTTTTTTGACTGAATTACCTTTGCATCTTTGTAAAAAATCAGTTTTCCAAATATGTGTGGATCTATTGTTGGACTGTTATTCTGTTGAATTAACCTAATTTTCTTTCTTAATGCCAATATCATATGATCCTATTTAATACAGCTTTATAATGAGTCATGAAATCAGGTAGTACTACCTTTTTGTATTTCCATGTGAATTTTAGAATGAACATGTCAATTTCTTTAAAAAACCCTGCTGAGATTTTTATTGGAATTGTTTGAATCTATATATCAATTTGGAGAGCATTAAATCTCAAAAGTATTAAACCTTCTGACACATGAATATCATATGTCTCTTCATTTATTTATTTATTTATTTATTTATCCATTTATTTAACTTCTCTCAGCAATGTTTTATAGTTTTCAGTGTAAAGAACTTTTCTTTATCAGAAGACTTTAAACTGCAAATTCAATTTGTTTAATATATAGAGAGCTATTCTGGTATCTATTATCAATAGTTAACTATTTTCAATAGATAACTATCAATAGTTACTATTATCGATAGTTGCTATCGATAGTTACCTATTTCTTCCTGAATAAGCATTTATAGTTTGTATTTTCCAGATAATTTGTTTATTTCATTTAATTCATCTAATTTATTGGCATGAAATTATTCATAATATTCATTTAGTATCCTTTACTATTTGCAGAATCTGCAGTATGTCACCTTTCTCATTTTAATTTTTTAATTTTTTATTTTTTTCTCATTTTTAATATTGGTAATTTGTGTCTCATTTATTTTTCTAATCACTTTGGCTAGTGGTTTACAAATTTTACTTATCAAAGAACCAGCTTTGGGTTTCACTGATTTCTTCTATTTTTTTTAATCGACTATTTATTGGTTTTTGCTCTGATCTGATTTCCATTCTTCTGTTTCATTTGGGTTTCTTTTGCAGTAATTTTGCTGATTTTTTAAAAGATGAGATTCTAGGTTGTTTCTTCAAGAAGTTATTTTCTAAATAAGCATTTCAAACTATAAATTCCCTCTAAGTATTGCTTTAGCTGCATCCTACAACTTTTGATAAGCTGTGTATCATTTTTATTTAATTCAAAATACTTTCCAATTTCTCTAATTTCTTATTTATTTCTTCTTTGACTCATGAATTCATAAAAGTGTGTTATTTAGTTTTCACTTATTTAGGATGTATATATAGATATAGATGTAGATATAGAAGGGTTTATGCATATATTATAAGTACCACAATATACTATTCTTATTTTTGTTTAAACATCTACTTATCTTTTAAAGAGATTTAAATAATAAGGAAAAGTCTTATGTATTTATCCAAGAAGTTACCCTTTGGCTATTCTTCATTACTTTGTGTAGATCTGTATCTCCATCTGTAATTTTACTTCTGCCAGAGGAAATTCCTTTATTATTTTCTGTAGCATGGGGCTGCTAGTGATGAATTGTTCTAGTTTTTGAATATCTGAGAAATCTTTATTTTGCCTTTGGTTTTGAAAAATATATTTGCTGGGTAAAGAAATTTTGGTTGTCATTTTTTTCCCCAGTACTTTAAAGATATTGCTACATTGTCTTCTTTTTTACATTGTTTTTGATGAGAAATACATTGCCATTCTTATCTGTGTTCCTCTGTAGCATGTCTTTCTGTCTTTCTCTGGTGCTTTCAAGTTTCTCCCTTTATTTGTTTTGAACAATTTCATTATGATGTACCTGAGTATAGTTTGCTTCAGGTTCTTGTGGTTGATTTTCCTTCTCATTATGGGTCACATTTTCCTGCTTCTTTGCATGCTTGGTAATCTTTTTTTGGTTGCCAGACATTGTGAATTTTAACTTGTTTGGTGATGCTAGATATTTTTGTGTTTCTGTAAACATCTTGGAGCTTTGTCCTGGGACACAGTTAAATTACTTGGAAATAGTTTAATCCTTTGGGTGGGGAGTTGTTTTTAGACTTACTATACTAGAGTAGCATTTAGTGTAGAGGTAATTATTCTGCACTACTAAGTACTGAGTACTTCACTTAATGCATGTATCACGTGGGTTTTTATAGTGTTTTGTTGGACCAGGCATCCTTCCTACTCCTGCTGAACACCTTCCACTCTCCCCTCCAGTCGTTTCCATGGTTCTTTTCCCAGCCTTGGGTAGTTTCCTCACACACACATGCCAATCAGTACTCTGCTGAACAATCTTTTGGAATTCTCTGCAGATTTCTGTCTGTGCAGCTCTCTCCTCCTATCTGATATTTTGCCCTTCAGACCGTAGCTGATTTCTTCTCTCTGGACTATCACTTCCTTCTAACTCGGGGAGTCTTCCAGCCTCCATTTATGTTCCCCTTCCTTATACCGTGGTCTAGAAACTCTCTAATGCCATAAGCTGGGGCAACGGTTGGGCTTATCTCTTTTTTCCCATCTTTCATTTATCACTGTATTTCATTGCCTGATGTCCACACTTTTTTTTTTTTTTTGAGACAGAGTTTCACTCTTGTTGCCCAGGCTGGAGTGCAATGGCGCGATCGCGCCTCACTGCAATCTCCACCTCCTAGGTTCAAGTGATTCTCCTGCCTCAGCCTCCCAAGTAGCTGGGATTACAGGCATGCGCCACCATGCCAGGCTAATTTTGTATTTTTAGTAGAGACGGGGTTTCTCCACGTTTGTCAAGCTGGTCTCGAACTCCCAACCTCAGGTGATCTGCCCACCTCAGCCTCCCAAAGTGCTGGGGTTACAGGCGTGAGCCACCATGCCCAGCCTCCACACTTTTGTAAACTATCATTTTATATGTCTTGTTTGTTAATTTATTTTTTGTTATTTCAGGCAGGAGCATAAATCCAGTCTTTGTTATTCCATCTTAGCCAGAAGTGACTCTTTAGGGTCTAATCGTAATTCAGAAGTTCTGGAGTTGCTCTATATAAGAATCGCTTGATGAGGCTTATTAAAATGCAGATGCTCCCACACAGCAATATGGTGTCTGGAGAGGGAGAAAATAATCTGCATTTCAGTGAGGTACTCTGGCCACAATTTCAGAAGTGCTGACTTCAGACATCCTTCCATCTTTGGCCTACAACTGTAGTCTTCTTTATAGATTTCAAAGTGCTCTGGAGTCAGATTGATTGTTTCCAGTTCCATCTCTACTTGTCACTACTGTAATATCTTATCTATCATAAAAAGATAACCCAGAGAAGTTAAGAAATTTGTCTGAGATTACAATTGGTGACAAGTAAGGTTACGATAAAGAATAAATTATTTTGGCACATGGTAAGCCCTCAGTAGATGTTAGTTATTATTGTATGTATTGTATCTCTTGATAGTTATAAGAGCCCATTTTACAGATGAAATTGGAGCCTTGGAGGAAGGTATAGTGACAAGGTCATTTGGCCAGCAAGTTGCAGAGCTGAAACAGAAACCCGGGTCTGACTTCTAGTACGAAACATTCTCTTTCCTCAGTTGATGGTTATATCAAGGTGGAGGGTTACCAGCAAGGGGAGAGGAACCACAGGGGTGTGTGTGTGTGTGTGTGTGTGTGTGTGTGTGTGTGTTTGCATTAATGAGGGGAAACTGCATTACACTTTGCAAGAGGGACAAGTCAGCTATTGTCATTTAACTTTGTGGAGATTTCCTCCAAACTTCGGGGTTTTATGTTATGCTAAGTCCTCACTACACTCCAAATTAAATCCCCTGTTGCTGGAGTTCCACTGATGTCTCTTGCATGTCTCTTACTCTGCCTTCAATATTTAGGAAATTGGAAGTATGTGTATGTATGGAGGGAGGGTAGGACTCTGGATTTGTGATCTGGTTCCTTTGCCACGTCCGTCAGTTTGGCCCCCAGTCCCATCTGCTCTAGTATGGCACATTCAGAAGCTCTTCAAGTGTAAAGCTATTTATAATACAGAGTAGGATCTATTTATAGATAAGGTAAGTTACAGTCACACAACCCTGAGCCACTCAACTTGCCTGTTTGGTTCAGGTTTGAAGCAATTAACTGCCCGTTTCAAACAATCCACCTCTTTAATTACCCTTTCATGCTTTTACCCTTTAATTCCATGTCTAGATCTTCTCTGAGTTGAGTTCTCTTTTTAAGCCTCTTTGGCTTATGGGGAAAATGGTATTTTTTTTTTAACTTTAATACAGGGTCTACCAAGCCCATTTCAAAAGTTATGCTTATAAAGCACAAAGACTTTCCCCATGTAAGGTAGACCAAGAAGAATTTGGAATGAAGGACAGTACAAATACTAGCCTTATGCCTGGAATGTAGGACTACATTGATTAATAAGTTTCAAACTAATCAGGGCTCTTCCCAGTTTGAATCACTTGTGCTACAGTGGGAGGAGTGATTTGTAGGTGTTCCCTCGCTATGGCAGCTGGTCTAAGTTCACCTACATAATTGACACCTGAGAATTGGCTTTTTTGAACTCTAAGAAATAGCGAAGATAAATGATTTCATCTCTGGAGCCAATTTCTTTTTTTTTTTTTCCTTTTTTTTTTTTTTTTTTGTTGAGACAGAGTTTTGCTCTTGTTGCCCAGGCTGGAGTGCAATGGCATGATCTCGGCTCACTGCAACCTCCACCTCCTGGGTTCAAGCAATTTTCCTGCCTCAGCCTCCCAAGTAGCTGGGATTACAGGCATGGGCCACCATGCCTGGCTAATTTTGTATTTTTACTAGAGACGGGGTTTCTCCATGTTGGTCAGGCCGATCTCGAAATCCTGACCTCGGGTGATCCACCTGCCTCGGCCTCCCAGTGCTGGGATTACAGGCGTGAGCCACCGCGCCCGGCCTCTGGAGCCAATTTCAGCGGCCTGGTGGTGGCTTCTGCAGTCATGGATGGAGACCATGCCGGTGCCCAGAAGTACAGTTATAAGATCCTATGTTGATGATTTACATTGGCATTGGAGTGTGTGGAGGTGGCTCTGGTTCATGGGCCAGGTGTTTGCCCTCCTTGTTACAGAGTTGGCTTCCCTGAGCTCCCCACACTCCACCATGTGTGTTTGCTGAAGTGCGGTAAACAGGGCAAGAGCAGGGAGAAGGTTAGAATGAGCAAAGCTTCACCTGAGCCTTCCCAGCGGGGGAATCAAGAGCCACAACCCACGTTGTTCCACACTTATACGTTTCCAAAGCCTTGTATGGCTGTTACTACCCAGCAGACATCTCACAGCCATCCTCTGGAGTCTATAGTTCTGGCATCAATGTTCCCATTCCATAGAAGAGGTACACAGAGGCTGCCCAGGCACACACCCTCATTCCCCTGTTATGCTGACCAGGTGCTTTGGCTTAGTGGTAGAGGGGGTCCTTGTTTCACCACCAGACTTTTGCTTTCACTCAGAGAGAGAGAACGGAATGGCAGAAAGAGCAGTAGGTCAGGAGTCAGAAAGTGTGTGTTCCAGTCCAGCCCTGTGGCCTCGGGTGAGTCATTTTACACCCCAGAGTCATTGTACATCTCAGCTTTCTCATGTGAAGCTTGCATAAGTGTGGTGCCTCGGCTGGGCGTGGTGGCTCACGCCTGTAATCCCAGCACTTTGGAACGCCAAAGCAGGTGGATCACTGGAGGTCAGGAGTTCAAGACCAGCCTGACCAACCTGATGAAACCCCGCCTCTACTAAAATTACAAAAATTAGCAGGGCATGGTGGCGGGTGCCTGTAATCCCAGCTACTTGTGAGGCTGAGGCAGGAGAATTGCTTGAATCCGGGAGGTGGAGGTTGCGGTGAGCCAAGATCACGCCACTGCACTCCAGCCTGGGTGACAGAGCGAGACTCCATCTCAAAATAAATAAATAAATAAAATATAAAATAAAATAAAATAAAATAAAGAGTAGTGCATCTTGATCTTAAGCCCTGACTAATTTGAAACGTATTAATCAAGAGCCTCCCAACCTATGACAGAGAATTGCTGCCAGCCATGAGAATTCCTTCTCAGCTGTGCTGTGTGGCTGTCTAGGGGTCCACATCGCTGTGCCGGAGGAAAGTTAAACCCGCAGGTAGAACGAAGACATTATACTTGAAGATCTGAGGACATTTAAAACACAGTGAACAAGCACAAGTGTATGATGAGGTAAAAGGTAACATTCATACACACTTTAATGATAAAAAGAGGCTTTCAAGATATTCTTTGTTCGAGGCTGGCCTCTCCCAGCTCCATCCCCAGGTCTTGATTCTTCTCTCCTCTGTCATTAAGATGTGTTGGTTAACAACTGTCCCAAGCAAGGAGAGGGCAGGTCCCTCCAGCCAGAAGCAGGGGCAAAGCCTTTGTCATGAGAGGGGGAGAGGGATCCTGAGCATATGATCTCCATCGCTCCATCTGCCTCCCAGCTCCATTCTGCCATGAATTCCTGTGTGAGCAGGGCCCTGCGGGTGGACACGGGAAATATAATTTTCTAGCACCTTGCATCATACTGTGGCCCAAGCAGCATGGCTCTGAGATTGCTGTGACAGAGGGGACCGCTGGGGCACCAGGCCTTGCCTCCCTACTCTGCCACACTGCCATGCAGTCTGGCATTTTCTGGTGGATTTAATGGTGAAAAATGAAGCCCTATTTTGCAGGAGGTGGAGGTGGGGTCTAGTAGGAGCTGCCAGGTTGGGAAAGGCTGAGCAGTTGGGGACAGGCAAAGCAGCAGCCAGCCACAGACCCCACTGAGTTAGTACTGGGGGTGTTTGTGAGCCCACATGAGAAGCCACTTGGGGATTCCCAGAAAAGGGAAGGGGTGGGGTTTGTGAAAGGGGACAAAGTCCTGAGTAGCTGAGGGTTGGGGGACAGTGACAAGCGCCAACAGGCATTTAGTTGATTGGGTCTTTTGCTACCTTTGTTCACACAGGCCTTTGAGATCTGGATCTCTGGTTTCAGTTGTTCCTCCCAGATCCCCAGGGGTTTATGGAAATTGTAATGGATTGTTTTAAATGTTTCAAAAACTCTAATGGAAATCATAATACATTTGTTTTATGCTTTTTGTATACCCAGTTATGGGGTTATGGATATGTTTGATTAATAAATCATGGGGAAATGAATGAATTATTCCTTAATGATTACAGTCTCTTTGGCAGACAACCTATGTCAAGACAAGGGAGAGAGGAGATAAAACTATAAAGGAGGGTTTTGATATTGACTAGATTTGGAAATGACACAGCACCAGAGGCAGCCCAGTCTAGAGCTGCCCTAGGCTGGCGGGACCAATGGCACAGCGAGAGCCATGGAGGGAAAGGCAGATATCACAGCCATTTGTCCCCAGGTGTGACTCAGGAAGTTTTTAGGCCAGCAGCAAGAGGTGTTATTTGAGAGCCACATTAGAAGAATCCCCATCTCTCTCCTGAGCCACTATGACCAGCAGAAATTTGAAAACGAGAAAACCCAGCCTCAAGGGGAGTAGGATGCTTGCTTAAAGAAATACAATTGTTTTGCCCAGTGGTTCTCAGACCATAGCTGTCATCAGAATCACTGGGAAGCCTTTTTTTTTTTTTTTTTTGTGAGGCGGAGTCTCGCTCCGTCACCAGGCTATAGTGCAGTGGTGTGATTTCGGCTCACTGCAACCTCTGTCTCCCAGGTTCAAGCGATTCTCCTGCCTCAGCCTCCTGAGTAGCTGGGATTACAGGCGTGCGCCACCACGCCCGGCTAATGTTTTGTATTTTTAGTAGAGATAGGGTTTCATCGTGTTAGCCAGGATGGTCTCCATCTCCTGACTTCGTGATCTGCCCGCCTCGGCCTCCCAAAGTGCTGGGATTACAGGCGTGAGCCACTGTGCCTGGCCGGGGAGACTTTTTAAACTGCAGACACAGAGGGACCCAATCCCAGAGTTTCTGATTAAGTAGGTCTGCGGTGAGACTGACAATCTGTATGTCTTACAAGGTTCCAGGGGCTGCTGCCGCGGCTGGTCCACTGGAACCACACTTTGAGAAACCTTTTCCCATTTCTCACTTTCTCTCTTCCATGGCTTTGCCACTGCTGTTCTCCATCCCAGCCTTCTTTTAATCCTCCTTCCATCAACGTCATTCCCTCAATACCTTTCACCCTTCCCCCACCCCACCGAGACCCCTCTCCTTCCTTTTCCCTCCTTTTTTGTACACCAGGCCCAGCAAGCTCCCCCATCCCACATGACTTTTTCCCCAAACAAAGGGAAACTCGATTTCCTTGAAAATTGAAATGTGAAAGAGATGGGAGGAAAAATGAGTGCACCCCCCTAGTTGGTGAGGACACCTGTTGCAGGTGACTTAAGACGGTATCAGCTGGACAGGACTTGAGGTTCTTCACAGCTGACAGAGCTGCTTGGGGCTGGTGCAGTCTGGGAGGACTCCAAATGACATGGTTTGTTTTCCTGTGCCCAGAGAGAAGATGGACAAGAGGGGTTCACCCAGAGGGCAGCCCTCAGGCAGGCACAAGTTCAGCATCAAAAACCCTTTAAGGTGAAGTTATAAGACTTGAGCGGGCATCAGAATCCCCTGGAGGGCTTGTTGAATACCCATTGCTGACCCCTACCCCCGTTGCTGCTCCGTTAGCAGGTCTAGGATACAGTTAGTATGACCAGCCAGCCTGGTTTGCCCAGGACTGATCAGGGTTCTCAAGATGTGGAATTTTCAATACTGAAACCAAGAAAGTCCTGGGGAAACTGGGATGAGTTTGTTACTCGACGGAGTGCTGAAGTCTTTGCATTTCTAACAAGCTCCTAGGGGAGGCTGAGGCTGCTGGTCCAGGGACTGCACTTTGAGAATCACTGCTCTATTGTTCCCAGGGAGCTACAGAGGTCTGGTGTTGGGTGTTGTAGCCCTGGACTCTTCTTCAGAGTGAGAGGTCCTGGGCAGGGGTCAGAGTTCAGATTCTGAATAGCTGCAGCCAGGGAGGTAGATGTGAACTTGGGAAGGGAGGGTCACAGAGCCCCAGATTGATGCGGAGTGGAAGGGATTAGTCAGAAAGATGGGGTCAAGGGGTGAGAGGACATCCAAGCTGAGTCTGTGTGTGTTGGGTATATGCCCAACACAGAAAAAAGCTTTGATGGAGGGCCTCTGTCCTTTTCACTGTGGGATAAGCCTGTGGCTTTGGCTGGAAGTGAACTGGGTGAAATAGGTAAGAGCTGTTCTCGAGGGCTGGGGCTGGTGCAGGCACAGCTAGTTTGAAGAAAGAAAAACAAGAAAGGAAAGAAAAGAAATAGATAATAGTAAACTGGGTGCCGAAACTTGGAAAGCAGAGGCAGGCCAAATTCGGCATTTAAGGTGTTAACTTATAAAATAGTGTGTAGAAATGGCATGCAAATTATTTGCATGCTGACTTGGGGGGGTTTGGGTACACACAGACCAGTGCAGTATGGGGTATGGCAGAGATGTCTGATGGCAGGGTGGCTCCAGTGGGAATCTGTACCTTACTTCTCCCTTCCTTTTCTAAAAGTTACCAGTGTCAAATGCTAAGGAACCTTCCAAGTTCCGGTTGAGGCAGTCTTTGGGACCCAGGCTGGAATGAGGCCCAAGGTGACCATCTGTTGAATAAAGGAACACACGTAAGCCTGCAACCATGTGGCTACTGTAAAGTCACAGGCACTTGCTTCTGGCCATTCCCTTTGTTTAGTCCTTGGATCTGTGCATAGCACTGGCTCACACAGCAAAGCTGTGGTATTCCCAGATTCATATTCAGCTTCTGGTATTCTGAGCCTTTCTTCCCAATACCCCTGACAAGAAATGGCTTTTTTGTTATCCTTGTTTTCCTGGCTAGCGCCTATTCCCCTTGTGTGCCTGCCCTGCCAAGAAACTTCTGGGAGTCTTGGAAGAACTGATTCAGCTCTTAAACAAGTTCAGTCAGCTATTAGTTGGCATCTATTGTTTTATTTTTCTGCCAGATTATTACTCTGTCTACCAGGAACAAACACAAGTGTATGCTGGATGCCTTCAAGTGCTGAGATGTATATCCCAGTATCATAGAGAGTATGTTTCCCCCGCAATTCTATTCCTTTTTGCAACCCTTTTTCTCTGAGAACAAACACAGATGGAAGGTAAAGGAAGCTGAACATATCCGTGTGAAGTTTCTGCTACTAGGCCAAGCCTGTTTGCCTGACTCCCTGTACCCTTAGGGTTTGTTTTTACCCAGGAGGCTCTCCGATCCTTTATGCAAATACATTTCTGAGCCTGCCTCAACGGTGGCGGTCAGCTTGTGATCCAGCCAGGATAAGCTCCCCTTCCTCAATTGTACTGTAATTTCACTGAGAGATGAGTTCAATCTGAGGGGCTTCGAGGCTACTGATTGGGGGGTGGGCTGACCTTCCACCTAGTATGACCGCCTTCCCCTGGTTTTGTGGGTCCTGTTGGTCATCTCTGCAATAAGCCATGGGGATGAGGTTGTGAGAAATGTGGACTTGATCATTATGGCAAACCTTACCTTAAATAGCTTTGAAAACAACAGGTTTATAGCCCTAGAATCAGGAGGTGATGGCCTAAGATTTACAGCTCTACATTTTGATTTTTTTTTTTTTTTGAGACGGAGTTTTGCTGTAGGAGTGCAATGATGCGATCTTGGCTCACCACAACCTCTGCCTCCCGGGTTCAAGCGATTCTCCTGCCTCAACCTCCGGAGTAGCTGGGATTACAGGAATGCACCACTATACCGGGCTAATTTTGTATTTTTAGTAGAGAAGGGGCTTCTCCACGTTGGTCAGGCTGGTCTCGAACTCCCGACCTCAGGTGATCCACCTGCCTCAGCCTCCCAAAGTGCTGGGATTACAGACATGAGGCATGATACCTTCTAAGGTATTTGCCAATTCAGGAGGCTGCAGAAGTCCTGAAGACTGGTGCTGGATCACTTGTGATTGTGATGTCATTATTATTACCTCCTAATAGGAGGGGGCTACCTATAGTCACTCAGCCTGTAAGTGGCAGGGTGGACAGAGTTCAGGTCACTGAAAAGGCCCAATTGCCTCTAGAGGGAATGAACAGGAGGAGGGGCCATGAGGTGGGCCTGGGGAACAGTAGGAGGCTCACCATGCCCAGCCCTTTGGTGGAGAGCTTTCTGGGAGGACAAGTCCAGATCAGATGTAGTCCGGCTCAATGTGGAGCTGCCTGGTGGCATTGTGGCCCCTCCTATTTCCTCCTCCCTCCCTGCCCTGTGTGAGGGGCACCCATGGGCTCAGTGCTGTGGTATCTGAAGTGACGCAGAGCAGCGTGGAGGCCTGTTCCTTCCTGGGCACGCGGCACAGCCAGGGTGAGGCCCGAGGGGGAAAGGTGCATGACTCTGCAGTATGAGCGTGCCTCACTTCCACAGCTGCTGACCTGCTCGCTTGCTTGTTCTGCCTGAGGCTCAGCAGGGCTTGGGAGAAGCCAGTCAGCCATTTATGGAGAGGAAAGAGGCCTTTACTGGCAGCCTGGAGACCTGGGCTCCAGACCTGGATCTGTCACTTTTCAGTTGCTTGAACTTGGTGAAGCCGCTTTACCTGCGGTTTCAGTTTCCCCATCCCTGAAATGATGGGGTTGCTTGAGAGCCTCTCTCTTCAAAGTGTCTCAGGAACCAGTAGCAGCAGCATGGCCTGGGAGCTTGTTAGAAATGCGGAGTCTCAGGCCCCTCCCCAGACCTACTGAATCTGAATCTCTCTATATTTTTTTTATTTTATTTTTTGAGTCAGGATCTCACTCTGTCACCCAGGTGGAGTGCAGTGACACAATCACAGTTCACTGCAGCCTCAACTACCCCAGGTTCCGGTGATCCTTCCGCCTCAGCTTCCCAAGTAGCTGGGATTAAAGGCATGTGCCACCATGCCCAGTTAATTCTTGCATTTTTTATACAGACTGGATTTCAACATGTTGCCCATGCTGGTCTCAAACTCCTGGACTCAAGTGATCCACCAACATTGGCCTCTTAAAGTGCTGGGATTACAAGCATGAGCCACAGTGAATGTGCATTGAACAAGATCCCCAAGTGATCTGCATACAGTTGGAGAAGCATGGCTCCACGGTTTTTAAGATGTAATCCCAGCACTTTGGGAGGCTGAGGCAGGCGGATCACAAGGTCACGAGTTCGAGACCAGTCTGGCCAACATGGTGAAACCCTGTCTCTACTAAAAATAAAAAAATTAACCAGGCATGGTGGTGGGCGCCTGTAATCCCAGCTACTCGGGAGACTGAGGCAGGAGAATCGTTTGAAATCAGAAGGCGGAGGTTGCAGTGAGCCAGGATTGCGCCACTCAACTTCAGCCTGGGTGAAAGAACGAAACTCCTTCTCAAAAAAACAAAAACAAAAAATGATGGCTTCAGGGCTCATGTCCTCCAATTCTGTACCGTAAGGAGTCTCTCTGAGTGGTATCCTTGTAGATGCAGGTACGGAGCAAGCCTTGCCCTGGAGCAATTGCCCTGCAATTTCCACATGCACTGTCTAGGTGGCCCTCTCAGTTTCAGTTCTTAAATGTGGTTGCTGGGTGGTCAATGATAAATTCCAGGAAATCCTCCTCTGTGGGCCTCCCTTTTCTTCCTGCAGGCTAATCTAAAGACTAGTAAGTAATCAGCGGGGACTGCATTTAATTCACCCCTTACTCCTATTATCACAGATTTATTCTATAGTCATTCTACCAAGCAACATGGCCTCTAATTGGGTCGAACAAATGCTCTATATGGAGAACCACCATATATGCATTTAACTTGCAGACTAACAGCCCAAGTGTGAGAGAGGACGATGTAAATAGTGTGGGAAATTCCCTAGAGTGAGTGTGACATGTAAGGTCGGAATCTGCTGCTCAGCCACTCTCAGCTCCTTCAGTCTCTCTTAGACGTGAACATGTGCTCTGGCCTAAGTGTGATCCTAGTTTTTTAAGATTTGCATATTTTAAACAATGTGGCTTCTACTAAGTGAGAGCCAACGATTACATTTGGTACCCAGCCAAAGAAAACAGAAAATGATTCCACTTCTAGAATTAAAACAAAACAAAACAACTATGCTGGTCTCATTAAGAGAAGTCATGTGGCCTCCAACACAATGTCTTCCCAAGGAATTTTTCAGAGTGATTTTG